>NC_000010.11:35791365-36095647 GCF_000001405.40 Homo sapiens
TGCATAGGTTAGAGTGAGACTTTTCATAACTAACTTCAATTGCTATTTCAGGAAGGTCCCACACAATCTGACGAAATGCATCCACTCTGCATTAGTTTTAGAACGTGCCACAGTGACATGGGCGGGGAAAAAGGGGGCCCTCTCTTAAGAGCCTGGCGCCTGCTTGTAGCAGCAGACACACCTCTTATCTTCCCTGCTTTAAAAAACGTAACCATTCATCATTAGATAAACTCACTTTAAAATGTGAACACAGTCGTTACCAGATCAGCCTCAAACTATTCACTTTTGTGACAGTATTTAACTATGATCTCAGCGCAGGATAAAAGCTTCTGATGAAGTCTTTGTATATTCTCTTATAAATTTGATTACTGATTCATGTAAGCCACTACTCATAAAAGTAGAGATTAATGAATAACAATTGCCTTGAAAATAAAATTGTTACCAGAGAGAGAAAGGTGTGTATTTTCATTTTCCTCGGGTGTAACAAGGGTGCTTGATGCTGCACGTGCGAGACGTGGTACTGAGGTCAGTTCCCCAGCACGGCTGTCATCTCATGGAAGCCAACTTTAAAAGGACTAAAAGCATCCATGGAGATGGGTTCGTGGTAGGAATCCCACGTCACAGATGAGGCTGGTAGGTTTTGAGGAGGGTGTTATGCCCACCTACCTGCATCAGGACCAGGATCTGTGTTTCACGTGACCACAAGGCCAGAGGAGCTCTGGAGGGCGGATACTTCAAAGGCACTTATTGTGTGCACAGTACACATGCAGAAGGAGCAAAAACCGCTTGTGGGGAAGAATTTGATCAAAGGAAAGAATGAGAAGAGAAAGGGGGGAGTCAAAAGAGGAGGGTATAGGAACAGGCTTGGAGAAAAGGGAAGATGAACAATTCAAGACAAATGTGAAATACTACATCTCAATTTTGTCCAGAGCCAACCTGTCTAATGGCAACCAGGCATTTTCTGTGGTTGAGTGTGAAATTCCATTTTTGCAATAAGCCCCAGTGTTTTCAAAAAAGAGGCCCGCTACTCCAGGCCTGGGGACACCTACGATGAAGGATGAATGACCCCTCTCGAAGGTGGCCTCTTATGAGCACATTGCTTAAGCCCCACGGACACCAGGACCTGCTGGATGACTCATCCATCCAGGACAGCTGGTTTCTGCATTCTCTGCTTCAAAAACCTCCTGAGATGGAGATGCTAAAATCTCACATCTCACTTCCGTGGTCGAGCTCGTTGAGAGTAATTTTTTCCTGCTTCAATGAACAACTGTTCCCACTTGTTTATTCCTCTGTGAGAGAGAAAGCTGTTCATCAGCATTAAGAAAAACCATCTTATACCTGACATTGTTAAACAGTCATTATGTAACCATATCTCAGCCATTTCAGTCCCTTTGCATATTTCCCTAAAATTGAGAAAATTTATATTAAAGAGATGCAGAGTACGTGGCAGGGAGATAATATTTAAATGCATTTTTGCATCTACTTCTCAACTTAGCCACTTACTGAGCACCTACTATGTGTAATTCAGACTGTTAATGGCAATGTCCTTCTCTGGAATCAGTTGATCACTAATGTGATTTTGCACAAGTTTCTTTTTTTTAATATATTTTTGAGAGAAAGTTTCACTCTTGTCGCCCAGGCTGGAGTACAATGGCATGATCTCGGCTCACTGCAACCCCCACCTCCCCAGGTTCAAGCTTTTCTCCTGCCTCAGTCTCTCCAGTAGCTGGGATTGCAGGTGCCTGCCACCAAGCCTGGCTAATTTTTGTATTTTTAGTAGAGACGGGGTTTCACCATGTTGGCCAGGCTGGTCTTGAACTCCTGACTTCAGCTGATCCACCCACCTTAGCTTCCCAACATGCTGGGATTATAGGAGTGAGCCACAGCGCCCAGCCTTGCACAAGTTTCTTACTCCTTCTAGGTTTTCCCTAAAAGCGAAGTTGTAAAATGGTGATGATGATATTTAAATGATCGTCATAAGAATGGCATCTTTGAAATATGTAGAATGTCAACTACATACTAGATGCTTAATAAATTTTAAATTTTGGCCAGGCACAATGGCTCATGCCTGTAATGCCAGCAGTTTTGGAGGCTGAGGAGGGAGCACTGCTTGAGTACAGGAGCTCAAGACCAGCCTGGGCAACATAGTTAATTTTGAAATTTTCATATGATAATAGCCTTATTTAGAATTAGTGACAAAAGGATAAATTAATTGCTCAATAATTAGGTTTGGAACAATGGGATAATCATATTTTTAAAGTTAGATTATTATCCACAAAATCTCAAATTACTTAATGGCTCCAGGTCTTCCCTAAAAGTGAAGTTGTAAAATGGTGATGATAAAATTTAAACGATTATCACGAGAATGGTATCTTTGAAACGTGTAGAATGTCAACTACATATTAGATGCTTAATCCATTTTAAATTTTGGCCAGGCACGGTGGCTCATGCCTGTAATCCCAGCACTTTTGGAGGCTGATTTCAATGTAAAACACAAAACTATAGGAGTACTAGGAAAATTTTAAGAGAAATATGTTATAGCCTTTGGGTACAATGGGCCTTTCTTAGCATAACATCAAAGCTAGAAATTGTGAGAAAAAATATTCTTATAGGAATAATTGTACAATTGTACAAAGATGGTCGTTCAAAGATGTCAGTTGCCAAATAGTTTTAATGCTAATGACATGTAAAATGCTTAGCATATAGTTTTGCATGATAAAAATCATGCAAAAGCAGCCTACAAAACTGTTCACTCCATATTCTATGCTATTTTAAGAATGTAAATTCAAATACCTACAGCCAGTTGTGATGGCTTACACCTATAGTTCCAGCTACCTGAGAGGCTGAGGTAGGAGGATCACTTGAACCCTGGAGCTGGAGGCTGCAGTAAGCTATGATGGCACTACCATACATCAGCCTGGGTGACAGAGTGAGATCCTGTCTCCGAAAAAAAAACCAGTTAATAAAGAAATTTTAAATTTTAATTTGGGGACTATGCCACGTGTAAAGGCTCACAGAAAAATCATGGTTCAGACCTTGCTCTCCAGGAACATGTTGTCTATAGCGGGAGTCAGGCGATACGGGAGGGATGTGAGAAAGCCTCCAGGGAAACAGACCAGGGATTGGGCTTGTTTGGGGGTGGCCTGGAAAGGTTTGCCTGGGTAAGACCTGTCTGTGAAGGGCAGGGGTACAGGGGAAGGTGACATGAAAGCCATAAGGAGGGAAGCTGCCACAGCTTCAAGAGGTAGCTGTTGAAAGTCTCATCTGGGAAGAAGCTGGCCAGGCGGTGGCCTATTGTGACTGTGCATTCCTCTAAAACCAGACAGTTCCCTGTTGGCCAGCTGAGGCCCAAGCGTGGACAACAGCACAGCTCTCCTCCTCGGAGCCTGGTCTAGGAAGGAAGGCAGTAGGAAGCTAAGTCCGTGGCTGGGGACTCTCAGCCCAGGGTGCAGGGCCCTCGGCTTCTGGTTGGTGCCGCTGCAGGGCTGCGCCTGGGGATGCTATCGAGGTCGTGGGAAGACTCATTTGGAAATAAACTCCTGGTTGGCTGAATGGCTGCTGTTCTCAGATTCGCGTAGATTGGACAGAGGCCCGTCCTGGTGGAGGGAGAGGAGCCTGGCTCCCAGGCTCTTGGTTTCCAGCCTCCTCTTCTGCTATCAAAGCCCCAGCCTGGGCTGGCAGCTTTTCAGGGAGGGTTGTCTATCTGTCGCTATGCAGCAACTCTGATTCCCATGAAGGCAAGTTGCACAGGGACATCCACAGAGTAAAAATCCTTGAGAGACTAAACTGAGATTCAGCGGTGGAAAGCCTAGAACAGCAGCCCCTGACTGGATAGAAAAAAACAACAGATCCCTCAGAGAACAACACCCCTGGCCACATCCCTCCTCCAAGGGCCGAGGCAGGTCAGTTGTGCAAATAAGGACAAGGCCAGTGGCTCCCTGGGCTTGGCTCTGCATCTCAGGGGCCATCAGTGTGTGCGTGACATCCAGCATGAAGAGTGAGTTTGAATGGATCAGTGCCACCGAGACTCCTAATCTGTTTTGGAGAAGGAAATGCAGTTGACATAATTTCTGTCGTGGGCTGTGTGCCCCATGCTCTCACGTTACCATGACTCACCTTGCAGGAAACTGATGTATAGCTGTGGGTTGTGCTGGACTGGGGAACAATACCATTTTGAATGCTGAGACGGGGAAAGAGTTTGCCAGACACATGGACCTTGGGAGTGGTTTCGATGTCTGCCAGGCATCAGGTGGCCTCCCTCAAATCCCAGAGTTTTGTTCACATCACCATGGAGCATCAGCCAAGGCAAACACCACCTTCCTCGCTAAGCGTTTACCGTCCCCGGGTGGTTTCTGCAATAAAATAATAATCATTGCTCTTTCCTGAGAGCTAACTCAAAGCCCTGCGTGTTGCATCATCTTCAATGCCCATTAGACCTAAAAGGCAGGATGATCACCATCATTTTTTAGATGAGGAAACTGAGGTTCAGGGAGCTTTAAGGACTTGTTTGGGTTTGCACAAGTTTGGAAAAAGATTTGAACACAGGTAGGTCTAACAAATCTCTTTTGTTTTTCCCCACCATATTATGCTTTACATAATTCTAAAAGTTTGAGATCTATATGTCTGTTACAGCCTTTGTTTTTTTAGAATTGGAGTTCTCAAGAGGCATTTGGGTCACACAGTGACTGTGCTGGGACTCCTAGCCACCTCTACTGGCTCCCTTCACCCAAAGATATAATCTTCTTGTTACTTTCCAGTCATTTGTACTGAAATCTCATCAGAGATTAAATATTTCCTACCCTATTTCCATACTCTTTATGTTTTTTTCTTTAGAGATAGAGTTTTGCTCTGTCACCCAGGCTGGAGTGCAGTGACCTAATCACAGCCCACTGCAGCCTCAAACTTTCTAGGCTCAAGTGATCCTCCTGCCTCAGCCTCCTGAGTAGCTGGGACTATAGGTGCTTGCCACTACACCCGGCTTATTTTTGTCTTTTTGGTAAAGATGGGGTCTCACTATGTTGCCCAGGCTGGCCTCAATCTCCTAGCCCCAAACGATCCCCTTGCTTTGGCCTCCCGAAGTTCTGGGATTACAGGCATGAGCCATCTCGCCCAGCCTCTATTTTCATATTCTTTAACTGCACATTTCCCTGAGCTAGTCTCAGATTCTGCTGTCTGTTTTTCTTACTGATTGTGCAGATTTTGAATGAAGTCTCTCTCTTCTGCACATTTGCCTTCCCCAGACAGAGCTTGCTGCGGAAGTAAAATTTCAAAATAATCCTCCAACGTGTTTGTGGCCTGAAGGAGCAGAGCAGCGGTGGGAACAATTTAATTCCTAATAAAGTCCATACCTCTAAGTCGCTGCGTGTGTGCCATTGAAACGCAGAGAAGTTGCTAGAACTCCTCCACTCCTGCAGAGCTGTTGCCTCTCTGGGCCTGTGTGACAATGTTTGCTCTCCCTGCTGTCACTTTGCACTTCCCCGAGTCTCTCTGGATGGCACTTCATGATTTCTCCCTGAAGCAATGATGGAAGTATGTCAGCTGTCAAAGGTTCTGGCAGCAGAAGGCAGCTGAGAATAAAGCGGCTTCACGGTAATGTCGGTGACCCCCTAACCATACCCCGCTTTCCACCGATGATTTGTCTGGACAGTGTTTAAAGCAGATGAAATATACATTTTTTGAATCAGGTAACTATTTTCGATAGAAGCTGGATACTTTTATTTTGGATTAAACCTGATAACCTATCATTCTTTAGGAGAAAATATAATAACTTATTCTGGATTGGTGTAATATTTAGATAGAAAGGTGTTTCCCTCTCTTTTCCAAACTAACCTCTCCAAACGTACATTTGTCAAATGCAACTTCCTCCAAATTATAGAATAGATTAACTATGTTAAATAACCTTAACAAGGGCAGAAATGCAGAAGTTCATATGTGTGCACTTTTGTGAATTTCCATCATTGTGTGAAATGTGTGCTTCTTAGGTACTGTACTCCAGTGAGCACTGACGTGGCTTGTGGGTGACTTAAGGTTACAGTCAGAATCATAATGTTGTTATTGGCCTTGATCTTAGTTTCACATTACCAGTGTTTCCCACCACTTGACTTTCTTATTTTAAAAAAGAAAACTAAATCAAAATTATTCACACCAAATTGCCCCATGTACACTTTGAATATTTTTAACATTATCTGAGTAAAGGGATGGAGGGACTGTTTTACTCCTGATAGCCAAGACTGTGCGCCTTAAAGACCAATTTACATTTATAAATGCACAAATGCACAAATCAATTGTTTTATCACACTTTTAGCTAAAAGTCTTAAATGTTTCTAAACTTAGTAAATTTACAAGGATGAAAGTGGCCTTAGACTTTGCACCTCCTCATTTACAGATGAAGAGATGGAGGTCCAAGTGAACCAAGTAGGCTGAGATCAAGTAGCTAATTAGTAGATGAACTAGAACTAGAACTAGAACTAGAACTTGAACACGGATCTCTGCCCCACAAATGAGCTATCTTTCTGCCAACTGCTAAATATATTCAGGTTGTGATCATTTTGGGTGAAATGATGGTTGTTTTCTTGTCTTAATTTGTTTTTATTGTGATTTTAAAATTCAAGGATATCTCAAATTACTGGCCCATTAAATCTTGTATTCTTTTGCTTGTTGAAGGCAACAGGAGATGACCAGTGCTGGGTTTCATGGGAACCAGAGGATTTACAACTTTGCTTGGGCTCCACGTACCAGCAGGAGCCTGATGAGGAGGGCGGCTGTGTTCTGAATTGTTTTAGGAAGTCTCCTTCAGCCCAAGACCGTCTGGACAAAATTGCCATGGGATCCTGTTGCTGCAGCAGGATGTTACCAAGTGAGACGTTGACTCAAAGAAGGGGAGCTGAGATCAGGAAGGCCAAGATGGCATCCAAAAATTCAAACACACCAAGGAGGCCAGGTGCGATGGCTCACGCCTGTAATCCTAGCACTTTGGAAGACCCAGGTGGGTGGATCACCTGAGGTTAGGAGTTTGAGACCAGCCTGGCCAACATGGTGAAACCCCATCTCTACTTAAAAAAAAAAAAAATCAGCTGGGCGTGCTAGAAGGCACCTGTAATCCCAGCTACTTGGAAGTCTGAGGCAGGAGAATTGTTTGAACCCGGGAGGTTGAGGTTGCAGTGAGCCACGCCACTGCACTCTAGCCTGGGCAACAAGAGTGAAATTCAGTCTCAAAAAAAAAAAAAAAAAAAAAAAAACCAAAAAACAAAACCTCCAAAGGACATATGTGTGCTCTTGCTCTCAGGAAGCTTGTGATTCCTGGGGAGAAACTGATCACACACACACCGAGTATTGTAAAGTGATTCAAAGTTGCACAAGGGAGAGGCAAGTTCTGAGTCTCCTCCTGCCTCCCAGTTCCCTTCCTTGAATGCAGGGTCACTGACTGATTGGTCACATCCCAAGACCATGATTGGCTATTTTACAAGTAGACAAGGTCACCATGCTTTAACAGGCAAGGCCCCATGAGCCACCTCTCTTTGTTGGAAGTTGCCTGCGTCTGGCCCTCCTCTCACTTCTTGAGTGTAGGTTTGAGGTCTGGGAATGCTGCTGGTAGCTGTGGTCCATCCCTTTCAAGATTGGGATTTGGAAGATAAAGGAAAGATCCTGTTTGGAGCCTGAGCCTAAGCATAGAGTTCCAGCCTGAGGTTGCAGAGAGGCCCAGCCTTGGGTGTGGGTTCCAAGCCCAGATGGCAATAAAGGAGCACCCTGTCTTCCTACGGGCTGGAGTTCCTTTTGAGAGTGCTTCCTGGGAAATGTTGTCATAACATTGACAGGGCAGAATTTCAGCATTTCTCACCCTTGGCCCTAATATCCATCTCCCAAATCACCCCCAGTGCCAGGAATCATTAAGAAAGCAGTGGTAGTGTTGAGACAACCAAAAGGCTGTTAGTTTGAGAACCGTCACATATAGCAGATGGAATTCTTGAAAAAGTGTCTTCAGCATTAGGTAGAGGCATATTGTTATACATAAAGAAAGGCCGGAGAAAAACACCAAGAACTTTCTGGGGTAACTTCTCTACAGGAGGTTGCTGTGTCCCCCTAGACAGCTCTATCAACAGGTGAGGACTGGGAATCTAGTGGTGAATTGATGTGACTGGGTTGGGGCAGAAATGCCATGGGGCCTGATGCAGCACAGCTGTACGTCATGGAAAATGATCCCTGAGACAGTCAGCAACTGGATGTAGAATGAATCTGTTTAAGTAATGAGTGTTCGCTTTAGGAGAGCAGGATGCAGGACAATAGCCAGGAGAGAGCAAAACCTGTTTGAAAGAGTTGAGGGATTTGTGATGTCCTGCCTGACACACCAGCACCCCTGATGATGCTGTCAATGGCTTTCTCTCAATTAGTCCCCCTGGACAGGTGGAAGCCGAGGTAAGTTGGGTAATTGATGTCTTCATGCTTCCACAAAGGGCCTACTTTGGGAAGATGGAATATGTTAATGCAGGTCCCTGCATGAAGCAGGGAATTCTGAACACATTTGCAGGCCGGTGAAGGAAAGGTCCTTCCCCATGTCATGGTTCCACATGCTCTCCACCATAAACTTGGAAGAATTCAAGCTGACACATCATGTGAAATTCAGGGTGAAAAAAGTCTGTTGAAATGGATAATGGAATGTGGAAGACCTGTGGAACATGTAGTTGGACCTTTAACTCTGTCTGTATCCACACAAAAGCCTGTAATAGAATGTTCAAGCATAACATCCTTGAATTTTTCAAAAATAACTTTACAGCTGATCCATTTATTTTGTCGGTGGGGTGAGGGGACAGAGAGAAGAATGGGAAAGAGAGTGAGAGCAGGGAAAGAGAAGAGTGATGATTGAAGGGGAAGAGAAGGAATTTTCTAACAACTCCTTGCCACAAAATGATGAGTGATGGTGAGTGATTTAATTAGGTCATTAAGTGGATGAAATAACATGGCCAAGGTAAACTTACGTAAACTGTTTCTTATTTAAATTATATTGGATACTTGGATCATCTGTTTAATAAAAAATCTCATCCACTCTTCAATATTGGCTTAAATCCTCTCCCCTGAACAAAACCTTTTCTAAGCACTGCAACTGGGACATTTTTTAGTTCTTTTTACATTTTTTTTCCATATTATTTAGTTGAAACTAATTGCATGGAGCTCTATTCCACGTAGTTACTTCCATGGGTCCATGAGTCTTATTTCTCCCCAAAGACATTTTTCTTAGGGAGGAAGAAACCAAGCTACAAACGTTTTTCTCATGTGCTTCCTACACTGTGTTCTGTGCAGTAGATGCTGCTGAACATTTGCCAGGAGCCTGATATTTGGAAAGTTTGGCTCATTTTCAAGGCTATGCAATTTAATGATACTGACAAACCCCAAAATTTCTAGATCCCAATTAAGTACTTCATTGTCCTGACTTCATTCATCATAATGGAAAATTAACTTACTGTCTAATATCTCATTTTCTTCTCTTTAATATAGATAATAATAAACTAACCCATGCAAATGTATTGAAGAATAATGAATAAATAAAATTTACAAGCAAATGTAAGTATAAAGATGTATCTAAATGCACATAATATTAATGGAGATTGATAAAATAAACCAGCTAGTAATGATGTGGAAGTGATAACATGTACACATCGTTTTGCAAATCAGATTTTTAGTGACTAAATAGAAAATGACTTGGAGAAAATACATGAGACTTTGTGAGTAATTCTGAGGTGGGAGAGAAATTTTTTAAAATTCTGAGGATGTATGATGGGATTCTTTAAGACTTTCTCTCTTAGTCTCCTGAACTCTGTTTATAGTGTACACATTAACTTTGTTTATAAATTTAATGAATCCGTTTTTGATTAAATAAACATGCGTATGGTAAAGAAATTCCGTGAGACTAAATAATTCTTCCACCCCTGTCTCCCAGTTTTCTGGTTCTCTTCCTCAGAGAAAACTACTATGTTTCTTGAATTTTCTTCAGAGGATAATTCTCTGTAGATACAAACATATTTCTAAATGTGCCTTTCACTTTTATAGCATGAAGTTTGGTGTCCTAAGTAAGAATTCTACAGTTTGCTTGTTTTCACTTACCAATATGTCTGGAGATTGTTCCATACATACATGTCGATCCACCTCTTTCTTTTTAACACCAGGGTCTCTGTTATAGACATAACACACTTGTCCAGGCAGATAACTTCTCAGCTTAGCGTTTTCAAGGTTGTTACATAATAATGATCTTTATAATGGATTTGTCCTCTTCAGAGCAGGTCTGGGCTTTTGATGTGCCATGTGGATTATTGGTGGAAATTTATGAGTACATTCTTTGGAGTTGCATTCACATTCAAGTCTGTATTATAACATTCACAATTATATAACTTGGACCCTTCACCTTCTTATTTTAATTTAGATTCGTTGTAATTCTGGACTTTCATACCACCATTAGCCTTGAACTTATTTTGAAGCTCTCCTATAGGAGAGCTAGACAAGGATGTTTCTTGTCTAATATCCTGGACAATATTCTCCAGTAGCAATGTACAAAAGAGTTAATGGAAGCTTAATTTCTGGGTACTCAAACACCTGAATATATCTTTATTCTGTTCTCATAATTGACTTAACAATATGACTAGTTATAGGTATCTAAGTTAAAAAGATTTTCTCCATAATATATTGGGCCTCAATCTGGCACCTTACAATGTTCATTATTTCTACTGAGAATTCTAATTCTTTTTCTTTGCAGGTAACTTATGTTTAGATCTAGATCTTTAGATATATTATTTAGGTATCTCCATCTTTGGATTTCTGATCTGTTATTACATGTACCTTTTTTCTTTGGTTGTGACAGACATTTGTTTAGTTCTTTCAATCTAGTGAATTGTATGCTTTGGTTCTGAAAATTTTCTTGTACTATTTCTTTGACAGTTTCATTCCATCTCTCTGTTCTCTGCTTTTTCTGGAATTTGTATTTTCTAGGGTATTGGGTCACCTGGATTTGTCCTTTACTACCTTATTTTTTCTCATATATTTCACTTCTTTTTATGGAATGTCAGTTCTACGAGGGCAGAGATTTCTTTCAATTTTGTTCACTTTGTTATTCCCACCACCTGAAACACTGCCTGGGATGTGGGAGGTTTGCAGTCAATATTTGTTGAATATTCATTTTCTGTTCTGTGTGTAGATTTCTTCTATCCTATATCCCACCCACATTTTGGATTTTTAAAATGTCTTCTATCTTTCTACTTTTCAGGAATTCTTTGTTTTCTGATTTTTCTTTTACTATAACATCTTATTCTTGTTTTATGGATGCAATAGAATGCATTGTGTTTCTTCTTTTAGCTCCTACATTATTGTGATCTCTTTTGACTTCATTTTTCTTTATTTTGGGCTCTTCTTCATGTTGTTTTTTTTTTCCTTAACATCTTCTGTGAACTTGGATGGGGATTACCAACTGGAAAACTTCATTTTGGGTTAAGTGGTGGGGAGCTGGCTGTTTTGTTTGAGGAATTCCACAAATCAGAATGTGGAGGTCTTTCTCTGCAGCTAGTCAGTTTCTGCAGAAATGTCTGGGTGACCAGGATGCTGTCTTTGCCAACGGCCAAGGATGTAACCATGCTATATGCACATTTTGAATAAGCACCCCTGTTTCCAGTCTCATGATTCACTTCGCTTTCAGCTAAGGCCAGGGCTTCCAAATCCCTAGCTTCTCTCATTAACTTTTCCATGAGAAAATAAAAACAAAACACAACATCTTCCGACTTGGGTGGGATGGAGTGGATTGGGCACTTGAATGTTGGTGTTCTGGGTGGAGGTGGAGGACGGGCCCCAACACAGCTTGATGCTGCCTGTTTCTGATGCCACAAATTCCTGAGTCTGTCTGGTATTCTGCTGAACAAGATAGCTCTTTTCTAAATGGTCTGCTAACTGCATGCCTGTTAGTTTTGGCTCCCACTGGTCTCCATAGGCAGGCATTTCACAGAGACAAGTTTCCCTGTTCTGTCCAGTATTTCATCTAAATTTTGCAGAAATTTCACACACACTAATACCCCATTTCCTGCTTTAGTTTAAATGGTACCATTTTCATTCTCCCATTTTCATTTTATTGGAATTTGCAGAAGGTGAAGACATAAGCCTCTAAAGGCTACGCATTGTCTTTATCCTTCAGAAAGCTCCATGCTGTCTTTTAGACTTTAAGTTAGAATGTGTAAGAGCACTGATGCTGATGGCTACAAAGAAGGCTTTGTTTGCCCGTGATAGGGGGAGGTACAGGTAACACCAATCCTTTCTTAGGACTTACAGGTACTCAGGGCTTATTGCATTTGAACATTGATCTGCAGTCTAACAGAAAATGAGTGCAGAATGTTTACTAACAGCTGGCTTAAAGAGGGGCCAAAGTGGCAAGACAGAGAGGAGAAGGATGTCAAAGTTGGGTACTGCATGTTTGGCTAAGGATAGCTCATTATTATTTACAAAAATAAGTATTTAATAGGCAAGAAAACTCTGAAATATATAGCAAATTTTACATAATTATTAATTTCATTATATTTATTTTATTCTTCTTTGTCTATAAAAATTACAAATATAAGAAATCTTTAAAAACCACAAATAGATAACAGAATAAAAACCAGTCACAATCTTACTACCCAGAGATAACTACTGATGATATTTTTCACAGTTTCTTCTTGTAGGTATTTTAATTTACATTCTCAAAATAACATAAAATATGGAGTAAACAGTTTCGTATGCTGCTTTTAAAAAATCATGTAAAGGCCGGGCACGGTGGGTCAAACCTGTAATCCCAGCACTCTGGGAGGCCGAGGCAGGCAGATCATGAGGTCAGGTGATTGAGACCATCATGGCCAACTTGGTGAAATCCCCTCTCTACTAAAATACAAAAAAAAAAAAAAAAAATTAGCTGGGTGGGGTGGCACGAGCCTGTAGTCCCAGCTACTCAGGAGGCAGAGGCAGGGGAATCGCTTGAACCCGGGAGGCAGAGGTTGCAGTGAGCTGAGATCATGCTGCTGCACCTCCAGCCTGGCAACAGAGTGAGAGTCGGTCTCAAAAAAAAAAAAAAAAAAAAAAAAAAAAAAAAAAAAAACATGCAAAACTATATGCTAAGCATTTTACATGTCATTAACATTAAAACTGTTTGGCAACTGACATCAAATAGTAGAAATGTAACGGTTGTACAATTATTCCTATAAGAATATTTTTTCTCGTGACTTCTAGCTTTGATGTCATGCTAAGAAAGGTTCTTTGCACCCAAAGGCTATAATGTATTCCACTTAAAATTTTTCTAGTACTCCTATAATTTTGTGTTTTACATTAAAATCTTTAATTTATTTTGAATTTATTCAGTATTGTGTGGATAATAATCTAACTTAAAAAATATAATTAACCCATTGTCCCAAACCCAATTATTTAACAATTAATTCATCTTTTTGCCACTAATTCTAAATAAGGCTATTATCCTATGAAAATTTCAAAATTAACTGTTTTTGGACTTTCTGTTCTACTTCATGCACCACCACATCCATGGTAAACCTCAAATGGTTTAGGTATTCTGGAACCATTTCCACACTGTTTTATCTATTTATTTATTTAGAGATAGGGTCTTCATCTGTTGCCCAGGCTGGAGTGCAGTGGCATGATTATAGCTCACTGCAGCCTTGAACCCCAGGGCTCAAGTGATCCTCCTGCCTCAGCCTCCCAGAGTGCTAGGCTTACAGGCATGAGCCACCACAGACAGCCTCCACATTGTTTTAATTTGTAGTAGTAACTTGTAGCTTTCTTTTATGTTTTGGAGAGACCGCCTCATTTTTCACCAGAAATTTTTTAGCCAGTTATTTTACTAGATGAATTTTATAATCACTATTCAAGTAAAATCAAACCAACCAAACAAAAGTAGTAACACAATTTGGGAACTTTGATAAATACTCTGATTTTATTTTGGCTGTATTACTTACTCACCCATTGATTTCTGGCAAATAATATAGCAGTCAGAGCCTGTTTCTTCATTGGTGAAATGAAGATAATAAGACGATTACAGCATCTATCTGTTGAAAGCCTACTCTTCCCAAAGTGTTTGCAGCTCGAACAAGCATCTGCTTTGAGAACTATAAAGTGCTATGTGCATACAGGTATCATTTAGCATTTCTTTTAATATGTAGACTTGGACAGAAGAGATAAAGTATTAATCTTCTTGTGTGGAACCTCATATCCTCTTATTGTTCTTCAGTTTAATTTCTGATCTTTCCATAAAGTTTGAACAGTCTTTTCATGAAGGTCTTGCACACTTTTTTGGTCTTTGCACCATAGTTCTTTGCACACTGAAGTTTAAAGTGAGGACTGTTGGCTGGGCATGGTAGCTCATGCCTGTAATCCCAGCACCTTGGGAGGCCGAGGTGAGTGGTTCGTCTGAGGTCAGGAGTTCAAGACCAGCCTGGCCAACATGGTGAAACCCCATCTCTACTAAAAATACAAAAATTAGCTGGGCATAGTGGCAGGTGCCTGTAATCCCAGCTACTCAGGAGGCTGAGGCAGGAGGTTGCAGTGAGCCAAGATCGTGCCACTGCACTCCAGCCTGGGCGACAGTCAGACTCTGTCTCAGAAAAAAAAAAAAAAAAAAAAGGAAGACTGTTAATGTGTTTCTGAATGTGCTGTTATGTGTCTTTGAACATGTAATGTTGCAGAGAAGCAGCAGGGTGTAGATTCCACAAGCATTCCTGGATTGAGGGACTCCCTGCCTTTAATTAGGGAGCAGGCAGCAATGGTTGATAATACAAGCTTCTGAAGCACTGCAATGGATGAAGTAGCACTCTACCTTCTTCCATTTCCCAGACCATGGGCCTGCTTCAGGAGACCGGGAAGACCAGGTTAGCACCATGTTGAGCAAGCTGTGGAACAGGGCCAAGCTAAGAGGCCTTGACCTCACACACTCTTGTAGAACCCCAGAATTATTCTGAGAAAACATCTTTTCATTCTGGCTGAGTTTTGGTGAAGATAAAAAGGGATAGCATGGTAAATTGCCTTTGGAGATATATGAGACACTTAGCTCTTGCCTACATAGGCAAAATGTTAAAACAGAGGAAAACACGTTACTAACAAAATGAAAATGTCACTGTAGCTTTATTCAAGATCACTGACTTAGAAGTTGTAATTTGAAGATATTTTGTTAGTATCATATTTAAAGGGGCTGAGTGCAGTGACTCACTCTTGTAATTCCAGCACTTTAGGAGGCCAAGGCAGGAGGATCACTTGAGCCTGGGAGGTAGAGGCCACAGTGAGCCATGATGGTGCCACTGCACTCCAGCCTGGTCAACACAAAGAGATTCTGTCTCAAAAAAAAAAAACACCCCAAAAACAAACCGAACCAAAAAAACAGAAGGAGGAGAAGAAGAAGAAGGAGGAGAAGGAGGAGAAGGAGGAGGAGGAGGAAGAGGAGAAGAAGAAGAGGAAGAAGAAGAAGAAGAAGAGGAAGAAGAGGAACAAGAAAAAAACATATCCTTAAGTAAACGTTTTATATGTTGAGAAGTAAAAATATCTTGTAAGAGTAGCACACAAAGTTACGGTAGTTAAACGAGCTACTGGTGAGTCATTTTTAGAAGAGCTTAGCAAACCATTTCACTCTGCCAGTGTCAAGCAATCTGAAAATTCAGTCTATATTTTTTCTTGAAAGATCTTGGGAAAGTGAATGAAGCAGTTTACTTGGTCCCTGGAATCAGAACATTGAAAGTGCAGAGACGTTTTGTTAGTTTGAAAATATTGGAACATTGATACCTTTCCCTGAAGACAATGAGCTATAGACAGGGAACCAGATCACTAGTCAGAAAGCTTAGCTTCTGGTCCAGGTGGTGTCACTGACTGACCTGTGACCTTAGTTGGGGTAATTGGCCTTTCCGAGCCTCAGTTTCTGCATCTGTGAATGATCATAGTAAGAGCATAGCAATATTGATGCCGTTTAACCCCCAAAAAACGATAAGAAGGTCCAATACGCATGTGCCCTGAGAAATGTAACATGTTATGCACATGTAGGTTTAATTTAAATGTAGTCGAAGATGTAAAATTTGTACCATTCTTTTACCGGAGAAGTAAAGTATAGATGGACTGGACTTGACCTCTCACTGCTTTACTAAATACTGTTTGACTTTGGGTAAGTCACCTGACCTCTCTGTGCCTCAGATCCCTTATTGATACAGTGAGGAAGATGATGATATAGACTTCATGGAGTTATTGTGAGAAGCAAATAAATGTATGCGCTTAGGATGGTGCAAACACAGAGTAAGCACTAGCAACTTGAAACGTACCATCTGTAGGTATAATTATAAGCTGTGATTTCATATTCACTTAGTGAAATTCTCTATTTGCACTCAATCAAGTAAAACTGAGTATCTCACACCGACTACAAAGTAGAAAATTCTCTGCATCTAGTGTTGACTTAATGACCATCTAAAAACTGACAAGTTTGCTTTGATTGTAAGACAGTTAATCAGATCCATTTTAAGCTTAAGAACAAAACTATTTTGATTCAACTGAATACTCACCATGCCCTCATCTCTTAGCCACTGCCTTACCTCTTCCTCTATCTTAGCACCCACATCACTTACGCATGGTGCTGGTGCGATCTTTTCTTCTTTCTGCTTCTTTCTGCTGCGATCACTTTCTTCTTTCTCCTCCATCTGCCTCAGTCCAGCCTCCAGCCCCAACAGTGCCCTGAACTGTATCCAGATTTACCTATAATCTCTATGTTGCTGAATCTGTTGGGGAGTTTCCAATAATCTTTCCTGGCCATTGGGCAACATTTATGCAGCAGACCTCTCCCTCTTTCTGTAACACTCTTTTCTTGCCTCCTTTGATGCCATTTCCTCCCTTCCTTCTTTGCTCCTTTTTTCTTTTTTATACTTCTCTGTCCTTCTCACTCCCCCTTTGTAGTTATTTCTTCCCTATCTTGCCTTTAACCATGGTGGTTAAATTCCCTTTTCATATATTGTCTCTCTCTGTCTGGGTGACTTCATCCAAACCAGGGTTGGCCAATATTTTTTGTAAATGGCCAGATAGTAAGTATTCAAGGTATGTAGGTCATGTGGTCCCTGTTGCCACTTTTCATCTCTGCCATTGTAGGAAGAAAGCAGCTATAGATGGTAGGTACAAAAATGGTCTTAGCTGTGTTCCAATAAAACTTTATTTACAAGAACAGGTGACAGGCTGAATATGGCCTCTGGGCCATAGTTTGCTGACCCCCAATCTAATACAAGGTCTTCAATTACCCAGATGTAGACAACTCTCTGTATCCCCAGTCCAGAATATTTTTCTGCACTCCATACTGGTGTGTCCAGCTGCTTATTGAACATCTCACAAGGATCGCACCTCCAAAGATGTACTTAGGGTGGTCTTCCCTCCAGAGCCTCATACCTCATCTCCCTACGATGTTCCTATCACAGTGCCTAGCACTGGGAGGGAGAAAGTCAAACATCATCCTTGTTACAAAAGGCTTGTACCGTCTTCACATACTCTGAAGCCAAGCTATGTGGATTCCAATCTCAGCTCTACAACTTACTCCTTCTGGGACAGGAGTGAGTTAATTAATCTTTCATGCCTTCATCTGTAACATGGAGGTAATGATAATTGAACAATACACATCCATAGTAGGTGATATGTTGCTTTGGGCTTTATTATGGCTATTATTATTTCTTTCTTTCACTTTCATTCACAGCAATCAATCAAGGAGTCTTGATTTTACTAATTAAGTAGCTATTGAATCTATACATTCATCTCTACATTCTATTGTCTCTGCTGACACCACAGGTTGAATCGAGACCATCCCTTGCCCAGGGCACTGTGAGAGCCACCTGGCTCTTCTCTCAGTTTTCTCTTGCTCACTCCCAATCTGCTCTCCACAGTGCTCCCAGGGGAATCTTAGAAATGCCAATCTGCTTATACCACTGCCTTGTTCAAACTCTCCAGTGGTTTCCATCGCTTTTGAGATAAAATCTCCATCTACAGAGCTCCCCTGGCCTGGTCCTGGCCCTCCCTTCAGCCTCACCTGCCACCTATCCCCAGTCCTGCCTCTCTTGCGTCCACCACCCTGACTTCTGCTTCAAGTGTCCAGCCTCCTTCCCACCTCAGGGCCTTTGCACATGCCGTCCTGTTTGCCCCACCACCTGCATCTAGCTCATGCCTCCTCCAGCACTCATCCTTGCAAGGACGACCCTGCATTGCCTTTCATGCCACAGTGTGACACACTTTCTTATGCGTATGGTTTAAAATTGTCTCTAGTACTGGAATGATGCTCTTTGAGTCTAGAACTGCATTGGTCTTACTCAATGAGATTAACCCACTGACCAGGATGATGCTTTTGCTCATTAAATATTGAATGAATGAACTAAATATTTTACACTCATAATTTACCTAAAATCTCCGTGACTCAGCTGTGTGCCAACGTAACTATTTTTCATTTGTCCAGGATTTTATACTTTAAAAATACTTTCACAGACATTTACTGCGTCAGCCCCGGGAGTCAGGGATGGCAACTCTGGTGATTTGGATTCTGAAACTGGAGAAACCCAGTCAGGGTCACACCACTGGACTTCTCCCTACACCATTCTGCTGCTTTCTTGGGTATCAGGACAAAGTGTGGCCAAGAATGTCTCTAGCTGCTATAAAAGAGAAGCCACCACTGCACTGAGACCAGCTAAGATTCACCTTTGTCATCTGAGAAATCAGGCCTGGAAGAAGTATCTGCAGAGTCGACAGGAGCAGGGGATTAGGATAAGCCTGAGCTGGGAAGAAAGTGCAGTGTTGGTGCCCTTAGACCTCGGTGAGGGAACTAAATGAAAGAAGCAGTCTGTTCATGCAACCAAGGGTGAGCAAACCCAGCTATTTGTGATGTCCAGCATTTGGTGTGGTGGGATCCAAAGGTCACATGACCTACCTCTTCCCTCAAGAAATGAGAACATATAAAGCAAATGAGCATGTGAGAATACATCAAACACACCAGTATTTCATAAGCCAAATGAGCTACATGATATCACATGCTTTTGATTTTTTTTTTTTTTTTGCAAAATGTAAACAGTATCAAAGTTTGAACACTGGGAAAGAGTTGGATAGGTGGAAGAGACAGACTACATTTGTTCATTAAAAATATGTCTTGGGCACCTACCACATGTCAAGCCCTTATCTAAGCACTAGGGTTGCAGCAGTGAACAAAATGGCACTGTTCCTGCTTTTATGGAAATGTGAGGATAGAGAACCAGCAAGGCATGTTCCAGAGAGTGACACTTTTGCCTAGAATCATGCTATCCAATATAGCTGCAACTAGCCACTTGGGGCTACTTAGATTTAAATCCATTAAACTCAAGAGAAAATAGCAAAAACAAAAACAAATGAACAAAGAAGGAACAAAAAATTCAGTTATATAGTCACACAAGTCACATTTCAAGTACTCAACAACCACATATGACCAGTGGCTACCATATTGAACTGCGCAGATATAGAACATTTCCATCATCACAGAAAGTTTTGTTAGACAGTGCTGGCCAGGGATGTAATATTTAGGTTGAAAGCTGTCTATGAAATGAAGAACCTGGTCTTGGTTGACAGGCTGGAGCTGGGGAAGAGATGCTTGACCTGGGGTGGGGTCTTCCCCAGGCAGTGAATGTAATATAGAAGATAGATCTTGCAGGTGGCAGCAGAGTTGCAGGTGAGGGCAGTAGTCGGCAATGACTCTGAGCTTCCCTCCTGAGTGACCAGATGGTGGGGTCACCTAAAACAGGCATGGAAGAATTAAGAAGAGAAGCAGTTCTAGGGGCCATATGATAAGAGCAGTTTTAGACAGAGTCTGCTTAAAAACAAAGGAAAAAGCAAGTATCAATGTGTAGCAGACAGTGGAGGATGAGATTGGAGAGAGAGAGAGTGTGTGAAGTTACTTTGTCTAAGATAAGTGGCTCATGAGTTAGCCAAAGTTCTAGACAGGACTGCCCATATCGTCTTTAGCCTAACTTGCCTGATTTTCTAGCTCAGCTGGTGTGAAAAATGTACGATTTGAAAGTCTGGTTTGGAAAGCCGAAATTGAGCCTTAGCTTTCAAGCCTAAAACTAAGAATTTAAATGATTTTTTTGAATTTCTTATTAAGATTAAATATGATAATGGGCCAGACGTGGTGGCTCGTACCTATAATCCCAGCACTTTGGGAGACTGAGGCAGGAGAATCACTTGAAGCCAGGAGTTCGAGACCAGCTGGGCAACAAAGTGAGACACTGTCTCTGAAAAACAAAAACAAAAAGAGATTAGACATGCAAATAAGTGCCTAGCACCATCCCTGGTCCTGAGCTGGTGATTCATACGGGATGGTGCTCTCCATATGGAGTGGTGCTCTCCCTTTCTAGCCTGGATAGCAGCGAATCCCTGATGAATGCCTCATAATTCAGCTGGACTCTGCAGTTGTGTGTATCCAGTGGAGGCATAGCCAGCTGTGTGACACTGTGCTCTTATTCCTGATGGGATGATGGCAGCTCCCTCCCGACCAGAGGAGCAACAAGGGCAGAGAAGGAGCTCTGGGCTATTGTCAGTGACTCTGGCTTCTGTCTCCCCAGTGGTGTGACCCTGTCACTGGATTATTCCACATGTGTAAAATGAGGAAGTTGAACCGGCGGATTTCAAAGGTTCTTTCCAGTCTAGATTCTGTGATCTCAGCACTCAGGCCCAGGAAGGATCTTCTATTCACTTTTAGATTGTCAGCTCTCAGACTGTCACCTGTCAGACTTAGGTATGAGATTGAGAAGGTAGCTATGCTTACGCAACTTGAAATGCTTCTAAAAAATCATGTATTCATCTAGGCACACTTTTCCGGTAGACATTGAATAATCATGGAATTGATGTGGAATGAGAATTGGCCAGTGTGGCCTTGGGACCTGATATGGTTTGGCTGTGTCCCCACCCAAATCTCACCTTGAACTCTAGTTCCCATAGTTCCCACATGTCGTGGGAGGGACCCTGTGGGTGGTAATTGAATCATGGGGGCAGTTACTTCCATGCTGTTCTCATGATAGTGAGTGAGTTCTCATGAGATCTGATGGTTTTATAAGGGGCTTCCCCCCACTTCGCTCTGCACTTTTCCTTCCTGCCATCATGTGAAGAAGGGTGTGTTTGCTTCCTCTTCCACCATGATTGTAAGTTTCCTGGGGCCTTACCAGCCCTGCAACACTGTGAGTCAATTAAACCTCTTTCCTTTATAAATTATCCAGTCTCTGGTATGTCTTTATTAGCAGCATGAGAATGAACTAATACAGGACGTAAGTGGTGGCCTCTGTGCATGACAGTCCTAGTGTGGACACAGTTGAGTACTTTTGAAAGTAGCACATTCAGGGCTTTTGATGCAACAATTGATGAAGTTGGCCTGAACCACACCGTGGTGAAAGATGGATTATGCAGAGGGGACCATTGCAGGGTAGTGAACAGGGCACTGAGGAAAGGAAAGGACGAAAAAGGCCACAGTGTGCGATTGGGATGCCACCCTCCGTGGAGGGCCTGGACAGTCTTTGTTTACTTCTTTGTTTTTTTTAGACACAGGGTCTTGCTTTGTCACCCAGGCCGAGTACAGTGCAGTGGCACCATCATGGCTCACTGTAACCTCAAACTCCTGGGGTCAAACTATCTTTCCACCTCAGCCTCCCAAGTAGCTGGGACTACAGGCTTATGTCCCCACACCCAGCTAATTTGTTAAAATTATTTTTTCAGGAGATGAGGGGGTCTCACTTTGTTGTCCAGGCTGGTCTTAAACAGCTGGCCTCCAGCAAGCCTCCTGTCTCCACCTCCCAAAGTGCTGGGATTATAGACATGAGCCACTATGCCTGGCTGGCCTGGACAGTCTTATCCTAAAACCCAGAAATCCAAATTATGATTGAGGTTGTGGTGAGAAAAAAGTGCATTTTGCTGAAAATCCAATTAAAGGAACAATTAATTGGGTACTTACTACTCACAAAGCACTATGCTTGATGATTTTAAGAAGACAAGGATGAATCACATAGGCTCTGTACCCGGAGGGAATTTATAACATAAGGAGGTGGCGGTGGGCGGGACAGGAGTGAAACAAACAACAAAGGGATGAGTTGATGCTTCATAAAGAAGATGAGCTTGAGATGAGTGCAGATAACCAGGAGATAATATTTGAGTTATGTGGGACTGCCTATTACCGAAGAAATCCCCAAAGAATCAGTCTCTGAATGACATCCCCACTTGTCCACAACCCCACCACCCATTATGCTTTGCTGTGTGAAAAGAAAGACAAAAACTTTGGTAAATGATGACTTTCCTTAGTAAATCACATTTAAATGAGACAGCTGTATTTTTGTGCTTCATGCTTAGCCAAATCCTATTTAATTAACCTACTTAGACTTGTTGATTGAGGTTAATTAGACCCTAGGATTGATGTTAATTGCCATTGTAAACGGCCAATGTTATAGGCAGTATGTTTTGGATTTGGTGAAAAAAAAAATGAGGTAGAGGTCTATTTTTCTTAGCTTGCTTACTTTTTGTTTTATGCTTCCTCCCTTAGATAAAAAGGCATTCCTCCATCCCTAATTGTATTTGACTTTGCTTTTGCTGTGGGGAGTGGGTAGATGGGTTATTGAAAGAGCTGATTCTATTTTAGTCAATAATTCCTTAGGTATGTAGATAATCTCTTTCTCTTGCTTCCCTTTTCTCCCTGTCTTCTGATTATGCTGCCCGAACACATGCACATACACACATGTATTCTTGTACACATGTACACACATCCATACATGCACACACATGCACATACACATACAACACACACATTCATATACACACATGCATGCACACACATAAATGTGCACACAGGCATTTACACAATGCATAAATACACACACAAACACATACATGCACACACAGCATATACATCCACACACACACACCCCCTGCCACAGTTCATTCCTTCTAGTTTCACTCTCCAAAGCTGCATGGATTTTTCTCAAGCAGCTGCATGCTGTTCATAGGACACTCAATGGACCAACAAAGAAAATCAGGAAGGTTCTGGAAAAACTTGTGTGTGTGTGTGTGTGTGTGTGTGTGTGTGTGTGTGTGTGTGTGTGTGCTGTTGGTGGTGATAGTGTGTAAGCAGGGCAGAAAGGGAAAGCAAGTAGATATAGCAAGAGAGAGAAAGAGAAAAGGCAATGCTTTAAGAGCCAGATGTGTAAGGGGTATGGTGTTTTCCCTATTTTATTTCAGGGATAAGAGTTTAAATCCGGGAGGAAAAGTCCTGTGCCACTAACATTGTCAACTTTTCCCGCCTCATCTTTTTTTCAGTTTCTAGGTCTTTTTTTACATCAATTCAGTGCAGCTAATTAAATTCAGGAGGAAAAACTCCTGTGCCATTAATATGGTCAACTTTTCCCACTTCATCTTTTTGCCAGCTTCTAGGTCTTCTTTTATATAAATTCAGTTCGGCTAAAGAAAAATGAAACTTACTTAAAGGCTCTTTCTCGCCTCACACATATGAGTAGACATACGTACATGTATGAAAGGCTGTGCATAGTTGCAGAAAATATCTAAAAGAGTGTGCAATTTGGATCTCAGCTGCCTGCAGTCATTTGCTGCGGAAGACATTGTGATACGCCCTGTGTGGTGGTCTCTGAGCCCACCCGCTTCCAGTTACCACCCTTTCTGTTGATGAGTGGCAGTTCTCAGCCTCTGAGCTCTGAATCCACACCCTTAGCAGACTCCAGACGGGTTCGATTTCAGTTCCCTGGCCTCCCTCTACAAAAGTGGTGCACTTGATGGACACATTGATAACAACGTAGTGAATAAAGTAGCAGAAAATTCATCTCTTCCATTTATCTCATGACGTGGACTTGAACTTCAGGAACATTGAAGCCGTGAGGATATCAACTAAATCTCAAAAAGGCAAAGTGAGCTTTCATGAGCGAGGGGATGTGAGGAAGCTTGCTTTTGCAGATGTGTATAGATGCGTCTGTTGATGTTCTTAATATCAAATTTGGTGCAAAAGTGATTGCGGTTTTTGTCATTGAAAGTAATGGCAAACACCTTCACATCCTTTGTAAGTTGGATTCCTAGGTATTTTATTCTCTTTGAAGCAATTGTGAATGGGAGTTCACTCATGATTTGGCTCTCTGTTTGTCTGTTATTAGTGTATAGGAATGCTTGTGATTTTTGCACATTGATTTTGTATCCTGAGACTTTGCTGAAGTTGCTTATCAGCTTAAGGAGATTTTGGGCTGAGACGATGGGGTTTTCTAAATATACAATCATGTCATCTGCAAACAGGGACATTTGACTTCCTCTTCTCCTAATTGAATGCCCTTTATTTCTTTCTCCTGCCTGATTGCCCTGGCCAGAACTTCCAACACTATGCTGAATAGGAGTGGTGAGAGAGAGCATCCCTGTCTTGTGCCAGTTTTCAAAGGGAATGCTTCCAGTTTTTGCTCATTCAGTATGATATTGGCTGTGGGTTTGTCATAAATAGCTCTTATTATTTTGATGTATGTCCTATCAATACCCAGTTTATTAAGAGTTTTTAGCATGAAGGACTTCTTCAAGGAGAACTGCAAACCACTGCTCAACGAAATAAAAGAGGACACAAACAAATGGAAGAACATTCCATGCTCATGGATAGGAAGAACCAATATCGTGAAAATGGCCATACTGCCCAAGGTAATTTATAGATTCAATGCCATTCCCATCAAGCTACCAATGACTGTCTTCACAGAATTGGAAAAAACTACTTTAAAGTTCATGTGGAACCAAAATAGAGCCTGCATTGCCAAGACAATCCTAAATCAAAAGAACAAAGCTGGAGGCATCATGCTACCTGACTTCAAACTATACTACAAGGCTACAGTAACCAAAACACCATGGTACTGGTACCAAAACAGAGATATAGACCAATGGAACAGAACAGAGCCCTCAGAAATAATACCACACATCTACAACCATCAGATCTTTGACAAACCTGAAAAACAAGCAATGGGGAAAGGATTCCCTATTTAATAAATGGTGCTGGGAAAACTGGCTAGCCATATGTAGAAAGCTGAAACTGGATCCCTTCCTTACACCTTACATAAAAATTAATTCAAGATGGATTAAAGACTTACATGTTAGACCTAAAACCATAAAAATCCTAGAAGAAAACCTAGCCAATACCATTCAGGACATAGGCATGGGCAAGGACTTCATGTCTAAAACACCAAAAGTAATGGCAACAAAAGCCAAAATTGACAAATGGGATCTAATTAAACTAAGGAGCTTCTGCACAGCAAAAAAAACCTACCATCAGAGTGAACAGGCAACCTACAGAATGGGAGAAAATTTTTGCAACCTACTCATCTGACAAAGGGCTAATATCCAGAATCTACAATGAACTCAAACAAATTTACAAGAAAAAAACAAACAACCCCATCAAAAAATGGGCAAAGGATATGAACAGACACTTCTCAAAAGAAGACATTTATGCAGCCAAAAAACACATGAAAAAATGCTCATCATCACTGGCCATCAGAGAAATGCAAATCAAAACCACAATGAGATACCATCTCACAGCAGTTAGAATGGCGATCATTAAAAAGTCAGGAAACAACAGGTGCTGAAGAGGATGTGGAGAAATAGGAACACTTTTACACTGTTGGTGGGACTGTAAACTAGTTCAACCATTGTGGAAGACAGTGTGGCGATTCCTCAAGGATCTAGAACTAGAAATACCATTTGACCCAGCCATCCCATTACTGGGTATATACCCAAAGGATTATAAATCATGCTGCTATAAAGACACATGCACACGTATGTTTATTGCGGCACTATTCACAATAGCAAAGACTTGGAGCCAACCCAAATGTCCATCAATGATAGACTGGATTAAGAAAATGTGGCACATATGCACCATGGAATACTATGCAGCCGTAAAAAAGCTGAGTTCATGTCCTTTGTAGGGACATGGATGAAGATGGAAATCATCATTCTGAGCAAACTATTGCAAGGACAGAAAAGCAAATACCACGTGTTCTCACTCATAGGTGGGAATTGAACAATGAGAACACTTGGACACAGGATGGGGAACGTCACACACCAGGGCCTGTCATGGAGTGGGGGGAGGGGGGAGGGATAGCATTAAGAGATATACCTAATGTAAATGACAAGTTAATGGGTGCAGCACACCAACATGGCACATGTATACATATGTAACAAACCTGCACGTTGTGCACATGTACACTAGAACTTAAAGTATAATTAAGAAAAAAAGAAAGTAATGGCAAAAACCACAATTACTTTTGTACCAACCTAATATCAAAGCTTGGGAAAATAAGCAGAATCTTAGCATCTCACCTTCTTTATGACCCATCTCACTCTTCTCCCATGGCCCATTTGCTCCTTGTGTGTGCTTCCTTAGTGATCAAAATTTCTTCTATTTTTCTGGTTAATATTGTGATCACCTGGGTAATTCTACATCACAATTTAGACTGCATTTGTCCAACATTAGGTATTTTAAATTTTCATTGAGGTGAAGTTAAATTTGTCTCAAAGAATCCAGCATGAACACTTCTATTTAGTTTCTGCAATACTGTTGTAACATTCTGTAATTTTTGGAATATTTCCTAAATTAAAAGGACAATCTGTTTAAAAATGCATTATTTTCTAGTTAGAGAGCTCTAAATCTTTTACTAATGCAGGTGGGTGTAGTGATAGCATCAGTTTCAAAATATTTCAAGAGTGTACCACTTAATATTGAGATCGATGTTAGAACATCACACAAAAGGGCTTATTTCATTAAATTATAATGTTAATTTAATAGTTTAAGCTTCAATACTAATTTTAGTATTGTGTTTTCTATTTCCGTGAAGAATGTCATTGGGATTTTGATATGGATTGTGTTAAACCTGTATATTGCTTTGGGTGGTATGGAAATTTTAATATTAATTCTTCTGATTCATGAGCTCTGCATAGCTTTTCATTTATTTGTGTCTTCTTCAATTTCTCTCATCAATGTTTTACAGTTTTTCAGCATACAAATCTTTCATTTTTGGGGTAAATTTATTCTTAGGTATTTTTAATACTATTATAAATGAGATTGTTTTCTAGAGTTTCTTTTAGTTATATCATCATTTGTGTATAAAAACACTACTGATTTTTGTAAGTTGATTTTGTATCCTGCAACTTTACTGAATTCACTTATCAGTTCTAATAGTTTTTTTTTGTGGAATCATATATATATGGATTTTTGGCCAGATTTTTGGCTTTTGATCTATTATAGTCTTTGTAAAGTGGCTTCTTATTGTTAAGAGAAGTGGTGCATTTTCCCATTTATTCCATAAACATTTTAAATATTTTTATGATATGTAAGACCTTATGCTAGATGCTAGGACTTCAGAGATGATAAGTGATTCCTGATCTCAGGAGGCTCACGGGTTGTAGCAGGGAGCAGTCAGGGTTATGAGACTCCACTGACTACAGGACAGGGCTCCAGCTGAGCCTGGAATTCTGGGGAGTTGAAGAGCTCCTCAGAGATGAAAACTCCAGACATGATTTCTGAGTGATGAGCAGGAATACTTCAGATTCTAGGGCTAGGAGTTTGCTTTAAGAAGATATAGAGGATGTTTTTAACCTGATAATGTACGCATTGGTTGTATGTGGTCAGGTCTTGCTATACCGTGTTTGGCAAAGGGTTAGAATTGGTAAGATCCATTTATTTGTAATTTATCTTTTACTTCTAAAAATTACTTGTCTTAAATGATGATCACGATATGTGTATGTATGTGTGTGCATGTGTGTGTTTATGTATGTATATGTCTGTGTGTATGTGTATGTGTGTGTATGTGTATGTTTATATGTGTGTGTGTTTATGTATGTGTGTGTATGGGTATGTTTATGTATGTGTGTGTGTCTGTGTTTATGTGTTTGTGTTTATATGTGTGTCTGTGTTTATGTGTGTGTGTGTGTGTGTGTGTGTGTGTGTATTTACACCCATTAGGAAAATTTAATGAAAACTAAACACCACGGAGAAGGTAGAAGGGAATTAAAATAAAAATTTATAGAAGTATAAAAGACGGAGATGTGGTTTTACTTCTATTTGCTTGATTAAAAAAACAAGAAAATTTGTCAGGAGAAGCAGACTTTTTCTTGGTACTAAATTTTAAAAGGAATGTATTATGTGGATCACTGTTTAAGAGACTTGGAGCAATTCTTCTCTGAATTATGGTTGTCGCCATGGGCTTTTAGCAATAGCAAGAGTGGAGATTTCAAGCTTGGCAAGATTTCTTTGGCAAATGCCTGGTGGGCAGAGCCTCTGCTGCTGATTGAAGGGACATCTTAATTTGTCAGACACCAGACACACAGGTAGCAAAGCTGATGTTTCTTTGTGAAGGATGAGGAACCCTAGCCGAATACTTTCTTGCTTTGGAAGCCCTTGTCATTCTAGTGTGGAACAGGGCTGGGGGACATTGACTTTGGATCTGCCTCTTTAGTTAAAACCCCACTGTTCCATGCCATAGATCATGGAAGAGATGACTTGGCCCTGGAAAATGTTAACGGTAAGCATTGCCAGTTGGCCAGCTTAATCATGAAAGAATCTCGCCATGATTCCTGCGGAACGTTTGATCCTGAGCACTGCTGCCTTCCTGTGCTGGGAATTAGCTACACAATGTGCCATCAAGTAACCCAACTAGCCACTGGGGTGGAGTTATTGAATTTCTTGAATTCAGACAATGAAGATGGTACAACCTAAAACCAGACTTTTGATCCTAGTATTGTTTTTGGTTAAGCTGTCCTTTTTGATGGTAGACATCAGGTCCATTTTTCTCTTAAAACCATTTTGTGTTTACCATAGTAAAATTATGTTTCTAATCCATCTAAAAGCTGCATGAAATTATTGAGATATGGAGGAAAAAGGCGGCTAGAAGAAGCCTCATCTCACACCACTGGGGGTTATAATTGGAACTGTGAGACAAAGCATTCCTGCCTTTTCAGATGGTTAGTGGTGTTATGGGCAGGTTTTGAAGGCCATCAGTAGCTGACAGTCCATACCAGGACACACGATTTGACCCATAGACAATTTCTGTCCATGAAATCAGATGCTTATAATAGATAGTTAACAAGAAGACTTAGTTTTTTGGCATTGCTGCTGGTGGTGGTGGTAGAAGGTGAAACAGAGGACATGCTGGCTGTGAGTGGAAGTACTATGCTTTAGTATTTTATGTGCAAGATAAAAACATTAACATACCTCCTTCTTGTAAAACTCTTCTGTTCACTAGGGGCTTTCACATACATACAGCAAAGATTTTGATTTTCACAGCAACCTTGTGAAGTACAGAGGGCAGTGAGATTATCTTTGCTTTACATATTATGAAACTGAGATGAAACTCTGAGAAGTTAATGAATAAATCATGATCACACAGAAAATAAGTAGGAAACTTGGGGTTTAGACTTGGATTTTCTGACTCCAAATCTAATGTTCTTTTTATGGTATCCAAACTGCAGTTCATTTCAAAGAAAGCTGATGTAGAGTTTGGATGAATTGAAAAGTAACAGATATTTTCTGTTAAAAAATATCCACCTAAATATTAAATGACAAATCATTATGCCATATTCAAATTCTAGAATTTGTTCAGATTGAACAAAAATGATGAATGTAATTAAAGTATCTTACTGAATAAAATCACTGTAATTAGATGTTGATCTATCTTGTGATGGAAGAAATATTTGTTAAGATGCACTTAAGTCCTTGGAAACAATGAAGAGCTGTAGAGATGAGTTCTAAAACTTCTGCTCAAATACAAAAGCTGGTCAGTTCTTTCTGCCCCAGCAAACATGGTACCCAGTGATTTGATCTCAGGCAACATGTGCACAGGGACTTGGTGGTCATAAACGATGTGGAAATAAGTTTCTGGTGACCTAGTAGGTTAGATTCTTTGTGCCCTTTATTCCAAGGGATGTCTAATGATATCACTGAAGTTCAACAACCAGCAAAACTGTGCCCCAAAGAGATTAAGTATGCTCTGCTCCTGAAGACATGTCGAGACACGCCTGTGCAGATGTGTGACGAGCTGAGAGAATAAAACCTCTGCCCCCTTACCAGAGGTTCCCCTTTTCTTCATGACTTCATTTGTATATCATCTGTGATCTCAACTGGTGTGAAAAGACCCAGGAACTTGGGTTGTTGTTGATTCCACTCTCAGGCTCACAGAAGAGCTTTCTCCCTGGCTCTTCTCTTCTCACCCTCCCTCCCCCTGCTGAGAAGAGCTGTCACTATTTCAGTAACTACAAGCAACAGATCGTTTTAGACTTTAATCCATAAATAAACATTTCTTCCTTTGAACTTCATTAAATTTGGATGTGCTTTCATTTTGACACAATCTGGCATCCCTATCATTTAGACATATAAAACTATAAAACTAGCAATTAATTTTGGTCTTTAGGAGTACTGGTGGTCTAGAAACAGTGAGTCTATGCCAAGAAAAGCAAATGAAAACCTCAAACATGTAGACATAACACTTAAATCATAAAATCACAAAGCATTATGCTCAGTAGCTACAGGAGATTATCTTTGAATTGTTCCTGGTGGTGTCTGTCACATTTCTCAGCTTGTTTAAAGAATTTTGAAGATGGGAATTCTGTTTCCTTAAACATTATTCATCTGACTACAATAATTGTCTGATGAAAACCTAAAAATTAAGTCATGATTTGATTGATTATGAAGATATTGATGGCATTTACCAGCAAATATCCTTTCATTAATTGCAAATATATTCAAGATCTGAGTGCTTATTGGATGCAAAGCACTGTGCTAGATACTGGAAGGAGGGGATGTCGTTTTTTTCTTTCAAAGAGCATATGAACTCATGAAGATGACACTTAACAAAAAGCAATTATCTCTTGACTCTAAAAGCCAGACACCTAGACACGGTGTGACTTCCAAAGCCAGGTCATAAAAGGCATCTCAGCTTTGGCCTTGGTGTTTTTTTGGATTCCTCACTCTGGAGTGGGAGGGGAAAGGAGGTAGCCAGCCAGCCTTCTGCTCAGAGAACTCTCCAGCAGCCCTCTGGGGAGGCCCACGTGGGAAGCACAGAGGCTCCTGCCAACAGCCAGCACTGACTTGCCAGCCAGCGGGGTGTGTGAGCTACCTCGGAAGCGGCTCCTCCAGCCCTAGTGGCGTCTCCAGGTCCCTGCGGCCCTGGCTGACATCTGTTGCAACCTCAAGAGTCACTGGGCCAGAACCACCACCAGACAAGCAGCTCCTGAGCTCCCGACACACAGACGCTGGGAGAGGTCATGAGTGATTATGTTTGTTCTCAGCAGCCCAGTTTGGGGGCGATTTGTTACACAATAGATAAGGAATACACTGACAACCCAGCATGTGTCAGATGCTGTGCTGGGGATTCAAGAGGATGAGGCAGATCGGCAACATCTGTGACCTCCCAGAACTTATAACTGATCAAGGAGGTAATCAGCTATGAATAAATACAATGAGGCCGTACATAAGATTTTGACCAATAGTTAAGCCTGGATATGAGACATTTCCAATGAGCTGCAGTTATAATCTACAGGAGTCGGGAGATGATGAAGATGACCACTTGACTTGGGGAGTTGGGAAGCATCCTCTGGGAGGAGAGAGGTCAAGTGGGCTTTGAAGGGGGTATATGATGTGGATGGGCGAAACACAAAAGGAAGGGTGTTCCCGAAAAGGAAGAAAAACAATCAAAGGCATCAAGGTGGGCATTGCCACCCCTGCTTGGGGTGTGGCAAGAGAATCTGTTGGGACACAATGACAGTGGGGCGTGAAAAAGCATCAGGTCATGAACTTGAAGACAGAGTTGGCTGCCTGCCTGAGGTCAGACTTGATCCCTAGGCAACAGAAATCATCAGAGATTTTTGAGTTGATTTGTGGCATTTTAAATAAGAATTTAAAATGGGTTTATGATTTCCATTAGTGTTTATTGACCACCTACTAACGAGTCTACCACTCTATGAGGTATTGAGGGGTGACCAAGTTAATAACAAGCTTCCCCTGCCCTCAGGGAATGTATAGTCACACTAGGGACAAAAAACATACACAAACGAACAACAGAGAGCATTATATCATAAAATAAGAAGGCAGCAGTTAGTCATTTAGATGATCAATGTAGTCGATAATAATAGCAAAGGCTTATATTGTGCTTGCTGGGTACCAAGGACTATTCCAAGTCTTTACATATGTTAATTCAATTAATACAGCACCTACATGAAGTAGGCTATCTCTGCGACTAGAGATGAGTAGGTTAGTATCTCTATCTTACAGATGAGGAAACAGGGACACAGAGAGTTTAAGTAACTGCAACAACCAGTCAGTAAATGAAAGGTGTAAACCCACACAGTCTGGCTCTGGAGGCTATGGTGATCCACCATGTTATGCTGCTTCTCAGATAATCGTTTAGACTTCCCAAGGCCTTGAATAAATCAACTCTTTTCATCCTCATTCACTTGCTTAATTTGTACTCAATATATTATTAATTGTTAGTTATGATCTAGCGTAAGGATGCAGACATAGCGTCAACATTGCTGAACTTTGGTTTCACTGCCTGGTGCTGATAAAATGCTACTGTAGGCCGGGCATGGTGGTTCATGCCTGTAATCCCAGCACTTTGGGAGGCTTAGGCAGGAGGATTCCTTGAGCTCAGGAGTTTTAGACCAGCCTGGGCAACACAGTGAGACCCTGTCTCTACAAAAAATTAAAAAATTAGCCAGGTGTGGTGGTGCATGTCTACAGTCCCAGGTACTCAGGAAGCTGATGTGAGAGGATTGCCTGAGCCCTGGAGGTCAAGGCTGCAATGAGCTATGGTTCTGCCACTGCACTCCAGCTTGGGTAACAGAGACCCTGCCTCAAAAAAAAAAAAAGAAAGAAAATGCTACTGTAATGGTTTTGAAATACACTAGAAATTGACTTAAGCAGGCTACCTATTTTAGTGACATATGGTACACCTATACTTCCATAATTAATGTTAACAAACACTGAGTATTGTGATGTTATTTATTGCATGATAACGTTCACAGCAGGTATAGAATTCACACGGTGCAGTGGAAGGAGCCCAGACCTGATGGGTTCTAGTCCCAGCTCTGTCACTCGTTGACTGTGCGAGCCTAGGAGTGCTGCCGTCCTTGCCCCAGCTTCTGCATGGCAAAGCTCCCCTTACCTGTTGTTCCCAGGCCCTAGATGAGTAAGACAGCAATGTGGAAGTCCCAAGAAAACCAAGACCCTTGGCTTGGAGCTTACTATAAGTTCCCTCTTTGGAGGCGTCAAAGGACAGTACATGTGAAAACAATGAGCTGAGTAAATATCAGCGACACATAAACCATTGGGTGTTATACAAGGGTAAGGTCATATTATTTTTATTTTTCTTGGTTGTATCTCACAACAATTCTCTGAAGAAGGCCCAAAGTTTCCAGAAGGAACTGGGAAAGTTCTGGAATACAACAGTAGGGCTTGTCTGGTGTTTTCTTTCCACCACCTTGTTTTGAAAGCAGAAGTACTGGAAATATTGCATAAAAACCCAGGCTGGCTGGATATCAAGACCTATTTCTAGACCAGAGTGGTTTGGATCAGGTTGAATAAGATTCTGAACGTTTGGATGTGGAGACAAAACCAAACTCAGCAAACTGAGAAATGGCAAACAAACCGAACATTTTCAAATTATGGAATGGTTTAGGGGCTACGGGCAAATGTCCATGGGTACCAAGGATGCAATTATCAAGCTTGTTTTTAGCCCATGTCCAAAGATTCAGTTTTTGTTTTCCATTGCTCTCCTCTGAAGTGCAATTCCTGCTTGCCTGGCAGCAATCGTAATTAAAAGGCCAACTTATTTTTGTGAGTTTCCACTTAAAATTTTGCTGAAAAATGATTATGTTAGCATTTCTGCTCACTTCCTAATAATTCTTATATATTCAAAAGTTAAAACAATTAAGAAGTTATTAATGATTAATTATTATATATCATTATAATAACATGTGAATTAATGAATGATTCTGCATTAGTCATTTTCATGCTGCTGATAAAGACATACCTGAGATGGGGCAATTTACAAAAGAAAGAGATTTAATGAACTCACAGTTCCATGTGGCTGAAGAGGTCTCAAAATCATGGTGGAAGGTGAAAAGCACATCTCACATGGTGGCACAAAAGAGAAGAGAATGAGAGTCAATCAAAAGTGATTTCCTCTTATAAAACCATCAGCTCTCGTGAGACTTATTCACTACCATGAGAACAGTAGGGGGGAAACGGCCCCCATGATTCAATTATCTCCCACCAGGCCTCTCCCACAACACGTGGGGATTGTGGGAGCTACAATGCAAGATGAGATTTGGGTGGGGACACAGCCAAACCATATCACATTCCAATAGAGTAATTACAATCACATGTAATGTAATTATCTCATAGAAGTCTTATTGAATATCTATTATGTACCAGATATAGGCCAAACACTGAGGATAGAGGTGAATAGGATAGGACCTGGACCTTGGCCTCAGGGGGTTACAACTGTAATAGGGGATGCAGCCAATGGCAGCGCAGCCTAAAGCATGAGGTCTCAGATGTGGCTGAGAACCCTCCCCACGATGGGGTATTGGAGGCCAATTATTTAGCATCAATGATGAGGCAAAGGCTGCTCAATATAGATTTTCTATGCTCTTCCCAATCCTTGCACTGTCACACTGTGTGGATGTATTAGTCCATTCTCACATTGCTAGGAAGAAATACCTGAGACTGGGTAACTTATAAAGAAAAGTACCTTAATTGGCTCATGGTTCTGCAGGCTGTACAGGAAGCATGGCGGCTTCTGCTTCTGAGGAGGCCTCAGGAAACTTACAATCATGACAGAAAGTGAAGGGGAAAACAGATGCATCTTACATGGCTGGAGCAAGAAACGTGGGGAGGCGCTACATATTTTTAAACAACCAGATCTCACAAGAACTCACCCGCTGTTGGGACATAGTACCAAGGGGAAAATCCGCCCTTATGATCCAGTCACCTCCCACCAGGCCCCACCTCCAACACTGGGGATTACAATTTGACATGACATTTGGTGGAGACACAGATCTAAACCACATCAGTGTATCTGACAGATGAGGAAACTGAGGATCATGAAATAAGTGGCAACACTGGGACTGAGTCCAAGTGCATCTGTCTCCACTGTTTCCCACTTGCCATGTTTCCAGTATGTGCATCTGCCCACTGCTTCCTTTCAACCTGAAAACCACACAAAAAGCTGGCATACCCAATTGGAAGACCCATAAGGGGCTAAGGAAGATGTATTAATTCTTTTTGCACACAGCGAGGTACTTGGGGAGGGCAGGAAGGCGGAGGCAGTGGGGAGTTTTCCATTTCTCCCTGGCAGGAGAAGCCTCTGATTCCTGGAGCTGCTGGTGCCTATGTAGGCAGAGCAGCGGCTTCAGTGGCCACCTCTGTCCTGCTCTGGGAGCTCGCAGGAGAGTACCACATTACACAGTCCCATGCATTTTTAATGACTTGGACTTGAAAAGTAGTTTCAGAAAGTGAGCAAAACACCGAGTTAATTGAGCGCTGCTGCTCAGCTTCCTTCCCCCAATGTAGTCTTCAAGTGGAATATGGCTGAAATATCAGCTGTCAGATGATGAATATTTTAAAGAAAATTCTATTATGCACCCAAGGTTCATTCAGCTTAGTAATAAGAGTAATGAGGACAGTTACCTTTAGGGAAAGGAAGTGAGATCACTCTTGCTGCTTACTGGGGGCTGGTTTGACAGGCATCTGCTCTGAGCATGGGACTATGTCTAGGGAAATCACAGCTGCTTGTCTGAACCTCACCCGGTAGGAAAAACTCTACCTCACAATGGTTTGGAAGCCTATCTGTGGCAGAGAGCTGGCTGCAAACTATTTCTGTTCCCTTGGCTAATGGTTGAGGTAGAATCCATCACCTAATGAATATTCAATAGGTGAAGTTGAAAAAAAAAAAAAAAGGAGAGAAAATGATTCCATCTCTGCTCTCCTGCAAAGCTCTCTGTGGTCCAAGCAAAAAGAAATCACAAAGGCAAGAGAGGACAAACCAGAAACATCCCTTTCCTCTTCAATACGCATGGATGCTGGGAAAAGGCTGACCCTGGGAAAGGCAAAAGGAAAAGAAATCAATTTTCAAATTATTTCAGAGAAGTAGCCAGAAAAAAAGAGTGTCACCTTGAACTTGAGAGAATATTAAAAGTGAGCAAGGCGGATTCCCATTATTGCAGCTGCCTCTGGTAGGATATAGGCTGTTGGGCTTTTTCCTTGAGTTTGAAATGCAAGTTTGGGCACAAAAGGGAGAAAAAGAATAAGATGATGCTGCCATAGAATAGGCAGCCTCGACAGGGACTGTCAGAGCTCAGCAATGCTGGTTGTGCTACCTGGTAAATAGCACATGGCAAATTTTTACAGAGCAGAAAAAGAGAGAACAGTTCTTTCTCCACAGGCCACGTTATGAAGCCAGTTTTGCTAGTTGTGTAACTATTGCTTGTCAAGCCGAAATGGAAATACTTGGTATTTTAGTCTGTGCTGTTCCAGCAGGATTGGATGTGGCGACAGCGACTGTAACCAAGCCCAGACAAAAGGCACCATCTGCTCCTCTCGTCGTCCTTCCTGCACTCCCACTCCCATGCCAGTTCTCTCATCCCCCATGCCGTGCTCATGGTACATGGCTCCCTGGCTGTCCCCATCTTGTCCCTGGTTGTTACGGCAGTGCCTCACACTTCTGCATTGTGATGTTTTGCTTGGTGTGAAAACCGCATTAGAAGGAAATGAGAAGTCAGGCATCCCTTGTGGAAGAGTATGGAACACTCTTTATAATAAATGCCACCATGGATACCATGTCCTCTAGGTACCTAGTATTTATCAAGCATATTACAGATTTTTTAATCCTCGCTGGGACCCAATGGCATATGTGTCATTTTTTTTTTGTTTTTTGTTTTTTGGTGTCTTTTTTTTTCATTTTACAACAAGGTAAACGTGGATCAGAGAGAGGTTATGTGGTTTGGTGAAAATCACATAGCTTTAAATAATTTAAACGGAGCAGCTAGGGCTTGAACTCAGACCTGTCACCCACAGTCCATGCTTTCATTTTCTACCTCCAGGAGGACATGGGGGTGGGATAAGGTAGACTGGCCCTAGGGCTGGGGGGCTCTTGGTGGGACTTCTCTCCACATTCCCTGGGCTGTCAGGGAGGTGAGAAGTCGCCTTTACTCTTCTGTCTGGTATGTTGCTTCCTGGTCATGGGTGGTCATAACCTAGGCCCAGGCAACTGTTTGTGGAATCCCAGGTGGCCAAGCCCACACAGCGGACGGGAAAGGGGTAGTGTATGAAGAATTTCTAGCATAAAATCGACACCCACCAGAGACAGGGTTGTAAGTAAGGATGGCCAGGAGCCTTGGGTAGGTCCTAGCCTGCAAAAGCTGAAATGAAGCTGGGTGGTGGGAAAAGACACACATTTGGTTCCAAAGTCTGATTAAGGCAATCTAATATTAGAAGCACACAAGTCTGGTTTTTACCTAAAAATACTTAATAGAGTTTTCCTAGCCCCATAAAAAGGTTTTGGGCTTGTGATACAATGAAATAATGCCTAATGGAAAGAGTGAGTGACTCAACTATGAAGAGTAAAATGCTCTTTTCTGCTATCATGACCCTCCTTACGCTGATCAGTTTCTGTTGGTGCTGCTTCCAGAAGCAGAACATTCTAGACTGTTGGAATATTAATAGTAATGACTGGTACTGTGTAGCCGCTACAGGCAGACACATCATATATATTATTTCCACTTAAGACATAAAACAATCCTAAAAATAACGACTATTTCCTCTGTTTGTGGAAGATAAACTGAAGCTCTGAAATTTTGACCACTTTCTCCAGATACCACAGCTGGTAAGCAACAGGAGGGGGAGTTTGAACTCAGACCTGCTTACAAAGCCTGGATTTCTGCTAGTCCTCTCATTTTCCTTCCTTCCTTCCTTCCTTCCTTCCTTCCTTCCTTCCTTCCTTTCTTTCTTTCTTTCTTTTTCTTTCTTTCTTTCTTTCTTTCTTTCTTTCTTTCTTTCTTTCTTTCTTTCTTTCTTTCTTTCTTTCTTTCTTTTTCTTTCTCTCTTTTTGTTTCTTTCTTTCTTTTTCTTTGTTTCTTTCTTTCTTTTTCTTTTTCTTCTTTCTTTCTTTCTCTTTTCTTTCTTTCTCTTTTCTTTCTTTTTTTTCTTCTCTCTCTCTTTCTCTCTTTGTTTCTTTCTCTTTCTTCTTGCTCTTCCTCTCTCTCTCTCTTTTTTAAATAAGTTCTTGCTCTTTCACCCAGATTGGCGTACAGTGGTATGATCACAGCTCACTGCATCCTTGAACTGCTGGGCTCAAGTGATCCTCCCACCTCAACCTCCAGAGTAGCTGGGACTACAGGCCAGTTTTTTTATCCACAGTTTTTTAATCCACTCATTGATTGATAGGCATTTGGGTTGATTTCTTTATTACACCAAGGAGTGCTGCTTTGAAGCATTCTTTATTATTTTCATCTACGTGTAAAGGGGCAATGCCATCTAGGGAAACACTTTATAAGTTGAATCTGTGTTCACCATGATCAGGTTCTCCCTACATCCCCCATTGCCTCACAAGGCGCCCAAGCTCCCCTCCCCGAGCTGGGGCAAGGGACCTACATTAGTCATCACTAGGGGCGGGGGTTTCCATGCCACAAGACGGCTTTCTCCTTTGACTCCTTCGGATGTGCTCCCTGTCTTGTGCTGGCAGACTTCATCTTCTCTCTCATCTGGAGACCCCAGGGCTCCTCTCCAGGGTTCTTCCTCTGCATGGCCTTCTGTTCACCTCCAGTCTCGTCCTGGAGGGGACACCTAGTCTAGCAACATGGTGCAGAGGATCTTGCCTGGAATGAGGTTGCATTTCCCCTCTTGTCCTCTCATGTGTTGGGAAGGGAAAAATAGACCCTGGGGTGCAGAGAAGGAAGAGAGAAGAGGTGGGAAGGAAACACACTGATAACAACCGAATGGCTCTTTCCAGGTGACCTGTGTTGAAGGGAGCCTAAGCTTTTAGTCATTCTCAAGTCAGGGATCTAGCTAAGGACTGTTGGGTTTGAATGCATTTAATTTAGAGGCCCTTCTAAAGACCAAGACCACAAAACTATGACTAGAAAATTAAGTGCAGAGCCCGAGAAGAGGTCCATATTAGGGAGAGGCTTTGAAATGTCATCGGCTTCACATTGAATTTGCCTCTCTGCATGGTGTGTAGCTTAATTTTAGTCAAGAGCCACCTAAGATGTTGGAGGTGGTGAGGGATGGCTGTTCTTTGATACCCTCACTATGGGGCTGTAATGAGCAGACATTCCTAAGGACATTTTTTAGCCAAATATTCATCCTAAGCAGGCACAACACAGTTTATACAACCTGTTCTACCATTCAATGACACCCCAGCTCCTGGTCTTTTAGGTGATTCAAGCATACAGCATCTGTCAGGGTGATCCTGGCAGCACCCGCGAGGTCACATTCTGTGCCTTCTAGGTGGCTTCAAGCAGTCTGACTACACTGTGCTCTGCCCAGGGATCAGACTTAGAGTGCTGTCCTTGGGGTACCCAGAACTGGCCGAATGCTCTTCTATGCCTGGTTCATGTAAGGCTGGGGAGCGATGACAAATAACTTTAGTGAATCCACATGCTCTGAATACATTTCATTTCACCAATGAAAGTCATTTTCTAATATTAATTATGCTACTTGAAAGTCACTTGCTTCACCAGTGAAAACACGTTTTCAACATCCAATATGTTCATTTGCAAAACATTTAAAAATTTTTTTATAAATGCATGTATTTATTGTTATTTTAAAAATCGTGGTTAAATAGATGAAACATAAAATTTACCATCTTTTTTTTTTTTTTTTTGAGACAGAGTCTTATGCTGTCATCCAGGCTAGAGTGCAGTGGTGTGATCTCAACGCACTACAGCCTCCACCTCCTGGGTTCAAGCGATTCCCGTGCCTCATCCTCCCGAGTAGCTGGGGCTACAGGCACACACCACCATGCCCAGCTAAATTTTACATTTGTAGTAGAGATGGGGTTTTGCCATGTTGGCCAGGCTGGAAAATGTACCATCTTAATTGTTATAAGTGTACAGTTTAATAGCATTGAATCCATTCACATTGTTGTGCAACCATCACCACCATCTATCTTCAGAACTCTTTTCATCTTGCAAAATGGAAACTCTGTCCCCATTAAACAATAACTCCCCATTCCCTCCTCCCCTGAACCGCTGGCAATCATCATTCTATTTTCTGTCTATGAAGTTGATGACTTTCACTACTTCATTAAGTGGAATCAGACAATACTTGTCCTTTTGTGATTGTCCCATTTCACCTGGTGTAATGTCCTCAAAGTTCATTCCTATTGTGGCAGGTGTTATAATTTTCTACCTTTTTAATGCTGAATTCCATCACATGTATATACCACCTTTTGTTTATCCACTCATCCTTTGATGGACACTTGAGTTGCTCTCTGTTTTGGCTTATTGTGAACACAGCTGCTATGAACATGGGTGTTCGAATATCTCTTTGTGACCCTGCTTTCAATTCATTTGGGTAAATATCCAGAAGTGGGATGGCTGGGTCATGTGGTAATTTAATTTTAATTTTTTGAGAAACTGCCCTATCGACTTGTAAAATGTGAATTTTTGATGGTGATAATGATAACAGATGAACTTATATTTGTTGCCCCAGTGTATTAGTCTGTTTTCACATTGCTCTACAGAACTACCTGAGACTGGGTAATTTATGAAGAAAAGAGGTTTAATTGACTCACAGTTCTGAAGGCTTAATAGGAAGCATGACTAGGAGATCTCAGGAAACTTACAATCATGGCGGGAGGCATAGGGGAAACAAGCACATCTTACCACGTCAGAGCAGGAGAGACAGTGAAGGGGAAAGTGCCACACACTTTCAAACAACCAGGTCTCGTGAGAACTCACTCATTATCACAAGAACAGCAAGGGGGAAGTCAGCCCCCATGATTAAATCACCTCCTACCAGGCCCCTCCCCCAACACATGTGGATTATAATTCGAGATGAGATTTCAGTGGGGACACAGAGCCAATGCACATCACCCAGTGTGTGGCCCTTACTGATTAAGTACTGCTGACCGCCTCTGGGCTGGGCATTCTAGAGAGCAGGTGAGAGCTGATTATCCCTAGAATGCAGGCATAAACTCATTGCCCTTACATAACATCCCAGCCATTGTACTGAGATATTACAGGTGTAACTCACAGCCAGATGACGACCTGACAGATCAGGAAGCTCTTCAACAATAGAGATCAAGTCTAGTATTTCTTTGTTTTTTGTTTTTTGTTTTTTTTTTTTTTGCTTCGGGACCGTTACTCAGTTAAATGTGTCAGAGAGGTAAGAAAGAGATCTGACTCAGATGGAAAATTCAAATTCTAGTATTGTGTCTTTTCTTTCTCATACAGGGGATTCTTGCACAAGCTGACCATTTCCTTATCCTTGCAACTGCAAAAGTCTCCTACTGAATGAACTGAATGAAGGAGGATTTGTGTGGAATAACACAGCTGAACAGCTGAAAGCTCCTGTTCATCTGCCTTGTATGGGTATTATCATTTACTGGTGGGTGGTTTTCTGAGAGAGATGGGACTTCTTATTTTAATTAAATAAATAAATTAATTAATTATTTTAAGTAGAGACAGAGTCTCGCTCTGTCACCCAGGCTAGAGTTCAGTGATGCCGTCATCGTTAATGGCAGCATTGAACTCCTGGGCTAGAGCTGTCATCCCACCTCAGCCTCCTGAATACCTGGGACTACAGAGCATGCCACCATGCCCAGCAAATTTTTCAACTTTTGTAGAAATGGGGTCTTGCTGTGTTGCCCAGCCTGTTCTCAAACACCTGGCTTCAAGTGATCCTCTTGCCTTGGCCTCCCACAGTGTTGGGATTATAGGCATGAGCCACCACCCCTGGCCAGGACCTCCTGGCTTCAGGATTTGCATCCAGCTGCTGCTGTCCCCCAAACACCTGGGCTATTCCTTCACATAGTGAAAAGTGGAGCATAGGCTATTCCTTGGTCACTTTGCTGCTGCAGAAATCCTCACCCTGTTCTCTTTTAAGTCTCTCTTCTTTCTCAGGTCTGATCACGCAATTTGATTAGGGGTAGGGGAGGGGAGGAGAGCAAAAGGAAATAGGAGGTCAAGGAAGCAAACGAAGTTTCCTTTCCTCTTTGAATTTTGAGATGACTGATCAAACTGCCACCTTCACCTGCCTCTGTTTCTCAGCTTCATCTTACTCTCCAATTAATAATGGTTCTGCCGGGCCCAGTGGCTCCCGCCTATAATCCTAGCGCTTCAGGACACCGAGGCGGAAGGAACGCTCGGGGCCAGGAGTTTGAGACCAGTGTGGGCAGTATAGTGAGATCTCATCTGTACACATTTTTTTTTTTTGAGACGGAGACTCGCTCTGTCACCAGGCTGGAGTACAGTGGTGTGATCTCAGCTCACTGCAGTATCCTCCTCCAGGGTTCAGGCGATTCTCCTGCCTCAGCCTCCCAAGTAGCTGGAACTACAGGTGAGCACCACCACATCCAGCTAATTTTTTGTATTTTTAGTAGAGACGGGGTTTTACCATGTTGGCCAGGATGGCCTCGATCTCTTGACATCGTGATCCGCCCGCCTCGGCCTCCCAAAGTGCTGGGATTACAGACGTGAGCCACCGCACCCGGCCTATAAAAATTTTAAAAAGAAAACAGCAAGGCCTACTGGCGTAGCTTGTAGTCCCAGTTACTTGGGAGGGTGAGGTGGGAGGATCACCTGAGCCCGGAAGTTCAAGGCTGCAGTGAGCTATTATGGTACCACTGCACTCCGGATTGGGAAATAGAATGAGACCCTGTCTTTCTCTCTCTCACACACACACACAACTCAACAAAAATGATTGCAATCAGTACTTAAGCTTGTATCAGATCAAATGACAGAAACCTGAATGTTTGGCCCTGCAGGCTGCAGGCTCACACTGAGGCCTACTTGCAGGGACTCTGGCTAGGATTTTCTGGATAGAAAAAAAATAAGCCATCTCATCTTCGTTTTTAATTAATGCAGTCACCAGTTTTTCACTCCAAAGTGTCACAAGCAGGAAATCAAAGAAGGTCTTGTATAAATAATAAGAAAAAGAGGTTCTATCTATTAGTAATGGAAAGCATTTTCAAGGAGAGCTCAACAGACCGCTGATGGTCTCCACACTCCCTTCAGGTGAAACCTCTCAAAAATCATAATATAAATTATAGATGTGTCCAAGGTTTCTTAGGATAGAATATTAAAAGTCTCATTTTAATAGTGTCTTAAGTCAAAAGAAAAAATATAGAAGAGCCTCTTATCCAGGTCATAACACAAATCCTTCTAATTCAACCAAAATGAAACAAACGTTTAGCTTTTTTATGATTGGCTTTTGTTTTAGTTTAGTTACAATTTTGAGAAGGAGTCTGAAAAATTATTCTACAGATTTATTTTTGTTCTCTCATAGTTTCTCTGAAAAACTTGATCAGGGAGGAGGAAAGGGTGATCCTGGTTCACTGGACCTGTCAGATCTGAATCCTCAGCTGGAAAAGGGACGGATTCCCTGCGTCTCCTCCAGCAGTTTGCCACAGTGAGTATGAACTGTCAGTCATGGGGATGCAGAGATGTGCGCTCAGTCCCCTTTGGGGCTGGTTGGTTTCCTCTGGGTTTGTTGTGTTAAGCCTGCTGAAATGTGCTAGCTGAAGCATGCCGCCTTAACTCCTGTGCTCAAGGTGAAATGTCTCTCTAGGACTTGCCAAGACAATGCAAGCTAACATTCACTTCAAATGGCAACAAGCCCTGAGCATGAGTTGCTATTTACATTTTTATTCTTCCAGAAGAGGATTCTTCTCTCACCACCACCCTCAGCTCACAAACCCATGACCTCATTGCATTTCTCACCTGCGACTCCTCCCTCACTTTAGCAGATTCGGGAGTAAACTTGAAGCGAAAGCCGTCACATGGCAGGCAGTCCACAAGGATCCGCTGGGATGCTATTGTTTCCTGGGAGTTTCGTGTCTTGATGTACATCATCTTGTGTGCTCATCCCAGTCACCAGAGGAGGTTGGCAGAGCGGAAAATTATTTTGTCATCCCAACTTTATAGGAGGAGAAGTTGCTGAGGGTAGCATGGCTGGCAAATGGCAAGCTGAACTTTGAACGAGGAGAAATTTTCCTGCTTCTGGTCTAGGCCTGTTTTCATGAGACAATGTTGCCTCTTAGAAACCGGTGTTAGGAGATGTGAAAGATGTATGGTTAATATGAAATTAAAAGACCCAGGTTTGAATGCAGCTCTGACCACATACTACTCATACAACCTGAGCATGTTTTGTTTGTCTGAGACAGAGTCTCACTCTGTTGCATAGACTGGAGTGTACAGTGGCATGATTATAGCTCACTGCAGCCTCAAACTCTTAGGCTCAAGTGATCCTCTTGCCTCAGCCTTCAAGTAACTAAGACTACAGATGCATGCAAAATGCCCGGCTAATTTTAAACATTGCTTTTTTTTTTTTTTAGAAGGAGTTTTACTTTTGTTACCTAGGCTGGAGTGCAATGGTGTGATCTTGGCTCATTGCAACCTCTGTCTCCCGGGTTTAAGCAATTCTCCTGCCTCAGCCTCCCGAGTAGCTGAGATTACAGGTGCCCACCACCACATCCAGCTAATGTGTGTATTTTTAGTAGAGATGGGGTTTCACCACGTTGGCCAGGCTGGTTTCAAATTCCTGACCTCAGGTAATCCACCCACTTCGGCTTCCCAAAGTGCTGGGATTACAGGCATGAGCCACTGCACTTGGCCAAATATTTTTTAAAATTATTTTTTTCCATACAAACAGAGTCTCACTAATTGCCCAGGTTGGTCTTGAGCTCCTGACCTCAAGTGATCCTCCCATATCAGTCTCCCAAAGTGCTGGGATTACAGGTGTGAGCCACTATACTGGGCCTGATCCAAGCATTTAAACTTCTTGAGGGTTCCATTTTCTGTCATTCAGGAATATACTATTTCTACTTCATATGATCACTGAGGAGAGTGAATTAGAAAATGCTCAGTGATAGCTTGTAAATATCCCTTTATTCCCCCGTAAAACCCACAAAGCTATTAAACATTTTGAAGTTGACTGCATTTTGCAATGAGGTACATTAATTAGCTACTCTCTATACAAGGGGGTGGTTTCGAAGGGTGCGTGGAAGAAAGCCTGGGTCAAGAGCTCTGAGAACGCTGCTGCCCTGGCATCATTACAGCAATGACAAAGGAGCAGAACCTTCATAAAGCAAATTAGAAAACTTCCCATGCTACCAGGTAGTTCTTTTATTTGTAAATGAGGAGTGGAATAATTAAAGAAAAATCACAACTGCATTCTTAGAATGTGAATTTGCTGATTTACCAATAGATACTTATTGATTATGCAATATGTACCAGGCATTATTCCAAGGACAAGTTGTAAGCAGGACAGATAAGCTACTTTCTCTTATGAGTCTTGCATTCCAATATAGAAACAGAGATAATAAAGAAATAATGGGCTGGGTGCAGTGGCTCATGCCTGTAATCCCAGCACTTTGGGAGGCCAAGGTGTGTGGGTCACCTGAGGTCAGGAGTTTGAGACCAGCCTGACCAATATGATGAAACCCTGTCTCTACTAAAAATACAAAAATCAGCCAATTGTGGTGGTGTGCACCTGTAGTCCCAGTTGCTCAGGAGGCTGAGACAGGACAATTGCTTGAACCTGGGAGGCACAGGTTGCAGTGAGCCAAGATAACACCAATGCACTCCAGCCTGGGAGACAGAGCAAGACTCCGTCTCAAAAAAAAAAAAAAAAAAAAAAAAACACAGGAAAAAGAAAAAGAGAAATAATGCAATAGTACCTAAGAAATCATGGGTGTTATAATGAAAACAAAACAGGGTGATGTTGGTTAGAATGACTGGGAGTTTTCTTTAAACTGGAAAGTGATAGAAAACTTTTATAAGGGGGTACTCTTTGAATGTCATCCTGAATGACAAGGAGACAGCCCTGTGAGCCTTGGGGAAGAGCGTGGCAGCCAGTGGAGAGAAGCCCTGAAGTGGGCATTCTAAAATCATGGCTAATTGAAAAGTGGTCAGTATTTGTCCTTGAATATATTGCAAAAGATACCCAGAAGGCAGATGTATTTTCACACACAGGGACAGGCACACTGACATCTCGGAAGCTCAGATTTGTGCACAGTTTCTGGTCCTGTCTAAGAGGACAAAGGGGTATGGGGTGTCTGTAAATAACACACTTTAATGTGGTAGGTGCCATCATAGTCCCCAGTGAGGGACAATGGTGTGTTGTGATTAGGTGAATTGGGCTTCCTGAGGGGTTGAATTATTCTCTGTGTTTAGAAAGTGAAGGGCAGAGAGAAGCTGTGAAAGTCACTTGGGTCGAATGAGGACCAAAACTTGGCTGTAGCAAGCAATGTTTGGGGACCAGTGAGCACATAGGTTTGACTGAAGCAGAGGGTTTCCAAGGGACTAAAGAGAAATGACTGTAGTGGAAAGGGAAGGGGTATTTGTGGAGGTTCAAGGGTGAGCTGTGGCAGTTGGGTTATATGGGACAAGCAGTGGAGAGCCTTGGCAGTGCTGAGAAATGGACTTTCTGAAGAGAGGAAGTCTAAAAATGTCCATCTCTCTGTGGGAGGATACTCACAGCTGCACCTTGCCTCCAGCCCCTTGGCCATCCCCTTTCTTCCCCTACCATTCTGCCCTGTCCAGACTCATTCCTCACTTGTCCGGTTTAATATGCTTCTCCCTCCAGATGTAAGCAACCCCTTCCCTGAGTGCCCAGGTTTATAATGGGAAGGTTGCCATGACAACAACATAGCAGAAATAGCCAATAGAATTTAAACCCAGCCATGCTAGAAAAAGCTATGGTTTCAAGTGTCTATAATTTAGTGGAAATCAGGGAGAAACCTCACCTTATGCTCAGGTCAGTCCTGGAAGATAAACAAGTGTTCTCACGTGACAGAATGCAAAGGATCTGAAACCAGCCTGGCACTCAGCATCTGGTAGACCTTGGTCAGGAATTGGGTTATTCCTCCTCAAGAATAAAAGTTGGTTGGTCATATTGCTCACTTAAAAGCTGTTTTTGTTTTTGTTTTCCAAGACAGGGTCTCACTCTCTCACCCAGGCTGGAGTGCAATGATGCAATCATAGCTCCCTGTTGCCTCCAAATCCTAGGCTCAAGCAATCCCCCTGCCTCAGTCTCCTGAGTAGCTGGGTCTACAAGTGCACACCACCAGGTCCATATTCTTTTGGTTATTTAAAAATGTACAGTAAGTTATTGTTGATTGTAAGCACCCTGTTGTGCCATCAAATACCAGATCTTATTAATTCCATTTAACTATATTTTTGTCCCCATTAATCATCCTCACTCCCCCCGCCACTCCACTACCCTTCGCAGCCTCTGGTAACCATCATTTAATTGTTTTAATTTTTAGCTCCCATGAATTGGGGAGAACATGTGGAGTTTGACTTTCTGTGTTTGGCTTATTTCACTTAACGTAATGTCCTCCAGTTCCATCCATGTTGTTGCAGATTACAGGATCTGATTTTTTTATGGCTTCTTATTTTTTTTATAGTACTCCATTGTCATTATGTACCACATTTTCTTTATCCATTCATCTGTTGATGGACACTTAGGTTGCTTCCAAATCTTGGCTATTGTGGAGAGTTCTGCAATAAACATGGATGTGCATATATGTCATTAATATACTAATTTCTTTTGGGAATATACCTATCAGTGGGATTGCTGGATCTTATGGTAGTTCCATTTTTAATTTTTAGAGGAACATCCAAACTGTACTGCTTAGTGGCTATAGTAATGTACATTCCCACCAACAGTGAATGAGGGTTCCCTTTTCTCTACACCCTTGACAGCATTTGCTATTGCCTGTTTTTGGATAAAAGCCATTTTAACTGGGGTGAGATGATATCTCATTGTAGTTTTGATTTGCATTTCTCTGATGATCAGTGATGTTGAGCAACTTTGCTTATGCCTGTTTGCCATTTGTATGTCTTCTTTTGAGAAATGTCTATTCAGATGTTTGGCCCATTTTTAATGGGATTATTAGATATTTTTCCTGTTGAGTTGTTTGAGCTCCTTATATATTCTGGTTATTAATCTTTTGTAAAATGGATAGTTTGCAAATATGTTCTCCCATTTTGTGGGTTGTCTCTTCACTTTGTTGATTGTTTCCTTTGCTATGCAGAAGCTTTTTAACTTGATGTAATCTCATTTGTCCGTGTTTGCTTTGGTTACCTGTGCTTTTAAGTTATTACTTAAGAAATCTTTGCCTAGACCAATGTCCTGGAGAGTTTCCCCAATGTTTTCTTGTAGTAGTTTCATAGTTTGAGGTCATAGATTCAAGTCTTTAATTTATTTTTATATGATTTTTGTATATGGTGAGAGATAGGGGTTTAGTTTCATTCGTCTGCATATAGATATTGAGTTTTTCCAGCACCATTTATTGAAGAGACTGTTTTTTACCCAATGTATGTTCTTGGCATCTTTGTCAAAAGTGCAATCACTGTAGATGTACGGATTTATTTCTGGATTCTCTATTCTGTTCCATTGGTCTATGTGTCTGTTTTTATGCCAGGACCTTGCTGTTTGGGTTACAATAGCTCTGTGGTATAATTTGAAGTCAGGTAATGTGATTTTTCCTGTTCTGTTCTTTTTGCTCAGGATGGCTTTAGCTATTCTAGGTCTTTAGTGGTTCAATATGAATTTTAGGATTATTTTTTCTATTTCTTGAAGAATGTCATTGGCATTTTCATAGAGATTGCATTTTCTGAGGGCTATTTGTATCCCAGAAATGATGACAATAACAATCCAAGAAAAATTTTAAAAGGAAAGAAAGAAAATATATTTATAAGCCTACTCACTGAAACATTATTTGCAGTAGCAAAATATTGGAAACAACTCAAATATCCATCAATCTAGGTGGGACTGCTACTGTATGCAAAAACACATCACTATACCCAAGGTCACCTAGATTTTCTCCTGTGTTATCTTCTAGGAGTTTCACAGTTTCGTATTTTACATTTAGGTCTATAGTACATTTTGAGTTAATTTTTGTGAGGGCGGTTAAGTCCATGTCTAGATTTATTTATTTTGCTTGAGACTGTTCAGTTGTGACAGCACCATTTGTCAAAAAGATGATTTTTGCTCCATCGCATTACCTTTGCTTGTCAAAGACCAGATGACTATGTGGATCTATTTTTGGGCCCTCTATTTTGTTTCATTGATCTATTTATCTACTCTTTTGCCAACACCAAACTGTCTTGATTACTGTAGGTTTACGGTAATCGTTGAAGTTGAATACTGCCAATCCTCCAACTTTGTTCTTCTCCATCAATATTGAGTTGGCCTTTTGCCACTCCATATAGTCCTTAAAATCACTTTGTCAATATCCACAAAATAACTTACAAAGCTTTGACTGGGATTGTGTTGAATCTACAGCTCAAGTTGGAAAGAACTAACAATTTGATAGTACCGAGTCTTCCAATTTGTGAACATGAAATGTCTCTCCATTTATTTAGTTCGTATTTAATACATTTCATTAGAGTTTAATAGTTTTCCTCATATAGATATTATACATATTTTGTTAGATTTATACCTAAGTATTTCATTTTGAGAGGTGCTAATGAAATGGTAATGCATTTGTAATTTCAAGTTTCACTCCTTCATTGCTGGTATGTAGAAAAGCAATTGACTTTTGTATTTTAACTTTGTATCCTGTGACCTGGCTATAATCACTTATTAGTTTCAAAGTTTCTTTGTCAATTCTTTCAGAGTTTCTACATAGAAAATCATGTCATCTGCAAACACAATTTTATTTCTTCTATCTCAATGTATATAACTTTTATTTACTTTTCTTGTCTTATTGCATTAGCTAGGACTTGCAGTCAAATTTTGAAAAGAGTAGTGAAAGGGGACATTCTCCCCTTGTTCCTGGTCTTAGTGGAAAAACTTTGAGTTTCTCACCATTAAATATGATGTCAGCTATAGGTATTTTGTAGATATTATTTGTCTACAAAGGGGAAGTTCCCCTCTATTCCTAGTTTGCTGAGAGTTTTTATCAAGAATGTGTATTGGATTTTGTCAAACGCTCTTTCTGCATCTATTAATATCATCACATGATTTCTGTTCTTTAGCCTATTGATGCAATGGATTACATTAATTGATTTTTGATTGTTGAATCAACATTGCATAACTGAGATAAATTCCACTTGGTCATGGTGTAAAATTCTTTTTCTACCTTGTTGGATTTGATTTGCTAACATTTTGTTGAGGACTTTTGCCTCTATGTTAATGGAAGATATTTGTCTGTAGTTTTCTTTTCTTGTAATGTCTTTGACTGGTTTTAACATTAGGCGAATGCTGATCTCATAGAATGAGTTAGGAATTATTTTCTTTGTTTCTTCTGGAAGAGATTGTGGACTATGGGTGTAAATTTTTTCCTTTTGTGTTTGGTAGAACTCACCAATGAACCCATTTGAACCTAGTGCTTTCTGTTTTGTAAGATTAGTTATCATAGATTTAATTTCTTTAACAGATATAGGCCTATTTCAATTGTTTGTTTCTTCTTACATGAGTTTTGACAATTTCGTCTTTCAAGGAATTGGTCCATTTCATCTAGGTTATCAAATTTGTGGGCATAGAATTGCTCATAGTATTCTTTAATTACTCTTTTAATGTTCAGGGGATCTGTAGTGATGCTCTGTCATTCATTTCTGATCCTAGTAATTTGTATTTTCTCTTTTTTTCTTTAGTTAGCCTGGCTGGAGGCTTATCAATTTTATCAATTTCTTCAAAGAACCATCTCCTGGTTTTGTTGACTTTCCCTATTGATTTCCTATTTTCAAGTTCATTGATTTCTGCTCTAATTTTTATTATGTCTTTTCTTCTGCTTAGTGTGAATTAAATTTGCTCTTTCTCCAGTTTCTATGCTCTGCCTATTTGCAATAAATATTTATTATTTATAGTAAAATAAAATTTTACCTTAAAGTAAAAAGATTAGTGGTTGCCATTAGAGGTTGGAGAGAGGAGAAGGATGAAGAGATGGAGGACTTATTTTAATATTGCCTTGCAAGGCAGGTCTACTGCCAACAAATTCTCTCAATTTTTATTTGTTTGAGGAAGTATTTCTCGCTTCACTTTTCAAAGATAATTTCACAGAGTAGAGAATTCTAAATAGATAGTTTTTTTTTTTCTCTCAACACTTTAAATATTTCACTTTACTCTCTTCTTCTTTTTTCTCCACTCTCTTCTTGCTTGCTTTTTTCTTGGGAGAGATTGATACAATTCTTATCTTTTTCCCCTCAGAGGTAAGACTTTCTTTTTCCTTTCTTTTTTCAAGATTTTTTCTATATCTTTGATTTTATGAAATTTGAATATAATATGTCTATGTGTAGTTTTTAAGGGATTTATCCTACTTGGTAGTCTCTGAATTTCCTGGGTCTGTGGTGTGGTACATGACATTAATTTGGAGATATTCTCAGTCATTAAAACTTTGAATATTTTCTTTCTGTTTTTGTCTTTCTTTCCTACATAATGGTATTCCCATTATGGGCATGCTACACCTTTTGTAGTTGTGACACCACTCTAGACTATTCTACTGTCTTCTTTTCAGTATTTTTTCTCTTTACTTTCCAGTTTGAGAAATTTCAATTGTCATAGCCTCAAGCTCAGAGACTCTTTCCCTCAGTCAAACCCAGTGTGCTAATGAGCCCATTGTCCAATTAGTTTTGCTGTGATAATAATATGGTATGTTTTAAAAAGAAGTCCTTTTATAGATTCAAACAGAAGTATTCCAAATTAAATTCTATTACTCTAGCTAAGATTTGTCTCATACCTATCCAGTACAGTGTGCATGGGACAGGGAAGGGAAAGGATAGGCAGAGGTCGAGATGACCAAGTTTGACTGTTAGTTAATACATGTTGAAGCTGGGTGATATGTACATGGAGGTTTACTCTACTAGTCTTTCCAATTTTGTATATGTTTGAAATTTCTCACAATAAAACAGATAAAGATAGATTAACAGAGAGAAGAAGAACAATCTAACACAGAGAATAGATAGTGGTCATTTCAGATCTTGAGGAACCAGGGAAGAATGCTTTCCTGGGCCCCTCAAATCATACATACGTGACCAAATGGTTTGCCTTTGCCAAGCTTCCCTGCTCAGAAACGATTCCTTCTACAGCTCTGTTATACTTCTGCTTCTCTAAAAGCTGGTGTCTGTGACTGCCTGCTCAGCCCTGGGCAAATCCCACGTGCACTGTTAATCAAGTTTGCTAAGCTGCCACGAAGTCTAGGGGTCACTGATCCCCCTGGACTCTGCTTGGTGCTATTGATTCCTGCCTGCTGCCCCGTGGTCTTGCGACCTCTCTGCATGCCCCATGGCCTGTGTTTCCTGTCCCTCCAGGAGTGCGCTTGTCGGCTCCACGGTTTCCCTTGCTGCAGGGAGTAGAATGTGATGCCTAATGAAATTTACTGGGCAACAATAAGGTTCAAGGTTGGCGCCTCCTGCAGAGGAGTTAAGTCTTATCTGCTTTCAGCACCACTCTCCCTGTGGTACTTGGCCAGACTTGCTGCAGATTTTCAGAGCAATTGGTTTTCAAGCTGTCGCTCCTAACCCCGGCTCTAGCCTCAGAGGTGACCTTTCTCCGGGCTGGATTATTTATGTCTATCCTGCAGCCTCACTAGGGAAGTGTGTTTTGGCCCCCATACAAAGATTACTGTCTCCTATATGACCTCAAAATATTTCCCTGCACATGGCTCTCCAGTGGGATACTTTGCTGAAGTTTGCTGACTTTTTATTTTAGTTGCTTAAGATTGTTTCCTTTTTGAGGTACCAGAGGCATCTCTTTGGGGATCTACTGTGCCCATTTCAAATAGGTTAAAAACTTTGTGCTACAGACAGTGGGTGCAATTTTCAGTTTTAGGATTTGGTGCTAGTGTGGCCTGGTGGTTAAGCTCATGGCCTTTGTCAGGCTGACTTGGGTTTAGATATCAGCTCCTCCACAGCTATGTGATTTTTAATTTAATTCATTTAAGTTTTAATTGACAAGTATTAGTTGTATATAGGCATATCTTGGAGATAGTTCAGGGTTGGTTCCAGACCACCACAATAAAAAGAACATTGTAATAAAGCACGTTGCTCACATTTTTGGTTTCCCAATGCATTGTAAGAGTTATATTTACACTATAGTCTATTAAGTGTGCAATAGCATCATGTCTTATAAAGCAACGTGCATGCCTTCATTTAAAAATACTTTGTTGTCAAAACATGCTGACACAGGGACACAAAATAAGCGCATGTTGTCAAAAAAATGGTGCCGGTGGATTTGCTTGTTGCAGGGTTACCACAAGCCTTCAATTTGTAAAAAACACAGTATCTGTGAAGTGCAATAAAGTGAGGTATGCCTGGATACTTACAGTGTACACTGTGATGTTTTGTTATATGCATTTATTCACATATGTAAACATTATGGAATAAAGAAATCAAGCTAATTAACATATCTTTCACCTCATATATTTATCTGTTTTTTATGATGTTAGCATTTAAAATCTACTCTATTAGCAATTTCGAAATACACAACACATTACGATTAACTATAGTCACCATGCCATGCAGTAGACTTAAAAAAATGTATCCCTCTGATCTAATGGAAACATTGTCCCTTTCGACCAACATTTTCCCATTTCATCCCACCCTGCCAGACTCTGGTAACCAATAGCTGTGTGATTATGAAAAATCAGCTAACCCCTGAGACTCAATTTCCTCAGCTCCACTGTAGTACTTACCTTGTGGGGAGCTGCAAAGAGTAGGAGAGATACTATGTGCATGCTTGTCACATTGTGACTCTTCATTAAATGGTAATTACTCACATATTATTGAAAAGATTAACCACAATGTATAGTCATAATTTTGATAGTGACAGCTTTCAAAACATAAATTGCATGCACTCCATCATACATCTACTATAACGCTTAATACCTTGTGCTGTAATTATTTTTTATTTTTATTATTTTTTTAAGAGATAGTCTCTTGCTCTGTTGCCCAGGCTGGAATGCAGTGATGTGATCATAGTCACTGTAGCCTTGAACTCCTGGGCTTCAGCGATCCTCCTGCTCCAGCCTCCTAAGTAGCTGGCAGTGTAGGCACAAGCCACCACACCCAGCTAATTTTTTTTTTTTTTTTTTGAGACAGAGTCTCACTCTGTTGCCCAGGCTGGAGTGCAGTGCTGTGATCCTGGCTCACTGCAGCCTCCACCTCCTGGGTTCAAGTGATTCTCCTGCCTCAGCCTCCCAAATAGCTGGGATTACAGGCGCCCGCCACCATGCCCAGGTAATTTTGTATTTTTAGTAGAGATGGGGTTTCACCATATCAGCCAGGCTGGTCCCAAACTCCTGACCTCAGGTGATCTGCCCGCCTTGGCCTCCCAAAATGTTGGGATTATAGGCATGAGCCACCATGCTCGGCCACACCCAGCCAATTTTTTAAAAAAATATTGTAGGGATGAGGATTTGCTATGTTGCCCAGGCAGGTCTCAAATTCCTGGCCTCAGGTGATTCTCCTGCATTGGCATCCCAGAGTGCTGAGATTATAAGTGTGAGCCACCATGCTCGGCCAGTAATTATTATTATTATTATTATTTTTTTTTTTTTTTGAGACGGAGTCTCACTTTGTCACCCAGGCTGGAATGCAGTGGCTTGATCTCAGCTCACTGCAACCTCTGCCTCCCAGGTTCAAGTGATTCTCCTACCTCAGCCTCCCAAGTAGCTGGGATTACAGGGGTGCACCACCACCCCTGGCTAATTTTTGTATTTTTGGTAGAGATGGGGTTTTCCCATATTGACAAGGCTGGTCTCAAACTCCTGACCTCAGGTGATCCACCCACCTCAGCCTCCCAAAGTGCTGGAATTACAGACATTAGCCACTGCGCCTGGCCCCAATAATTATTCTTATGGAATTATTTCCTCACCTAGGCTAAATGGCAGAAACTCCCTCTCATTTTTTTTTCTTACTAATATCTAGCACATTCCTTAGCACCTAATAGGTAATCAATATCTGTTGATTGAAGGAATGGTTGTGACTGTTATCAGCAACCAGTGATACTGACTTTAAAATCATAAAACACACCCAATACGCATGTGCATTCTCATGCATCTTCATATCTGTGATCAAAATATTGACAATCCCCAAACACTGCGTTCCTTATTTACTTCTTTCAGAAGTGGCTATGGAAGGAAACTTAAGGAGATTCCTGTGGGTCTTTCTCCTCCTTCCTTACCCTGGAAAGAGTAGAGCATGAAATAAGGCCACTAAATGCTGTTCAGGGGGAAAATGAGCTGCTGTTTTGCAGATGCATGTAGATGAAGCTATTGACCTGTGGTTTGAAGGATATTCATTTTTTGTTTTTTCTTGTAGTGTGCAGTCTTCCAAATCTTTATATTGGCTAGGATTTTGCTGGATTTTTCTCAGATATGTCTGAGTTTTGTGTTTTGTGCTTTTGGAGCTTTGGAAATGGAGCACATCCTGTTTGATGAAGGCCAGTTTTGGTGTAATGCAGGCAAGTGGAGATACAGGTACTACATCAGGTTCAGATAACTGAAATGAGTGACAGATTAAAGACACCCTTGATTAAGCTTTCTCTACAAAAGTATAACTCTTTGTTAAAATAGTATAACCATCAACTCATCCTTAATGAAGTACAGTTACACAGTTATTCACTTACGGTGAAGACACCATGTGAAGCAGGAATTTAAAGCAATACATCTATTCTTTCTTCTCAAATCTACAATTTTCTAAAGGCCTACTTACTTTATTTCCCCAGGAATTTATTTTCTGCACCATAATTCTCTCCTTCTGGCCAGAAGCAATTTGTAATCCTGATTCTGTGACTTGACCCTGGGCAGCCTTCACTGAGAAGCCTTGGACTTTGACGTTCTTTGAGGTGGATCTAGGTTTGGGTTAAATTGTTCTGTCTATATACCATAAAAATGACAACAATGGCAACGATAATAAAACACCAAAATACCTCCATAACTTTTTGTTTCAGGTACATAAGAAAAGTGTAGAAACTTATTGCCTCATCCTATTCTTTTCTCCCTAAAATCATAACACCTTTAAATGCTTTACATTATCTTTCTGGGGGAGATTCAAAATGAAATTTTTCCCACTGTGCATTTACATTTTTCAATACACACACGTACGTATGCATATACACGGATATACACGTATCACCACCACACAGTAACAACAGAAATTCAATCTTTTCCTGGCATTTTAAAGCTTTTAGTGTCCATATGACTTTTCAAGGTAGGAAGCATCTCTGTGAGGGAGAGAGATGGCTCTGGGACCAACTTCTGCTGCTGCCAATCAGTGCCTTATCAGATACAGGCAGATTTTCTGAAATCCACAAAGTCAGCTTCCGTAGACTCCTAGTTCTTCTCTTCTGGAGACACCTTATTAGTTTAAGTCACTTCTATGTTTTCTACAGAAACATTCCCAGTGTATGTGAAATGTACAATTTTAAAAGCAAGCAGAAAAAGAAAGGTTCCACATCGCTGTCTCTAAAGAGGGGGAGGGAATAGAAGAACATGAGCTTATAATCATATGATTTAGACACAACCCTTGACAAACCCAAGTGACTACTTCAAGGCACTGGAAGAGAAAGTCCAGGGGCAACATGCTGATTAAACATGCTGCACTGAAGTCAGAGTTCTGCATAAATACTATTATGTGTCACTGTTGATTTTCTCCTTTAGCACAACCGAAAATAAATTGCTCGCATTGTGTCCATCATCTCACCTTGAATGGAATTTCCTCAGTGTACAGAATATCAGAAGTGGGGCTGCCTTGCCCCTACAAAATGGCGAAGTAGATAAAGTTTATTTTTGCTGCCATCCTACCTTCCCTCTGCTCTCGCCCCGATTTCCTGGAGTTGTTCCTCAGGCTCTATCCTGTGTCCAATTCCCCAGGGCCTCCTTGCTGTCAGTTAATAATAGCTTTCAATGCTGTTATTCTTCTCGGAGTTTTTGCATTTTAATAGGACCCCCAGGGATTAAAATGCCTCCAGAACCAAAAGAGTGAATCTCTAATGGTGGAATTTTAGGTACCGGTGACAGGCATTGTGGGAGATTTCATGGGGAGGGTTCTCTCAGAAGACGAACAGCCCCACAGCTTTCGACTTGACTGACTTGGTATGGTTGACCCTACAAAGGAGTATAGGAATGTGAATTAATCAGCCATGAAATACTGAACGTTATTGCAAAGAAAACCTTCAACTTTGCTAATTACACTTTAATGTTTTAATCAACTTTTCAGTACATGAATATGTGGTAATACTAAAGGTGTTTCCTGGCTGGGAAAATGATGCAGTATCTTAGGGAAAGTTCTTTCGAGTGACAGTGCAGTAGGGGATGGAGTGGAGTTGTTGGGATGGAAATGCTTAGTAATCTGTGTTCCAGGTCTTAGCCCATTACTGAAGGGAGCAATCACATTGACATAGAAGAGAATCGCCCGATTAACTCTTAGGTACAGGCGTGAAATAATAATAAATCCCATACTGAACTGTTGTTTCCATATACGTTTTGCACATGGACAAAAAAAAAAAAAAAAGAAGCTGGGATATTCTTCTCACCATTGTTCAGCACAAGAGGATGTCAGATTCCTGCACTTTATCTGGACTTCTCTATCATTCTCTCTTTTTTTCTCCTGCTAAGTAAACAGTGGAGCTTCATCCATTATTCAGCTATCAGAGACTGTCAGGATTTTCTGGTTGTGGAACTTGGGAGTTCTTAACATTTCTTTAAAACTGTGGAAAAATGTATTTGCAAAACTGCTGGAAAGGGAAATGAAGAGAGATATCAACCCCTACAATATAATTAATCCTTGTGAGCTTCTCCCCCAGAGGGCTAACTTGAGTTTCTCTTTAGTAATGGGAATTTAGTTTTGTTTCTTTCTTTTTTTTTTTTTTTTGGTTGTCATTATTCACACTTAACTACCTGTGGCAAGTACTGTGGAGGAGAGAGACTGCTGTAAACAGGTTTGGGGGCGCACAGGAAGGAAGAGCTTTGAAACCATGCCCCGTGAGAAAATGCATAAAGCTGCTGCGCACCACTCTACCTTAAAGCTGGTAAACACACAGCCCTCCCCATAAGCCAAATGTTACGAATTCTATTTTTATAGCTCTTGGAAGGCTTTCTGCAATCTTTTCCATGTTGAATGCTGCAGTTAAAAGATATCTTTAGGAGAGAATTTCCAGATCAAAAGTTGCAGGTATAAGAATATTGAAAAGAATGTAAAATCTTGTGCACGCAAATATCTATTTTATTGCTTTCATCTTTTGAATCAAGGAGGCACAGTAAATGACCCCTTCAGGCAGGGGAGTCATTGCACCCTCATATTTCCTGAAAGATTTCTTTTGGGTACATTGCAAAGCATTATTGGAATATAATAGTGCAAGGCACTACTGGAGTATTTACTGTTTTGTAGATTGCAAAGCACTATTGGAGTGTGCCTTCATTAGAATGGTGGAAAAGTTATTCTTGTGAATTTAGTCATAATCTTCATCAATCTGGGGTTGTAATACATTATTAAATGCAGTAGAGAGTGCTCAGAATAGAAATGGTGGATTCTTGTGAGACTGCATTGGTGAACAAAGAAAAGGAAGCACACTCCTTTCCTCTGTTTTTTTTTTATTCTTTGATAAAGTGATTACTGTTAGAATAGTGGATTGCTGTAAACTTGATGTAATCATGATTTAATAAATCATTGGAAAAATTCTCTCATGATAGAATGTGAGTGTTCAGGTGGAAATAATGACAATAATGACAGCTGACACCCAGGAAGCACTTGTTATATGTAGGGAGAAATGTCAAAAGAAGGAATGTATTTAGAAAGATCCATAGCTTGTGAACAACTATATATCAAAAGTCGCCAATATTATCCCAAAGAGCAGAGGTTCTCAGGGGAATGTTACAGAGTTTCATATCTTTCAAAATATTTACTAATGGCTGCTTGAAGACAAAGAAGACATTTGTGGAAATCTAGGTGGAATAGCCAACAAGATTGGTGAAGCTACCAATATTTAATATAGAATCCAATGAAAACAAATATCTGAGCACTCACAATTTAGAACTCGGGAGTGGGTACATAATAGGGATTCTACAATTTTAACTGGGAGATCCAAGCATAAACAACTAAAAGAAGATGCAATTAACAAGATGTGCATGTAAGCCTGCATTCGAATCCCTGTTTGAACACTAATTCGTACAATCTCGAGCTAGTTACACTTAGTCTCTAGAATTCTCAATGTTCTTATTTAGAAAATGGGATAATATTAGTACTTATAATAGAACTTAATAGGATAGGACATGTCAGATACTTAGCATAGTAGCACCCAACACCTTTTAGCGATTATTATTACTGTCATCATAGTTGTTATTAAGAATAATAAATATGGATAATAAATATGGCCAGCATGGTGGCTTATGCCTGCAGTTCAGCACTTTGGGAGTCCAAGTCAGGATTGTTTGAGGCCAGGAGTTCTATATCAGCCTGGGCAAAAAAGTGAGACTCTGTCTCTAAAATAATAATAATAATAATGATAATAAATACTGTAGTAGAGTTATCTAGTCCTTGTAGGTAACGGCACATTTAATCAAGATAATGATGAATTTAACATTTAAACAATCAGTTGTGCAAGAAAGGATTGGAGAAGTTTGGCATAACAAATGTTCATGTGAAACGGAGTGAAGGTTTTTGTTAAAAATCAACTTCGTTTTAACCAGTGGTGTAAATGAGTTATTGAAAAATATGACGGCTAAATGGATAAAAGCATATTGCTCAGGTTGGCAAAGTTGAGAGTGTCTTAGTGTTCTAAAATAGTCAGATCCTATGTGAAGGACTGAGCTCAGTTCTGAACAGCCGACTCTAAGATGGATGGATTAGAGATGCCTCTAGAATCTTGAGGGAGGTGATAAAGGATACAGGTTAAGGGCACAGAAGAAAGCTTTGGAAGAAACTGGGTAACTGCTTTCAATGGGTTTTCAGGCATCTCACTGATCACACAAATCAATTTTATTTATTTATGTATTTATTTATTTTTTGAGACAGTCACCCAGATTGGAGTGCAGTGGCTCCATCACGGCTCACTGCAGCTTTGACCTCCCAGGCTCAAGCAATCCTCCAGCCTCAGCCTCCCAAGTAGCTGGGATCACAGACCTGCAGCACCACAGCAGGCTAGTTTTGTTTCATTTTTGTAGAGGTGGGATCTTGCTGTGTTCATTTTTGTAGAGGTGGGGTCTTGCTGTGTTGCCCAGGCTGGTCTTGAACTCCTGAACTCAAGCAATTCTCCCACCTTGGCATCCCAAAGTGCTGGAAGACACATTGATTTTAATTTATAGAGGTGACTGAGCAGCTAATGTCATGGAAAGATTTTCATTGCTTCTACTTCCCAAGAGGAGGGGCATGGCAGGCCACACAGGGCCACATGGGGGAAGGCCAGTGTTGGACAGGAGGTGGAGAGGAGCGAGGAGACAGCGTGGGCCAGTCTTCATTGTGTTTTCTGTGGAACAGTCATGGCAGGGAAGCAGCTTAAGATAGGCTAGTATGAATGACACCAGTGGGTTTGGGGGCAGAGGGGCTGTCCCTAGTTGTTTGGTACCTGGCCCTGCGTTGATTTTGGACAGGGAAAATATTGGCCTGGTATGTGTTAGGTACAGGAGGTGCTTGGGGTATAGACTTTGGATTGGTTGGTTTGCGTATGAAAGGCACTCAAACAGCCCAGTCATTTATCATCTTAGGAATTAACTAGCCCGGAGGAGGGGGTCAGTCTCTCTTACCCAACTAAGTCCCCCAAGAGGTCAAAACATCATAAAATATAAAAACTAAAAATTATGATTAATACATCAGGGTACAAGCTGTAGCTCCAGGGGAAGAACCAGGAACTAACAATAGGGAGAAGTTCTAGAGAGGCAGATTTTAGGGGAAAAGAAAAATAAACCTTTCTGTGAAATAGGGCCATTGGAAAGTGGAAAGAATGTCTTTGTGACACCAAGAATGACCAAACCCAGATATATTCTGGGATGGCATAACCAGGTTGCTCATGTTGTAGGTGGGATTCGTTCAAGGATTGGGAGGTTGGAATAAACTCCAACTCATAGATTCCATTATTCGATGGCTGATGGCATGCCTAGAAGGAAATCAGATGTCCATTGCTTCTCGTCATGTACTACTCCTCAATTTCTCAGGAGAAGAACCAACTTAGAAAGATTAAAATTCAGCACTGGGAATAAGTGACATTTTTATATATAGTTGTAATAACTGGGGCTCTGAGAGGAAAGACTGGAAATCAGCCACTGGAAAAAAGAACCCCTATTTTAGTGCCAGTTAAGTGGGAGCCAAGTGGCCAGACGCCTAAGTTAAAAACAATGGGCTGACCTTGAGTTCTCCTGAGAAACTACAGACTATAAGGTTTGTATTGGCAAAGTCTTTCTATGAAGTCATTCTTCCACTAGAAATATATTGAGCTCTGGCTTGGCCCTGTCCACTGGGGACTTTGCTGTGTGTCAGGACTATTTTTTTTAGAACCAGCTTTTTTTTTTTTTTTTTTTTTAATGGTTATCATTTTAAGTCTGCGCTTGTATTAAGTATTAAATTATTAAAGTATTAAAGATTAAGTATTAAAAGATGCTAATGGATGGTAAGATCCTCAGTTTCCTCTTCCTAAACATGAAGGGACTGTACTAGAATGGTCTAAAGGTTTCCTTCTGATTCTAAAATTCTTTGATTTTGTGACAATATTATCTGTCGACCCTCAAAACTCTATTCCTTGAATTGACTCTACTTGCATGAACTATGCGCTGTTGTTGACAGTACACTGTGTGCCTGTCTAGTGTTATTCTAGGTGTTTCTGTTTGTTATCAGATAGGTAGGGATGCTCTTATTTTATAGACAAAGAAGCAGAGACTCATATTAGTAACTTGTCCAAGATCAAGGAGTTAACAAAGGGGAAGATCAGGAAAGACTAAGTCTCTCTGTCTACCTCTTACTGTCCTATTGCAGAGTTCCATATTACAGTGATGAGTGTCAGAAGCTGTCAGAAAATGACGCTGGGAGTGCCATTCTTTGTTTGACAGTAAAGTCACTGCCTCTGGCTTGGAAGTATTGATCACTGCATCTGAGATCTGAGAATTGATGGTGGTTAACCATGGTCCCACGTGTCCCTCTCTCCAGATGAGAGTTTGTTTTTTTCTGGTAAGGGTGTGGAGGGGAGAGAAACAAAAAAGAGAAAAGATATATTTAAAAATTATGGAAATATTTTGATTTTTCTTTCATTTAATTATTTCTTTTTGTCCCAAGCTTAATATTAGTTTTTGTTTGTTCCAATTCTACCTAAGGCAAGAAGAAAATTCCCTTTCACTTCTAAAATTCTGTTTATTTTTTCTTTGATATTTCTTTTAAATTTTTTTTTTTTTGAGATGGAGTCTCACACTGTTGCCCAGGCTATAGTGCAGTGGTGCAATCTCAGCTCACCGCAAGTTCTTCCTCCTGGGTTCACGCCATTCTCCTGCCTCAGCCTCCCAAGTAGCTGGGACTACAGGCACCCACCACCATGCCAGGCTAATTTTTTGTATTTTTAGTGGAGACGGGGTTTCACCGTGTTAGCCAGGATCGTCTCGATCTCCTGACCTCGTGATCCGCCTGCCTCGGCCTCCCAAAGTGCTGGGATTACAGGCATGAGCCACCATGCCGGGCCCTCTTTTAAAAAATTTTAAATAATGTTCATGGGTACATAGTAGGTGTATATATTTGTGGGGTGCATGACATATGTTGATGCAGGTATACAATGTGTAATAATCACTTCAGGGTAAACGGGGTACCTGTCACCTCAATCACTGATTATTTCTTTGTGTTGTAAATATTTCAGTTATGCTTTTCTGTTTCAGTATGCAAAGACAGATACCTGCCTGGCTTTTAAAATCCATCTAAGCTCAGGATGCCATTCAAATTGGGCATTTTAAGGTAATGAAGTTTGTTTGAGAATCCTGGACATTCAGTACTCACTTGGGGCAACTGAACTCTTATCCAGTTCTAGAAAACACGCTATTTCCATCTGGATGGCCTCTAAATTCTCATGGGAAATATATGAGATTAGTTTTCTGTCTCAGATATGGGTTGCTGGATCTCCATTTATTTTTTGTCAATCATATGTTCACCATAACTGAAATTGTCATTTAATGTGTTATTGCTATGATAAACCTCAGCTCTATTTATTTTAAAATAAACACACCAACTATGTCAGGTATGGTGCTTTGTAATGCACAAAAAATCAGTAGTGGGAGGTTCGTTTATAAATTCATGATGTTTAGGCTCAAGCATCTGTCAGGACTTTGAATTGTCTGGGAAATAGATACTAACCAACTAGGCTAAACAGTTTGTGTGGCCATCTGTTCAGAGTTAAAACATGGAGGAGGAAATTAGATTAATCATTCTACGATTTGGGGAATTCAGTGTGAAGGTCTGTGTTTACTGTGAATGCCTTTATTTTTAAGCATTTGAATCAAAGTTTTTCTACAACTGGCTTCCACTATATATTTGTGAAAATGAACTTTAAGGTGTGTTTGTGCATGTATATTTGTGGCATGTGGTACGTGGCACTTAAGTGGCACAATTTTGGGGATGTGGTGGTGGCAGGTGAGACAACCAAGTGGCTAGGCATATCATAGGCTTTAATGTTAGATAACTTTTGGGTAAGAGTACCTTACTTTTCTCAAGTGTAAAAGGGAGTAATAAAATTATTTATTTCATAAGGCCTTATAAGGATTATGTAAGACAATTATTGCATGTAAAGTACTTTGTATAATGCCTGGCACATAGTAAACATGCACTGAATATTAGTCATTATTCTGTGTCAACGTTTATCATCATCATCATCACTGTTAACCACCTTTGTCCTCTTATTTCAAAATACAAAATGAATTTAAACCCTTCAGGAATAGCTTTCTTTAGATTTCTCTTCTAATAGGTATTTACTGCATTAGTAACAAATTAAACAGTGTGTGTGAGTGTGAGTATGAGCATAAGTATTAATGTGTGAAAGTGTTGATGAGTGTGTGTATGTGTGTTTGTTTTAGTAGATCCAATCTTTAAAAACTCTGATCCACTTAAATTAATTGCTTCATTTGCAGAACTAATGCCTGGTATTAACAGAGAATGACTCCTTTCCCCCTTTAAATATACAGATACACTATTGAATATTTTGTTACAGTGAATGTTAAAATAATGACTAATACACAAGGGGCCAATTTAGCAGGAACTGTTAATCATGACTTCCTGCAACTGGGCCCCTGATGGAAGTATAATTATGGGTCAGAAATTGTAGATAACAAAACACTGGGAAATTGAGTGTAGGCCAATGCCAATAGAAATCAGCCCCCAAACTCCTTTCAATATAGATTTTAAGAAATTGAAGCTATCTTGGGTATAATCTTGCTTCATCTTTGTCTCTCCTCTTTCACTTTTTTTGGACTCCCACTTCAACCTCACCATCCCCAACCAGCAGTTCATAATGACCAGAACTCACCCTCCTCCCCTCCCTCCCTCCCTCCCTTCCTACCTCTCTTCTTCCCTCCTTTCTATCCTTCTTTCCTTCCTCTTCCCCTCTCTCTTCCTTTCTTTCCTTCTTTCCTTCCTCTTCCCCTCTCTCCTCCTTCCCTCCCTTCTTCTCCCTCTTTCTCTTTCTTCTATTGCCCTTTTTTCCCCAATACATCAACTGGGCATACACTATGTGTCAAGCCTTGTGCTAGATTAAGTGGTGAATAGTACAGACATTTTATTTGCTTTCATGAAATTTACAGAGCAGACAGTAAAAAAATACACACATAATGTTAATGTTTATGACAATGAAAGAGAAGTTCACAGTGCGTGAGAGTTTGTAACAGGGGACTAACTTGTGTTATGCTGGATGGGCAAGAAAAGTCGTTATGGCAGGGTTACATTTGAGCTTGATGGTGGAAGAGGAGTTCACTAAGTGAAGCGGGGAGGCAGGTGTTTTTATTAGAAGAAATAGCTCAGCTTATGTGAAGGCCCCGAGACAGGAAGTCACGGACAGTGAGGAACTGAGTCTGGAAAGAAAACGCTGGACAAAAAGCAGCTTGAGGCTTTTGTCTTTCTTCTAAGAGAAGTGAACAGCAATGGAACAATCCTCAAAGTGATTGTGTTGAAATATTGTATTTCAAACATGGAACAATCCTCAAAGTGATTGTGTTGAAATACTGTATTTCAAACATAATGAAAATTATACAATGTAATAAACAAAGGTATGCATGCATAGTAAATAACTTCTTCAGGTTGGTGGTTTATCTTGTTTATGATGTTTTTTGACATACAATAAGCTTTAACTTTTAATTTAGTGAAAGAATGTCGTGCTTTCATTTATGGTTTGTATTTTTCATTGTCTAGTATAAAAAATCATTACCCAAGATGTTATTCTAAGTTATTTCTCATATTTTCTAAATTTTTAAGAGTCTGATACTTCACTTTTAGGTCTTGAATCCAACTGAATTTATTTTTGGGTATGGATGTAATTTTACTCCATTTTCCTTATGAATAATCAATCGTTCTAGTACCATTTGAGTTTTTCATCCTTTCTCCTTCCCTTAATTTACATTGTCACTTTTTCTATATGTCTAGTTTTCATATATGTGTGGTTCTCTTTCTGTACTCTCTATTCTGTTCCATGTTTACTTATAGATTTCATTACTATAGAATATGTAACTTCATAAAATGTCTTGGTATTTTACATCATAAGTTGTTGTTCTGGCTCTTGACATTTGTTCTCCATATGAGTTTAAGGAGCAGCTTGTCAATGAAAACCTCTTTGGGGCTTTTAATCAGAATGGCTTTAAATTTATAGATTAATTTTTAAAGAACTGATATCTTTACTCTGAGTTTTCTATCTATAAATATAGTTGCTCTCTCATTTATTCCAAAATTCTTGCATGTCTGTTAATAATTATTTTTTTAAAATTCTTATATATTTTTGTTTGTTGGATTAATACCAGGTATTTCTAATTTTGATAGGAATTTTCTGTGGGAATTTAAAAAATTATATTTTCTATTACATTTTAAGTGGCTATTACTGGTGCAAAATAAAGTGATGTTGACTTTGTATCTAACACCTTACTGTACTCTTTTATACATTCAAACAATTTATAAGTTTTTAAAAATATTGGTTCCTCTTCTAATAGCCAAGTAAGCTCCTATCAGACTGAGCTTTCACCTTTAATAACTATACACATTGAACAGACAAACAAAAGAAAAAGAAAATTAAATAAAGCAAAAAGAGAAAACAAAGGCAACACTAGAAGGCACTGGAAGGTGAACCAAAGCAGGAATATTATGAAAGGGAGTTGATGCTTAGAAGCAGGCAATGACTCTAGATGAGTATCTCATTTTTAGGCAACTGAGGGGATTCTGCAGCATGTGAGGCAGCTAAAATTCTAGAGAAAATCTATCGTATTTCTGGCATGAAGAACCAGAGGAAAAAGTTAGGCAACAACAGTCTCTGGAAAGTTAAAGAGGAATCTCAGATAGCAGAAAGCCAGAAAGGGAATCTCCAAATTGTTTGTATAAACTCTGCCCAAATCTTGGTTAACACTTGAGCCATAGCTATGTGAGGCAGACTCTGAGAAGCTCAACTAACAATACAAGAAGTGAACTGAGATTTGAGTTGCTATCAAACACACAGAGTTTTTACTTTGAGTCTAGTCATATTAATTGCTTTGTAAACAAACCCAAACAATCCACACTCTTTGAAAGACCAATGATAAAACCCAGAGATTCCATAACATAATATTCACAATGCCCAGGATAAAATCCAATATTATTTGACTGCAAAGATTCAGGTATATGTGACCCATTCTCTAGGGAAAGAAAATCAACAGAGACCATTACTGGCTGTTGAAATTATCAGGCAAACTGTATAAAGGAGCAGCTATAAAAATGTTCAATGCTGTAAAAGAAAATATGCTCAGAATGGACAAAGGGAGAGAAAATTTCAGCAGAAGAATAAGAATTCAGAAATATGGAAATTCTAGAACTAAAAAATAAAATACATTAAATTATAAATTCACTAGACAGTCTTAACAATTGATTGGAGATGACAGGGAATTGTCATCTTAATGATGACATTAAGATAACTGTTATCTTAGGGGGAGGAGCCAAGATGGCCAAATAGGAACAGCTCCAGTCTACAGCTCCCAGCGTGAGCGACGCGGAAGACGGGTGATTTCTGCATTTCCATCTGAGGTACTGGGTTCATCTCACTAGGGAGTGCCAGACAGTGGGCACAGGCCAGTGGGTGCGCGCACCGTGCACGAGCTGAAGCAGGGCGAGGCATTGCCTCACTCGGGAAGCGCAAGGGGTCAGGGAGTTCCCTTTCCTAGTCAAAGAAAGGGGTGAAAGACAGCACCTGGAAAATCAGGTCACTCCCACCCGAATACTGCGCTTTTCCGATGGGCTTAAAAAACGGCACACCAGGAGACTATATCCTGCACCTGGCTCGGAGGGTCCTACGCCCACGCAGTCTCGCTGATTGCTAGCACAGCAGTCTGAGATCAAACTGCAAGGCGGCAGCAAGGCTGGGGGAGGGGCATCCGCCATTGCCCAGGCTCGCTTAGGTAAACAAAGCAGCCGGGAAGCTCGAACTGGGTGGAGCCCACCACAGCTCAAGGAGGCCTGCCTGCCTCTGTAGGCTCCACCTCTGGGGGCAGGGCACAGACAAACAAAAAGACAGCAGTAACCTCTGCAGACTTAAATGTCCCTGTCTGACAGCTTTGAAGAGAGCAGTGGTTCTCCCAGCACGCAGCTGGAGATCTGAGAACGGGCAGACTGCCTCCTCAAGTGGGTCCCTGAACCCTGACCCCCGAGCAGCCTAACTGGGAGGCACCCCCCAGCAGGGGCAGACTGACACCTCACACGGCCGGGTACTCCAACAGACCTGCAGCTGAGGGTCCTGTCTGTTAGAAGGAAAACTAACAAACAGAAAGGACATCCACACCAAAAACCCATCTGTACATCACCATCATCAAAGACCAAAAGTAGATAAAACCACAAAGATGGGGAAAAAACAGAGCAGAAAAACTGGAAACTCTAAAAAGCAGAGTGCCTATCCTCCTCCAAAGGAACGCAGTTCCTCATCAGCAATGGAACAAAGCTGGACGGAGAATGACTTTGACGAGTTGAGAGAAGTCTTCAGACGATTAAATTACTCCGAGCTACGGGAGGACATTCAAACCAAAGGCAAAGAAGTTGAAAACTTTGAAAAAAATTTAGAAGAATGTATAACTAGAATAACCAATACAGAGAAGTGCTTAAAGGAGCTGATGGAGCTGAAAACCAAGGCTCGAGAACTACGTGAAGAATGCAGAAGCCTCAGGAGCCGATGCGATCAACTGGAAGAAAGGGTATCAGTGATGGAAGATGAAATGAATGAAATGAAGCGAGAAGGGAAGTTTAGAGAAAAAAGAATAAAAAGAAGTGAGCAAAGCCTCCAAGAAATATGGGACTATGTGAAAAGACCAAATCTACGTCTGATTGGTGTACCTGAAAGTGACGGGGAGAATGGAACCAAGTTGGAAAACACTCTGCAGGATATTATCCAGGAGAACTTCCCCAATCTAGCAAGCCAGGCCAACATTCAGATTCGGGAAATACAGAGAACGCCACAAAGATACTCCTCGAGAAGAGCAACTCCAAGACACATAATTGTCAGATTCACCAAAGTTGAAATGAAGGAAAAAATGTTAAGGGCAGCCAGAGAGAAAGGTCGGGTTACCCTCAAAGGGAAGCCCATCAGACTAACAGCAGATCTCTCGGCAGAAACTCTACAAGCCAGAAGAGAGTGGGGGCCAATATTCAACATTCTTAAAGAAAAGAATTTTCAACCCAGAATTTCATATCCAGCCAAATTAAGCTTCATAAATGAAGGAGAAATAAAATCCTTTACAGACAAGCAAATGCTGAGAGATTTTGTCACCACCAGGCCTGTCCTAAAAGAGCTCCTGAAGGAAGCGCTAAACATGGAAAGGAACAACTGGTACCAGCCACTGCAAAATCATGCCAAAATGTAAAGACCATCGAGACTAGGAAGAAACTGCATCAACTAATGAGCAAAATCACCAGCTAACATCGTAATGACAGGATCAAATTCACACATAACAATATTAACTTTAAATGTAAATGGACTAAATGCTCCAATTAAAAGACACAGACTGGCAAATTGGATAAAGAGTCAAGACCCATCAGTGTGCTATATTCAGGAAACCCATCTCACGTTCACAGACACACATAGGCTCAAAATAAAAGGATGGAGGAAGATCTAACAAACAAATGGAAAACAAAAAAAGGCAGGGGTTGCAATCCTAGTCTCTGATAAAACAGACTTAAAACAACAAAGATCAAAAGAGACAAAGAAGGCCATTACATAATGGTAAAGGGATCAATTCAACAAGAAGAGCTAACTATCCTAAATATATATGCACCCAATACAGGAGCACCCAGATTCATAAAGCAAGTCCTTAGTGACCTACAAAGAGACTTAGACTCCCACACATTAATAATGGGAGACTTTAACACCCCACTGTCCACATTAGACAGATCAACGAGACAGAAAGTCAACAAGGATACCGAGGAATTGAACTCAGCTCTGCACCAAGCGGACCTAATAGACATCTACAGAACTCTCCACCCCAAATCAACAGAATATACATTTTTTTCAGCACCACACCACACCTATTCCAAAATTGACCACATACTTGGAAGTAAAGCTCTCCTCAGCAAATGTAAAAGAACAGAAATTATAACAAACTATCTCTCAGACCACAGTGCAATCAAACTAGAACACAGGATTAAGAATCTCACTCAAAACCGCTCAATAACATGGAAACTGAACAACCTGCTCCTGAATGACTACTGGGTACATAACGAAATGAAGGCAGAAATAAAGATGTTCTTTGAAACCAATGAGAACAAAGACACAACATACCAGAATCTCTGGGACGCATTCAAAGCAGTGTGTACAGGGAAATTTATAGCACTAAATGCCCACAAGAGAAAGCAGGAAAGATCCAAAATTGACACCCTAACATCACAACTAAAACAACTAGAAAAGCAAGAGCAAACACATTCAAAAGCTAGCAGAAGGCAAGAAATAACTAAAATCAGAGCAGAATTGAAGGAAATAGAGACACAAAAAACCCTTCAAAAAATTAATGAATCCAGGAGCTGGTTTTTTGAAAAGCAACAAAATTGATAGACCACTAGAAAAACTAATAAAGAAAAAAAGAGAGAAGAATCAAATAGACGCAATAAAAAATGACAAAGGGGATATCACCACCGATCCCACAGAAATACAAACTACCATCAGAGAATACTACAAACACCTCTACACAAATAAACTAGAAAATCTAGAAGAAATGGATAAATTCCTGGACACATAGACTCTCCCAAGACTAAACCAGGAAGAAGTTGAATCTCTGAATAGACCAATAACAGGAGCTGAAATTGTGGCAATAATCAATAACTTACCAACCAAAAAGAGTCCGGGACCTGATGGATTCACAGCCGAATTCTACCAGAGGTACAAGGAGGAACTGGTACCATTCCTTCTGAAACTATTCCAATCAATAGAAAAAGAGGGAATCCTCCCTAACTCATTTTATGAGGCCAGCATCATCCTGATACCAAAGCCGAGCAGAGAAACAACCAAAAAAGAGAATTTTAGACCAATATCCTTGATGAACATTGATGCAAAAATCCTCAGTAAAATACTGGCAAACCGAATCCAGCAGCACATCAGAAAGCTTATCCACCATGATCAAGTGGGCTTCATCCCTGGAATGCAAGGCTGGTTCAATATACGCAAATCAATAAATGTAATCCAGCATATAAACAGAACCAAAGACAAAAACCACATGATTATCTCAATAGATGCAGAAAAGGCCTTTGACAAAATTCAACAAACCTTCATGCTAAAAACTCTCAATAAATTAGGTATTGATGGGATGTATTTCAAAATAATAAGAGCTATCTATGACAAACACACAGCCAATATCATACTGAATGGGCAAAAACTGGAAGCATTCCCTTTGAAAACTGGCACAAGACAGGGATGGCCTCTCTCACCACTCCTATTCAACATAGTATTGGAATTTCTGGCCAGGGCAATTAGGCAGGAGAAAGAAATAAAGGGTATTCAATTAGGAAAAGAGGAAGTCAAATTGTCCCTGTTTGCAGATGACATGATTGTATATCTAGAAAACCCCATTGTCTCAGCCCAAAGTCTCCTTAAGCTGATAAGCAACTTCAGCAAAGTCTCAGGATACAAAATCAATGTGCAAAAATCACAAGCATTCCTATACACCAACAACAGACAAACAGAGAGCCAAATCATGAGTGAACTCCCATTCACAATTGCTTCAAAGAGAATAAAATACCTAGGAATCCAACTTACAAGGGATGTGAAGGACCTCTTAAAGGAGAACTACAAACCACTGCTCAAGGAAATAAAGGAGGATACAAACAAATGGAAGAACATTCCATGCTCATGGGTAGGAAGAATCAATATCGTGAAAATGGCCATACTGCCCAAGGTAATTTACAGATTCAATGCCATCCCCATCAAGCTACCAATCACTTTCTTCACAGAATTGGAAAATAGTACTTTAAAGTTCATATGGAACCAAAAAAGAGCCCGCATCGCCAAGTCAATCCTAAGCCAAAAGAACAAAGCTGGAGGCATCACACTACCTGACTTCAAACTATACTACAAGGCTACATTAACCAAAACAGCATGGTACTGGTACCAAAACAGAGATATAGATCAATGGAACAGAACAGAGCCCTCAGAAATAACGCCGCATATCTACAACTATCTGATCTTTGACAAACGTGAGAAAAACAAGCAATGGGGAAAGGATTCCCTATTTAATAAATGGTGCTGGGAAAATTGGCTAGCCATATGTAGAAAGCTGAAACTGGATCCCTTCCTTACACCTTATACAAAAATCAATTCAAGATGGATTAAAGACTTAAATGTTAGACCTAAAACCATAAAAACCCTAGAAGAAAACCTAGGCATTACCATTCAGGACATAGGCATGGGCAAGGACTTCATGTCTAAAACACCAAAAGCAATGGCAACAAAAGCCATAATTGACAAATGGGATCTAATTAAACTAAAGAGCTTCTGCACAGCAAAAGAAACTACCATCATAGTGAACAGGCAACCTACAAAATGGGAGAAAATTTTTGCAGCCTACTCATCTGACAAAGGGCTAATATCCAGAATCTACAATGAACTCAAACAAATTTACAAGAAAAAAACAAACAACCCCATCAAAAAGTGGGCAAAGGACATGAACAGATACTTCTCAAAAGAAGACATTTATGCAGCCAAAAAACACATGAAAAAACGCTCACCATCACTGGCCATCAGAGAAATGCAAATCAAAACCATAATGAGATACCATCTCACGCCAGTTAGAATGGCAGTCATTAAAAAGTCAGGAAACAACAGGTGCTGGAGAGCATGTGGAGAAATAGGAACACTTTTACACTGTTGGTGGGACTGTAAACTAGTTCAACCATTGTGGAAGACAGTGTGGCGATTCCTCAAGGATCTAGAACTAGAAATACCATTTGACCCAGCCATCCCATTACTGGGTATATACCCAAAGGACTATAAATCATGCTGCTATAAAGACACATGCACACGTATGTTTATTGCAGCACTATTCACAACAGCAAAGACTTGGAACCAATCCAAATGTCCAACAATGATAGACTGGATTAAGAAAATGTGGCACATATACACCATGGAATACTATGCAGCCATAAAAAAGGATGAGTTCACGTCCTTTGTAGGGACATGGATGAAATTGGAAATCATCATTCTCAGTAAACCATTGCAAGAACAAAAAACCAAACACCGCATATTCTCACTCATAGGTGGGAATTGAACAATGAGAACACATGGACACAGGAAGGGGAACATCACACTCTGGGGACTGTTGTGGGGTGGGGGGAGGGGGGAGAGATAGTATTAGGAGATATACCTAATGCTAGATGACGAGTTAGTGGGTGCAGTGCACCAGCATGGCACATGTATACATATGTAACTAACCTGCACATTGTGCACATGTACCCTGAAACTTAAAGTATAATTATAATAAAAAAAGATAATTGTTATCTTAATGATCAATCAATAGAAACTATGCAATATGAAGAACAGAGAGAAAAAAGATGAGGAAAAAATGAATAGAGACCCAGAGAACTGTGGAGAAATAATGCTATCTAACATATGCATAACTGGGGTCCCAGAAGTATAGGAGAGAGATAATGGACAGAAAAAATTAGTTAAAGACAATGTGCTGGGTATGTTTGCTCATGCCTGTAATTGCAGAACTTTGGGAGGCTGAGATGGGTGGATTGCTTGAGCTCAGGAGTTTAAGACCAGCCTAGCCAACATGGCGAGACCCAGTCTCTAACAAAAATGCAAAAAATTAGCCGGGCATGGTGGCGCATGTCTGTAGTCCCAGCTACTCAGGAGGCTGAGGTGGGAAAATCACCTGAACCTGGGAGGTTGAGGCTGCAGTGAGCTGTGATTGCTCTGGGTGACAGAGTGAGAGCCTGTCTCAAAAAAAAAAAAAAAAAATCATAATGCTATAAAAGTTTCCAAATTTGATAAAAGATATAAATTTACAGTTTCAAGAATTTCAATAAATCGTAGGATAAATTGACAGAAAAACATGCCCAAGCACATTACAGTCAAGCTGATGAAAACCAAAGATGAAGGGAAAGTCTTCAAAACAGCGAAAAATGATACGTTGTATATAAGGAAGCAATTATTCAAATGACTGATGACTTCCTCAAACAATGGAGTCCAGAAGTTAGTGAAATAACATATGTAAGGTGCTGAAAGAAAACGACAAAATCTGTCAACCCAGAATTTTATATCCAGATAAAATATTCTTAATAGGAATAATAACAAGATAAAACATTTTCAGATGAAAGAAATGAAGGGAGTTTATTTCCAGCAGAACTAGCAATGCTAAATTTCAAGAAATATTTCAGTTATAAAAATGTTAAGGAAGTTTGCCATGCTTAAAGGAAATGATACCAGATCTTTCTGAAGGAGAGAAGAACATGAGAAATAGTTAAAATAATAGATAAATTTTCACGTCTATATTTTCCTCTTAATTACTTGATAGTATGTATTCTTATTTAAGGCATAAAGTGTAAGAATGACTTGGGTCGTTTATAAATCCATATATAGATATATATATAAAACAACTATAGGATCAAAGCTGAGAAGGGTTGTCAATGTACCTATATTATTGCAAAATTTCTATATTATATTAAAAGGATTACAATAATAACTCTAGTCTTTTGGATTTCCTCTGTGAACAATAATAGCACCTACAAATAAAGGCAAATTTTGTCTTTTTCTTTTTAATTTTAATACTTATTATTTATTTTTCATGTCCTATTGAATTGAATAGGGCATTCAATGTAATGTTAAATACAAATTGTGGTAACTGGAAACTAAAAAGTTCTTGACTTCCATAAAAATTTTCTAAATTTCAAACCGAAGTGCAACATTTATATAAGTTTGTGGTGAGGTATTTTAGTTTAAGAATTTTCCTATTACTGAACAGTTTTACACTGTTGGTGGGAGTGTAAACTAGTTCAACCATTGTGGAAGACAGTGTGGCAATTCCTCAAGGATCGAGAACTAGTAATACCATTTGACCCAGCCATCCCATTACTGGGTATATACCCAAAGGATTATAAATCATGCTGCTATAAAGACACATGCACACGTATGTTTATTGCGGCATTATTCACAATAGCAAAGACTTGGAACAAACCCAAATGCCCATCAATGATAGACTGAATTAAGAAAATGTGGCACATGTACACCAATGAATACTATGCAGCCATAAAAAAGGATGAGTTCATGTCCTTTGTAGGGACATGGATGAAGCTGGAAACCATCACTCTGAGCAAACTATCACAAGGACAGAAAAGCAAACACTGCATGTTCTCACTCATAGGTAGGAATTGAACAATGAGAACACTTGGACACAGGATGGGGAGCATCACACACCAGGGCCTGTTGTGGGGTGTGGGGAGTGGGGAGGGATAGCATTAGGAGATATACCTAATGTAAATGACGAGTTAATGGGTGCAGCACACCAACAAGGCACATGTATACATATGTAACAAACCTGCACGTTGTGCACATGTACCCTAGAACTTAAAGTATAATAAAAAAATAAATTAATAAATAAATAATTTTCCTATTCCTACCTAGTTTTCAAATATATTTTAATAATGAAAAGATGTTGAATTTCACCTAGTTTTTTTTTTTTTTTTTTTTTTGTCTGAGACGGAGTCTCACTCTGTCACCAAGGATAGAGTGCAGTGGCATGATCTCGGCTCACTGCAACCTCTGCCCCCCGGGTTCAAGCTATTCACCTGCCTCAGCCTCCTGAGCAGCTGGGATTACAGGCGCGTGCCACCATGCCTGGCTAATTTTTGTATTTTTAGTAGAGGTGGGGTTTCACCATGTTGGCCAGGCTGGTCTGGAACTCTTGACCTCAGGTGATCCACCTGCCTTGGCCTCTCAAAGTGCTGGGATTACAGGCGTGAGCCACTGCGCCCGGCCCATCTAGTGTTCTTTCTCCATTTATTGACAGTTTGATTTTTTTCCCTTCAATCTCTGACTATGCTGTATTATTTTAATAGATTTTTTCTGATGTTGAAATATTCTTAAAATCCTTATATACTTTACTTGGTCACAATTATATTGTTACATGGTGTATTACTTTTACAAACATCTAAATTTGATTTGCTTTTTAAAAATTAATTTTTAAGGATTTTTACATGTATATACACACACAAGATTTATCTGTAACTTTCTTCTATGGCTTGATCTTGTCTTTTTTGGGTATCAAGGTTTTAACTAATATCCCAAAATGAGTACCTTTTTCTTCTCTTCCAACTCAGCAACAGTTCAAGGGAAATTATCTATTCCACCAATGTTTGGTAAAACTCTCCTTTAAAATGCTCTGGGTCTGATGACTCTTGGAGATGAAGATTTGACTACTGATTTAATTTTAAAATGGATTATTGATTTATTCAGTTATCTATTTCTTCTATAGTCAATATTGGTGTTATGGTTTGGATCTGTATCCCCACCAAATCTCATGTTGAAATGGAATCTCCAGTGTTGGAGGTGGGGCCTGGTGGGAGGTGATTGGCTCATGGAGGAAGAGTTCTCATGAATGGTTTAGTTTCAGGTGTTTATAGCAATGTGAGAACAGCAGAATACAATTGGTAATTTTTATTTTCTAAAGAGTTATTTTATCAAGTTTTAAAATTTATTTTCATAAAATTATTTATTGAATTCTCTCAGTTAAAATTTTTATGCCTGTAATCATGGCTCCCTTTTATTCTTAATATTATTAATACGTGTTTCTAATTTTTTCTTAACCAGTCTTGAAAGTGATTTGTCATTATCATTTTCAAATAATCAGCTTTACATTACCTTATGTTACTCTTTTGCTTTTATTATATTTCTTTCTTATCTTTATTATTTCCCTCCTTCTTCTTATATATGTCTTCGCACCAAGCATCTAAATTGAATGCTTAACCCATCTATATTTCATCTTACATGTTTTATACATTAATACATTTAACATTATAATTTTATACTTAAATACTTTTATGGCTTCATCTCATAAGTTTTTATATGTAGTTAATTCATTACTATTGTTTAGTTCTAAACAGTACTAGTTTTCATTGTGAATTTCTGTTTTACTTGTGAGTTAATTTTGGGCACTTAATGTCTTTAATCACACATTTTTTGGTGCTATCTTTGTATATTTTTACAAAATTTGATTACATTTTGATGAGAAAATGCGGTTTATATTATACTAAATCTTTGATCTTCATTGAGGTTTCCTTTGTGACCTAAAATATCACTGTTAAAAAATATTTGATGTAAAAAGAATGTGTATTGCTAGTTCTTTGAGTGCAGAATTATATACAGCCATTCTTTTCTATCCCCCTTCTATCGCTTCTTACTCATTTTTTCTTAATTCATGTTTTGCCTGGTATTAACATTGCTGTATTAGGTTTGTCTTTCACATATGTGTTTGCCTGGTATTAACATTGCTGTATTAGGTTTGTCTTTCACATATGTGTTTGCCTGGCATATTTTTTCTCTTTTATTTTTAATCCTGTAGGATCTTTTGTTTTAGATGTTCTCGTACAAGTAGCATATAGCAGGAGTTTTTATTTTATTTTATTTTATTTTCAAAAACAGGGTCTTACCATTTGCCCAGTTTGGAGTGCAGTGGTGTGATCATAGCTCATAGTATCCTCTACCTCCTGGGCTCAAGCTATCCTCCATCCTCCTGCCTCATCCTCCTGAACAGCTGGGACACAGCTGTGCACCACCACATCCAATAAATTTTTAATTTTTTGTAGAGATGGAAGTCTTGCTATGTCTCCCAGTCTGGTTTCGAACTCCTGGCCTCAAGGGATCCTCCTGTCTTGGCTTCCCAAAGTGCTGGGATTATAGGTGTGAGCCACCACCACTGACCTATTTTTATAATCATTAGATAATCTCTATCTTTGAATATATGGATAAATCCTTTTACATTTAATGTACTTACTGATACAATTTTTACCATCCTATTTTGAATTTTCTTTTTCTTTTTTTTTTTTTTTTTTGAGACAGAGTCTTGTTATGTAGCCTGGGCTGGAGTGCACTGATGCAATCTTGACTCACTGCAACCTCTGCCTCCCTGGTTCAAGTGATTTTCCTACTTCAGCCTCCTGAGTATCTGGGATTCCAGGCATGTACCACCACACCCGGCTAATTTTTGTATTTTTAGTAGAGACAGGGTTTCACTATGTTGGCCAGGCTGGTCTCAGATTCCTGACATCAAGTGATCCACTCGCCTCGGCCTCCCAAAGTGTTGAGATTACAGGCATGTGCCACTGCACCCGGCTTGAATGTTCTTTATACCATCTTTATCTGCCTTTTTGTTTTCACTTTTCTGCTCTCTATTGGGTGGACAAAGTTTTCTAGAGTCCCCCCTTTTAATCTGTACTGATTTGGAAGCTACACATCGAGTTTCCGTTTTTCAGTTATTTTTAACTTTTTAACCAACACCCTTAGCTGTACATTTTTCTAACATATTATTTCTTTCCTGCCCCTGAATGTGACATGGGCGTATATCAACCATCCATGGAATATTGTATCCATCTTAACATTGGTTTTAGTTTCTTTTTTAAAAAACATTCTTTTTCACTTAATAGTTAAATACGTTTACTAAAACATTTTACCTTTTCCCTGATCACTTTTACTTTTAAAATTCTATATACATATATCTCTGAGTTTACTTTTTTTTCCCCCTGAAATAATCCTTTAATTATTTCCCTAGCGAGGGTCTGTGGGTATTTAACTCTTGTTTTTTCTAAACACAGATTTCCCTTCCATGAGTCTTGAATTGATAGTTTATCTGTGGATAAAACTTGAGGTTGAGAGTTACTAATTTTTCTTATCAAGTTGAAAATATAATTTCATTGTCTTCCATCATTTATTGTTGCTGATGAGAAGTTCCAATGTTGTTCTAACTGTAGTTCCTTTGCAGATAATCTGTCTTTTCTCTCTGGTAGCTGTAAACATTTTCTTTTTATTCCTCATGTTCTGCAGTTTTACTGTGACAGTTCTGGGAATGGCTTTATCATTATTTATCCTGATGGGTAGTTGGGGTGTACTGTCCATCTGAGGATTCATGTCTTTCTTCAAATCTGGAAAATTTTAAATTCTGAATAATGCTTCTTCACCATTTTGTCTGTTTCCCTATTAGAGAATTCCTGTTGGACCCTTAGATCATGTCAGTCATTCTCTGTGGATGTTAATTTGTATAATCTTTCCGTACTGTGTTCCGGGCAGATTCCTAGCAGTTTTTCGCTTCTCTCTGTGTCAGATCTGGGCATATATCATTCATTAAGTTTTGTTTTTTTAACTCAATGCCTTCATTTTTTTTCATTTACATCTGCTTTTATTTTAATTTCTCACACTTTTAAAATGGAAGTTATTCATTTATCTCATTGGGCAACTGAACATACCTATTTTAAAGTTTTGCCAGCTGGATCCACACACTTAATTTCCTCTAGGGCATATTCGTGTTTTGAAGGTTGATTTTGTTGGCTGTCTTTCTCAGTATTAGATTTCTTCCTCTGTTTTGGAATTTTGCTTTGCAGGCTTATTTTGAGTGGGAGGCTTTTGTTTTTGTTTTTCTTCTTTCTGTTTCCTTCTGTGTTCACCCCTCCTGGGCCGGGGGTTTTGTGGTCACCTTTGTGCAGCTGTTCAGGACTCCCTGCCCTAAACCTGGCAGTGCTGCAGTGCTCCTGTCCCACAGTGGCTTTGGGGATATACTGTGGCTTCCTTCCTGTCTTGATCGGACACTGTGTTTCTGTCTTCTTTTTCCTTCCTAGGTTTGTAGCTTATTCAAAACTCTAGCTCCCAGGGGAGGGTTAGCCACAGCTTTTAATTTCTTTTATGGATGGGTATTGGGAGCGGGGGTGGGAATTGGTGAGTGATGCTAGTCCCATACTGTTGAGTAGAGTAAATGTATCCTCTTTACCCCACTGGAACCAAACTGCAGACTGCCACAGCCTCCTTCCAGAACAGCCGTCTAGCAGGCCCCCAGCTCCAGCAGAGCCCACTGACTTGCATTTCTCTCCTGTTTCTGTTTCATGGGGAGATTTATCTTGTTATTTGAGTCTCACTATGCCTTCAGTGCTCTGTGTTTCTACTTAATCTATTTTTTTGTCTGTATTTGGACTGGGGGAGGCATGTCCCATAAATAGGTCTTAATTAGGAAATGTCATAAATTGAATTATGTTTTAGAAAGAGCTCTCTGGGCTGGTTGTCGTGGCTCACGCCTGTAATTCCAACACTTTGGGAGGCTGAGGTGGGAGGATTGATTGAGGTCAGGAGTTTGAGACCAGCCTGGGTAACATAGTGAGACCCCCAACTGTACAAAAATTTTTAAAGAAATAGCTGGGCATGGTGGCATGCACCTGTCCAGCTACTCAGGAAGCTGAGGTGGGAGGATTGCTTGTGCCGAGGAGTTCACGATGGCAGTGAGTGATGTTTGTGCCACTGCACTTCAGCCTGGGCAACAGAGTGAGACCCTGTCTCTAAATAAAAAAAAAAAGGTGGCAGGACAGTTTCCCCTCTAATTTACTACAAAATTCCAAACCTTTACCAGCTGAGAGACAATTACTACTACCTCAGGGTAGGAATTTGCATTTGCAAAGCCCCACACATGCGGTTTCCTGGGATCCCCAGAGGGACCCAGGAGGAAACAAGGGCACATGCTGTCATCTCACTTTCAAAAAATGAGAAAACTTGGTTGAGTGAGATATTCAGAGTCACAGGGCCAGTGAGTGTGCGGGAGAGCAATAAGCTCCGCCCTCTGGAGGGTCTCTACCCACAAGTGTTGCAGGTCAGTGTCTTGTTTTGGACCAGATTAAATGGGTTAAATTTGGGAGCACTTGGTAAAATGAGGAGAGACCCAACTTTTTTCCCTTGAAATCTGGTGACTGGTTCAGTAACAGGGAAGGGAAGAAGGAAGGAAGGAAGGAAGGAAGGAAGGAAGGAAGGAAGGAAGGAAGGAAGGAAGGAAGGAAAATGATATGCGAATAATCAGCCCACTGTCTCTGTCTGGTTCTCTGTGGTCAGTTTGTAGTAGGGTCTAGTTTGGTGTGGGTCACACCTTGGCAGGTCGGGAGACCTGTGCCCTGGGGGTGATCACAGATCAGTACATCTGGGAGTGAGGACTGCTCTCTGTACTATTTGTGTTTGTTGGGGCCAGCACGAAGAGGTTCATGAGATCCCATGGTGCTTTCTGCTTTGTCCCCACCGTTTTCATCCAGGTAAAATCAGATCCATGTGGGGAATGGAGGGGAAGGAGAATCGTAAAAGGCCAAGTGAAGTCTGAGGGCCAGAGGACGCAGGGGAAGGGAGTCTATAGACCCACACGTCTGCTTGTTTATTATAAAGTCATCCACGACATGCCTCTGACATGCCAGGCCTCGTACACAATCCCAGGATGCAGTGTGAGGCATGGCAAAGCCCTCCACTCCCCAGGACAGTCCTTAAGTCTTGAAGACAGACATGCAGGTAGACACATCTAAGGTGGGAAATTAAGAGTAGCATTTCCCTTGGATGGTGAGGAGCTTTGTGGGCTGGTTCAGAGCACAGTTTCCACGACCAGCTGGCTGGGAAGGCTGGTCTCTCCCCAGCTGTCTCCCTCAGCGGGGGATTCAAGGAAGGAGGCCAACTGTGGCTCTAAGCCAAAAATGGAGTGCCCGTTTTCTCAGAATCAGGCGTCAGCACTGGCAAAACTTCCCCAATGGTGACCAAAATTGCTCCCCTGGACGCATGTATTTTCTGCTTTTCTCTGTTTCAGGTAAGAAAGACTCAGAAAAGGGAGAGAAGACGGAGCCTGTCATGACACAGAGCCTCAGCAGAGGCTTGTCTCCAGCGTCAGGCACTGATGACATTCGCTGAGCCACAGCCCATGCCTGGAAGGTTTCCGACGTTCATATAGACCACAGACCTTCTCCAGAAGTCACCACCAACAGGGGCTACAAGATCACTGGCAAAGAAATATATCAGAGTGCCATTCTAACAAAATAGATTCTTAAAAAAACACGCTGTGACAGAGGCAGAGTAATTGTAAGAAGGGCATTGCAGGAATAATTTTATTGCCTCTGTACTGCTCCCCCCCCAAGAAAACCCCACATGTCTGTGAATATCTTTGCAACTTCCTATATAATTCTAGTAATTCTAATATAAGTATTTAATAGACAGTGCAGGTCATTGGAAATCTTCAAATTCCAGTTAATTTGGATACTGTACTAAACATGATTACTGTCCATGTGGCTTAGGCTTCAAGGGAGAAAACTAAATAATGGGATGTCATTTGATATGGTCTGGTTGTGTCCCCACCCAAATCTCATCTTGAATTGTAGCTCCCATAATTCCCACATGTCATGGGAGGACTCAGTGGGAGGTAATTGAATCATGGGGGTGGGTCTTTCCCAGGCTGTTCTTGTGATAGTGAATAAATCTCACGAGATCTGATGGTTTTATAAACGGGAGTTCCCCTGCACAAGCTCTCTTGCCTGCCACCATGTAAAACGTGACTTTGCTCCTCTTTTGCCTTGTGCCATGAGTATGAGGCCTCCCCAGCCATGTGGAGCTGTGAGTCCATTAAATCTCTTTCCTTTGTAAATTACCCAGTCTTGGGTATGTTTTTATTAGCAGCATGAGAACAGACTAATACATTGTGTATATAAAGAATATCAAACGTGTGATAAGAATGCATTTGATTAGTTGAAGAGAGAGCTCCTGGTGTTGGTTCAGTGAACAGTGCTGCTGACCTGCAGCCTCGGGGGGCTCAGGGAGAGAACAGGCCTTTCTGCCTCTGTGTGTCCCACAGACCTCAGCACCTACCCCATGCCCAGCCTGGACCCTGCAACTCAGTCAGGACCCTGCTTATCAATCCTGGGCACTTGCTAGGTTTTCTCTTCAGCTGCATGCAGTGCACAGTTAATTACTAAGATGAGAAAATGCCCCTTTCCACGGAAATTATGGAAATGCTATCAGACGTTAAGGATTAATGAGTATGAACAGGTGTGAGATTAGATGCAGCTGAAAAGAACTCGGCATGGTGGCTGGCTGCTTGTTACAGTCATTGTTAAAGCTGCCAAAACAAAACAAGAAATTCTATTGCTCAGGTGATTTTTCTTAAAAACATTTTTTTTCTTCATTTTCACTAAGCACTCTCGTTTTCTTGCCCATGTAGCTAATAATCCCATTGATGAGGGACTTTGCCTCAGAGGATCAGTTTCGTCACTGGTAGCTTCACAGAGAGTTGAATGACACACACAGGTCTCAGCCTTGTCAATCTAGAGTCCATGCTAATTGGCATCCCTAAGAACAGGCCCCACCAGCTTGAAGTAATTTACAACCTCATGTTTCCAATCAGTCATGTATAAGGGAAAGCTTGCAGGAGTGGTGGACACTTTTCAGGAAAGTCTTGTCCCTTTTTATAAAACACACTAGACATGAATCTCAGAACGTTATTGTGCTTTTTTTTTTTTTTTTGGCTGTTGTTGTTAACATTCAAATCCCTCCCCAGTCAGCCATGGGGTGATGTTGTTCGATTTCAGTCACATGTAGGACTCTAAAGCTACAGGGTTGAAGATGCCATGAGATCGCCACCCTCCCACCAGGGGCCCATCCACAGACAATGCATGATGGAATGTGGAGCGTGGGGAGAGCCTGCCTTTGTACTTGGTATGTTTGATTAATTAATGTGAGAATGAAATCCATGTCATGTACAAGGTGCTAGAACTGGCAGGATGCACCTTTTATAGAGAGCTTGTTTTTCCCAGAAAGAGCTTGTATTCAGAGTGGGAGATAAGACTCTGTTAGGTAATGGATCCGAAATGGATTTCATCATCTTACTGTCATAGTAAGGATATGGGGTCCTAGCGAGATTCGGTGCTCATTGCTGGCATCCCTGAAGGCCCATCCAGGGGCTGGCTGTGACCATGAGCAGATTAAGGGCCTCCCTTGGTAGTTGCTCCAGTGGGAGTTGTTGGCTTCTGGGTCTTGTGTTCCAGTGACCCAAATTCACAACAAAAAGGGGATTGATGAACTTGATGTCGAATATTCATTTATGCTGAGAGACTTAACTGTGAAGATTAGGATTCTATTTATAACAGCCCTATATAGAGACGCTTGCCTTGTAGGCGGTCCTTCCCGGGGAAAGAATGTGCAACTCTGTGTGGCATTTCTCAAAAGGGAGCGCCTCTCTTCAGGGTGCTGAGGCCTCTCCTGGGAGGCTGTGAACTGAAACTTGCATTCAGCTGAATCATGGCAGGAGGGGAGACGTGAGGGGAGTTTGGAGTGGGGGAGGGCAAATGTTAGGTTCTGGAAAATGTCATTGACCATGAAGGCAGTTTTCCACAGCTGCAATTGAGCAAGCTGTTAATTCATTCATCTCAGCAAAGCCAGAAGGAGACGTTCTGGAGGCAGACTCCAAAACCCCCTAACTGGCCACACTTCTCCCAGCCTACTGGATGAGGCTGGGAACTTTTCCCAAACCAGACTGAAGTTTTAAAATGCAAATCCTGGTTGAGGGGACACACTGAAATTTATGCCCACTAAATAAAATCACACTACTGGTCAAGTATAAATACAAATAGCAGACTTGCTTTGTAAACTTTAAGATAGAGAAGGGTGGAGGGAGGGAGTTTGGGGTAGATCTGGGAGTCTGAACTCAGGGAGAGAAGAAGCAGAAGAGAAAGCTCACGTTTGCTGTGATGATGGCCCTACAAAGGCTTATTGGTTTACTATGTGCCAGGCACAGGGTGACTACTTAATTCCACTCAGTCATTTCAACAATGCTATGAAGTACGGATTATTCACTCCCATTTTATTGATGAAGAAGCTGAGGCTTCAGAGGCTACACAGTGAAATTTCTCCCATCCCCAGGAGGCTCTCTGCAGCATTTTGTCATGCCAGCTGCAGGCCTTTGCAGCACAGCTTCGACAGTTTCTACTGTTTTTTTTCTAATTATTCATGTGCTTTGACACAGAGAAAGTTTCATCCCACAAGCATTATAATTGGGATTTTCATTGGAACTTACACAGCTATGGCAGCCAGTGCTAAGTGGCCCACAGAGAGGTGCTGAGAATTAAACAACACAGAGTGCAGTTCAGGCCAAGGAGCTTGGGAGAATTCCTGGAAGGGGAAAGATGTGAGCGGGACCTTGGCGGGAGGAGGGAGGACTAGGATGTCTGCATACAGGAATGGGGAGGAGCCGTGGATGACAGAGACTTTAGGAATGAAAACACTAAAGAAATTGGTGGCTACTTTGATAAGATCAGGGATGAAGAAAAGGAAGTGAAAAAAGTTCTGGTAATGGTTGACTAGAGGATGGTGATACCATCTCCTTTTCCTCATTGGAGTCAGATGTAGGCTCTAAATCCATCCTTTAATCATTAACACCTACCTCCCGCTCTCCTTTTGTCCATGACTCGCTTTACTTTTCTCCTCAGCACCATCATACAATATATTTATTTATTTTATTGCCTTTCCCTCAACTACATTGTAAGGTTCCAGTGCAGGGATATTTGTCATTTTGGTTCTTTGCTGTATCCTCAGAACCTGGAGCAATACAGGACTAAGTGTTCTCTCTGTGTGTGTGTATGTATATGCATATATATGTACATACTGTGTGTGTGTGTGTGTGTGTGTGTGTGTGTGTATAGCCAAAGCAGTTAGTCCTGTTTTACGTTTCATATACTTTTTAGTTTTTTTTTTTTTTGAAACAAAGTTTTGCTCTTGTCGCCCAGGCTGGAGTGCAGTGGCACAGTATCAGTTCACTGCAATCTCTACCTCCCAGGTTCAAGCTATTCTTTTGCCTCAGCCTCCCAAGTAGCTGGGATTACAGGCACCCACCACCACGCCTGGCTACTGTTTGTATTTTTAGTAGAGATAGGGTTTTGCCATATTTACCAGGCTGGTCTCAAACTCCTGACCTTGAGTGATCAACCCGCCTTCGCCTCTCAAAGTGCTGGGATTATAGACATGAGTCACCATACCCGGCCTACATTTTAATTCTTAAATAAGAAAATTTCACACAAATGGTAACTAATTTATTCTGCTAATTATCAATATAGCAGAAATTGTTCAAGTACCCACAAAACCACTTTGTTTCTTACTTTCAATACAATATTCAAAAAATTACATGAGAAATTCAACACTTCAGTATAAAATAGGCTCTGTGCAAGATGATTTTGCCCAACTGCAGGCTACTGTAAGTGTTCTGAGCACGTTTAAGGTAGGCTAGCTAGGCTAAGCCCTGCTGTTCGGTAGCTTAGGTGTATTAGAGGCGTTTCAACTTACTGTATTTTCAACTTAAAATGAGTTTATCAGGGGTTACCCCATTGTAACCCAAGGAGCACCTGTATTTCCAAATCAACATTTGGGGAATGAAAATATTTAGGACCACGGGAATAGAAAGGCCTGAGGAGTCTCTGTAGGTCTTGCTTGTCTGGGGTTGCATGGGAAGAGGGGAGCCAGGTGATTGCATGCAGGGTCTGACACAGATGCCTGGGGGCAAGGACCCTGTGGAGTCAGCAGTGGAAACCTGTGGGCTGGCACTGAAACGAGCAGCTGCTGCCATGTCACTGAGTAGATGTGGGGTGCCAGTGAAATCAGTCATATCACTGAGCCCTGATAGAATGGTGGAAAATATATACTCCCAGCAACATGATTCTGCCAGTGCCCAGAAGAATAGAAATGGACATCTTCGATAAGGAGAAAGTAAGGAGGCAGCGTGGTTCCTCAAATCTTCCTGCATTGAATTAAAGCTACAGAGAAAAGCTGTTAGTGCAAATAAGCTCTGCATTTAGGCACAGGCTTAGGTGATTTGTTTTTGATCTCACATGTTTTCTGATAAATATATCTGGAATTACAAATTTCCTTCTGAGTATTGCATTTGTTTTATCACATACGTATTGTTGGGAAGTATTTTCCCCTTTACTTTTATTTGGCATATAATAATTGTACATATTTATGGGATACAGAATAATATTTTGATGTGTATACATTGTGTAATGATTAAAACAGGATAATTAGCATATCTATCCCCTCAAACATTTATCCTTTCTTTTTGTTGCAAACATTCAAAATCCCCTCTTCTAGCCTTTTAAAATTATACCATATTGGCTGGGCACGGTGGCTCACACCTGTAATCCCAGTACTTTGGGAGGCCAAGGCAGGCAGATCACCTGAGGTCAAGAGTTTGAAACCAGCCTGGCCAACATGGTGAAACCTTATCTCTACTAAAAATACAAAAATTAGCTGGGCTAGGTGATGGGAGCCTATAATCCCAGCTACTTGGGAGGCTGAGGTAGGAGAATCGCTTGAACCCGGGAGGTGGAGGTTGCAGTGAGCTGAGATCACGCCATTGCACTCCAACCCGGACGACAAGAGCAAAACTCTGTCCCCCACCCAAAAAAAAAAAAAAAAAAAAGATATACTGTATTACACTGCTGGTGGGAACATAAGCTAGTACAACCACTATGGAAAACAGTATGGGGATTCCTTAAAGAACTAAAAGTAGAACTACCATTCGATCCAGCAATCCCACTAGTGGGTATCTACCCAAAGGAAAAGAAGTCATTATATGAAAAAGATAATGCACATGCATGTTTACAGCAGCACAGTTCACAATTGCAAAAATATGGAACCAGCACAAATGCCCATCAATCAATGAGTGGATAAAGAAATTGTGGTATATATATATATATATATATATATACACACACACACCATGGAATACTACTCAGCCATGTAAAGGAATGAAATAATAGCATTTGCAGCAACCTGAATGGCACTGGGACTGTTATTCTAAGTGAAGTAACTCAGGAATGAAAAACCAAACATTGCATGTTCTCATTCATAAGTGGGAGCTAGGCTATGAGGATGCAAAGGCATAAGAATGATACAGTGAACTTTGGGGGCTCTGGGGAAAGGGTGGAGGGGGTTGCAGGATGAAAGACTACAAATTGGGTACGGTGTATACTGCTTGGGTGATGGGTGCACCGAAATCTCAGAAATCACCACTAAAGAACTTATTCATGTGGCCGAACACCACTTGTTCCCCAAAAACCTATGGAAATAAAAACATAAAATTAAAAAATACCATAAATTACATTTGACCATATTCACCCCAAAGTGCTGACATGAAGTACTTTTTATTGATGTTCAGTTTTAGTATTTCAAAATTATAATTTCTTCTTCATATAAGATGTACTTAGTGGCATGTGTTTTGATTTCCAGACATATGAACTTCTAATTTTTTATTAGCTAACATTTTTGTTGATTTCTACTTTTGTTAATAATTGTTAATAATTTCTACTCCTACGTCAATGTGATAAATAAACACAGTTTATGCAATGCTATATCTTTTTCTAAAATTTATTGAAGATTACTATGTGAGTAGTACCTGGTCAATTTTTACAAATATTATGTGTGCTTGAAAAAATTATATTTTTAAGATTCTACATTTATCTAATATTTCAAACTTATTAGTCATGCTATTTAGATCTTCTATGTATGCAAACTTTTTGCAGCTTGATCTATCCCTTTCTGAGATGAACATGTTAAATCTCATTGAACATAAATAAAGGCTATATTATCAGATACATATATGTTTGTGATTATTAAAACATTTTGATCTGTTTTTTTCCTCTAAAGGAGTATATATCATTCTATATCTAGAGATATGTATATATGTTTTTTCATGATGATTTTTGCCTTGAATTTTGTTCAATATTAAAATTTGTCCCACAATAGTGCACATATCCACATGACCTTTTCATCTTTACATTTACCCTACTGCCACAGCCTAATGTCACTTAGCACCTACGATACTGGGAATGTACACAATAATTTCAACCAGCATTCTCCCAGAAGCCCACACTTGGGCCGTTGTGTCAGCAAAAATAGCCCAACTGTGTGTATGATTGCTTCTTCATGGTGCAAACTTCTCATGGTGGTGCAGTTGTCTGGCAACACCTAGACCATATCTAGAACCAGAGCTGCCAAGAGGTCTGAGAAATGCAGTTTGTGTGTGTGGCATTAATGTTCTAGAAGGCATTTGGAAAAGACGTTGGGCAAGTCAATCCATAGTATCTGCCATATTTGATTATCTTAACCCTGTGTAATCTCTGCCTACTCCTAGAGATCTTGTGCTCTGTAACATTTTTAAATCCCTTTTTCTTCTATTATCATATTTATTTGATTTCTAGTGAAGCTTATTTTGTGTACTCTTTCAACTGGACTGTTGAAAAAATATTTGAGGACTTTTTGACCTGGGAGTACCTGGGAAAGTATCTTAAAATATCATATAAACAATAAATATTTGCTTATTAAACAATGCAATTTCAAGAGACTGGATTTATAAAGCTATGTTGTATTTTAAGAAATTTTTTTAGGTAAAACCAAGACTTTATAAATCTGAACACACTTCAAGAGTCTGATTGCTTTATACGGGAATTCTTCACTTTAACAAAACATTTTAAAAGGTTTAGCATAGGTTACACAGAAACAATTGCACTTGTAGAGGACTTCAAATGTGAAATGTGGCCATTACTTATAGAAAATCACATTCCAAATGGGCACGGTGGCTCATGCCTGTAATCCTAGGCCTGTAATCCTTTGGGAGGCTGAGATGGAAGGATTGCTTGAGCCCAGGAGTTTAACATTAGCTTGGGCAACATAGTGAGATTCTGTCTCTACACATAAAAAAAAAATAGCCGGGTATGGTGGCACATGCCTACAGTCCCAGATACTTGGGAGGTTGAGGTGGGAGAATCATTTGCGCCCAGGAGATCGAAGCTGCAGTGAGCCGAGATTGTACTACTGCACTTCAGCCTGGGCAACAGAGTGGGAAACTGTCTCAAAAGAAAAAAAAAAAAGGAAAATCACATTACATGTGACAAGTAATACATCTGTAACATAAAGCACCATGTACCTTTAGAATATTTAGCAGTAGAGTAATTGAACTGAGAGAAGACAATGTGTTACCAAATGCTGACAATAATATATATCGGACAGAACAAAAAAACAGCATTTAGAATGACTTGAAATCACAAAAATCATCTTAAACATGATTGTTCGTATTATTTATAGCACATTCACATCTGATCTCTAAAACACATTTTAGCATGGCGTATCTGAGTGTTTAGACAACATGATGATTTCTGCCTATTATTTTGACCTTCCTCTGGATTGGTGGTGTGGGGATGTGTGTTCATCATTCACACAACATGCAGAAAGTGCATCTACTGAGAATCTTGGCTGTTTCTCTTCTCCCCATCATCACTGCCAGTTGCCCTAGTTTAGGTATGAGCTCTCTCTCTTTTCCTTTTGTTTTTTCTTTTCATGGCTTGGACAAATGTGATAGACCGTTATGTCTCTTTTGCTTCTATTCCTTTTCCCCTTAGTATGTTGGGGAATGCTTTGGGCTACAATAAACAGCATTATTTGACCTAAGCTGACTTAAACCATAAAAAACTTACTATGGACCAGACACAGTGGCTCACGCCTGTAATTCCAGTACTTTGGAAGGCTGAGGAGGAAGGATCACTCGAGCCCAGGAGTTGGAGACCAGCCTGGCCAACATGGTGAAACCGTGTCTCCACTAAAAGCACAAAAATTAGCTGGGCGTGGTAGCATGCACCTGTAGTCCCAGCTACTCAGGAGGCTGAGGCAGGAGAATCGCTTGAACCTGGGAGGTGAAGGTTGCAGTGAGCCGAATCATGCCACTGCACTCCAGCTTGGGCTACAGAGTGAGACTACATCTCAAAAAAAAGCAAACAAAAACAAAAACAAAACAAAACAAAACAACACCACCAAATTTATTATGTTGAATACCTGGGAGTCGGGGGTGGAGCTGGCTCAAGGCAGCTGAGTCTGAGTGATGCCATGAAGAGCCACGGCTCACTTTGTGCCCCTACTCTACCCTTTTCAGCCTCAGTTTCACTATGGAGCTATCTGTGGCAGTTCACGGCAACAGTGAATGCGTGTTTTGCAAAGAGAAAGGGAGAGAGAGGGACAGAGACAGAGACAGACACAGACAGAGAGATCTCTCCTATGCATATTATATGCATCATCCTCTTTAGGCTGATTAGCCCAAATAAGTCTCTTGTCAGTGCCTGAACCAAGAACAGTTATCAGAGCAATGCCATATATTGAATGGCTTGGACTAATCAGGATCGCCCTTTCGAGCTGGGGTTGGAGTAGCAAGACAAGTGTCTATGCAGGAATCAGATGGCATACTCAATTCCAAAAGAATTCAATAAAGAGGCACATTAGTGAGGTACAGGGAGGGTGAAAAGAGCCAACCAACAATGGTGACGCTGTCAGGGGACCAGTAAGTGTGGGACGCTAGTGCCATCCCTGTGCCTGAGGGGCAGGGAGAGGGAATAATGTTACTGACACACATCAAAAGCTGTAGCCATGGGAGGGGCCCACAGACAGATGCTGTGGACAAGGAGGGACACACAGCCACAGCCAGGCCAGGAGGCGATAGAAAGAAATATCCCAGGGTCTGTCTTCTCCCAGATGCTTGTGCTCCCCAAGGCTGGACCCAAACAGAAGCCAGAGGGTAACAAAGGCTGGTGATGTGGAGAACAGGATAGAGAGGGAGGAGGCCAGTTCTGGAGGGACAGATGCAGACAGGCAGCACAGCGACACAACACAACCTGTGAGGCAGGAAGACAGGGGGCGTAGGAGGCAAGCAGCAACCTCTGTGTCAGGGGGATCACTCAGAAATGCAAATGCAATCATGTAACTGTCCCACTTTCCGTATTTCAGACTCCCCCGCACCCTTACCATAAAATCTTCAGCATGCACTTCAGGATCTCACGATCCAGCTCTGCTTCCCTTCCCAGCCCCATTTCTCCCTTCTTTCCTTCAGGTGCCCTGAACTCCAGGCATATTAAACCCCTTCAAATTTCTTCTTCTGGTTTAGTACGTTTGCCGCCTTTGCACAAATTGTTTTCATCTGTCTTCCCACTTTGTAGCCTGGCTAGCCATTGTTCCCCTGGGACTAGTCAAGCATCTCCCACTCTGGAAGCCTCCTTTTCTCAGTTTCCCCCAGGTTGAGAGGTCTCTTTCCCTGAACCCACATGGTCCTGGGGTTGACCCTGGTCTCAGCTGACCACACCACAGGGTGACAGTTTACTCCTCTGTTCTTTCCAAGACCGTGAGCCCCTCCAGGGTAGGGATTTGGTTTTTCTTTCCCATATCAATGAGGAGTTGTGGAATAAATCATTTCATTCAAATGAACATTGATTTCATTCTATGTCACAGCCTTTATCAAGGTCTCGAGGAACACTGGATTTAGGCCTGGGCTCAAGTCCTGGTTGTACCCTAAAATTGCTGCATGAGTTTGTGTAAACCCTTAGCCTTTTGAGACGATTTCTTCATTTACAGAATGGAGATAACTTTTCACGGATGTTTTGGGACATGAATGTAATAATTGCAAACCTTCTCATACTCACTGTCTGGCTCTTAATGCTCTCCACGATCCAGTTTCCAAATCACCCCAATCTAAATGGCCATGCCCAGCCTTTTACTACAGACCATGTTCACTATACAGCCACCTTGATCATGGTCCCAAGGCCACCAGCCCCACCTCCCAGCCTCTGAGAGCTCGCCATCCATTGCTCTCCTCAGTCAAACTTTGCCCTTTTCTCTGCCTGCAAACTATACGTAGGCTCACGCTTTAGGGAACTACATCAGAGAAACTGTTTAGAAATCATATACAAAGCCAAGGGGGCTTTTTTCACTAGAAGGTGAGATGTTATTTTGCTTGAACATCAGGTTTCGTTCTGACACTTCTAGCAAACAAAAATAAGGTTCAAGCCGAGACATTTTAAAGAACCAGTAATTGCCATTACAAAACGATTACAAAGACTGTTATTATTATTCTCTATGTTCACTTCAATTTGACATTTTGCCACAATCATTTGGGAGGAGAAGGAATAATGAATGAATCCATTATTTGTCTTCAGCGTGGCCAAGAGCTAGGTGATCCAATTCCCACTTGGTCATGCTTGGCTATACCAACCCTCCCCTCCCACCCATCCTTCCCACAGTGGGTGTGAAGTCTTCTCCCTTCCCCATTATTGTCAAACCATCCACTTGCCTTCTTTGATCTTGCTTGTTGCATGGAAATAACTCTAAGGATTGTCAGTCTGTATAAAATTCATTGCAAAACCGGATGGCAGTACAGAAATAACAAACGTCCCATTCCACTTCAGTCCAATTCAGACAATGGAACAGAAATAAAAGATTCCAAAACTATGGTATATTTAAATTTAATAAAGCCCTTTTCACCCTCCAGACCCCCAGTTTTCCAAATAAACTCATAACAAATATTCCACGTGAGCCTTGTCAGGCAGTTTTAATATTCAGTGTCCCACAGCAGCACCGAATCTAAGGAGAGCAGCATAAGGCATTTATATAATTGCACAAATTAGAGATACCCCGAATGAAAGGTTTCCTGCTGGTTTTTCTCTGCTCTTTCATTTGTTGGTTACAGAATTAGGAGTGCTCCTGCTGTGCCGCAGCGTCTCCTCTCCTGGGCTGCATGCAGAGCACCACTGCACCACACCCCTCTGATAATGGCTATCTGGGGCACCTGAATGAGTAGCCTGTCCCCAGGGCTCCTGCCTGGGGACAGGCTGCTCCTCCAGCCCAGGTGGCTCCTGAGCGAGCGGCCACCTGGATGCACGCCTCCTTCTGTGCATGCCTCCCCACGCCTCCAACCCAACTCCACAGTCTGCAAAGTGACAGCCAGAGATTAGGCGAAACCTTGCATGACACATTTGTATGAGATAGCTTATCTTTCCGTGCCTTTGTTTATAAATTGTCCTTTAAAAAGTCCTGGAAGGTTAACTCCCCTTGAAATGATTTGCCGGAAGCACCTTCTGCAGATTGAAAACAGTTAATGTTTGAACATTTTTAGAACACGGGTAACTAATGGAAATATTTGATTCCACGTAGTTTAACGAAGAGTTTGTTTCTTCTTTCAGAGGTGTTGGCTGGTTTAGTGGAAAGAGGATTAAGAGCTTACAGGCCTGGTTGAAGGTGCTGCACTGCTCCCTAACCAGTTGTGTCATCCTTAGCAAACTTCCCTCCCTAACTTGGTTTCTCATTTGTCAAATTGCAAAAATATAATGTCCACCTCGCCTGTTTTATGTGATACCTGTTAGAATCAGGGAAGATAACTTTATGTTAACCATAAAAGCACTTTATATTATTATGAAGGTAAAAAATCATGTAGTAAAAGGTGCATGTATTTTAGTCAGGAACCCTGGACTTAAGTGCTGACTCTACCACGTGCTGTGTGATCAAATGTAGGTCAGCTCATCTATCTGATTTCATTTTTATTTTAACTTGTAAAATAATTTCCTCATTTGTCTCTCAACTAGGACAGTGTAAATGCAAGCTCTTTGTAAAACTGCAAAAGTAGTAAATCACAAATAAATATTCACGAGGTGTCAGGAATTGTGCTAGGTGTACAGTGTATTCTTTATTCTTTATAATATTTATTGTTATTATTTGAAAAAAGTTATTTTATTTTCTATTTTAGATTCACAGGGTATGTGTGCAGGTTTGTTACATGGGAATATTGTATGATGTGAAGTTTGGGCTTCTATTGATCCCATCGCCCACACAGTGAACATAGTACCCAATAGGTAGTTTTTCAACCCTTGCCCCTCTCTTTTCCTCCCTCTTTTTAGAATCCCCAGTGTTTGTTGTTCCCATGGTTGTGTCTGTGTGTATGTTTTTTGTTTCAAGAGATGGGCTCTTGCTATGTTTCCCAGGCTGGCCTCAAACCCCTGGGCTCAAGTGATTCTCCCACCTTGGCCTCCCGAGTAGCTGCCATTGCAGATGTGCACCACCATGCTGGGCAACAGTGTGTTCTTTTATCATCACAGTGACCCTTTGAGGGGAATAATTATTATCCCAGTTTCCAGCTGAGAAAACTGAGGCTCTGATAAGTGGAGCCAACATTCAATCACACATTTGTTTCACTGCTGAGCCTGTTTTTAATCACTGTCCACACAGCCACAATTACTGTTTTACTTTTATTGTTTCAGCCAATGACAGTGACATAATGAAGGCACGGAGGATGTTATTTCCTCAGAGATATGGGTTCTTATGGTTGACCTGGTAACATTACATTTACAGAGCACCTTATGTATTCCTCAATTATAATTGCATTTCCACAAGAAATGTTAAGTACTAACTCCCTAAAAGACTGTGAGAAGGGAGAAGACCTCAGTGACCTTGATCCCACCCCTCACGAGTTAGCTCTACTGCTAACAATTATTGAGTACTGAATTTCTCACTTACTAGATTCCTACTTTAGTACAGTGAATGATATCTCCTCTATGTTGCCTTTGGTCATTTATATTAATAAAATGAGGAGGCGAGCACAGGGAAACACAAATATATTATGCGAGGCTCTCTGATAAAGGATTTTTATCATAAAGGGCTGAATTTCTAAGCTGAGCATGGGTACTTGTTATTTATTTATGTATTTATTCATTTATTTATGTTGGCTTTAGAGTATTCACTTCCTTGTTATTGGATAATAACTATTAGAAGAGAAATTTGTCACTCCTCCTTCTGGTCCCCCCTGCACTTATTCTGTGTCTGATAGCGTTGGTGGGTTAGCAGGGGATGATTTTCTATATAGCCCACGCTTGATGATTCTGCATAGAGAATAGTAAAGACCAAAATTAGCAGGGTTGGAGGTAAGAATGAAAAGGACTTCAGAAAAGAGAAAAGGGTTTTCATTCCGTAGAAACGATTTGTGCTCTAAGGATCTGCCACCCAACCAGCCACTGGCTGAGCACCGTCAACATTCTCAGCACTAAGGATGCAAATGCTCTTGGTTGTAGCCTCCTTTCTAGAGGAAAGTTGATCTTGGATAGGGGCTGGGGGTGGGAGCAAAGGGATGGAAATTGCTCACTGGGGCCAGGTGAGGACAAATAACTTTCAGGGAAGAAGAGCAGAAATCTCTTTCATGTAGAAGAGTTGTTTGATCAAATAGTTTCAGATGCTCAAAATCTGTGGTGACCAGAGGGGAGGAATTCAGTTAAGACATCCTTCTACTGAGGATAAACAACATCTTGTGTCTACTATGTTGGCTTACAATTAACCTAACTTGGAGGGAGTTTATATCCTGACTCACAGTTGTATCCTTTATGAAGGAAGTCTCATCAAAAGAAGTCATGGCTCTTGGGGTGCTTTATCTGCAGAAACTGGACTCAGGGCAGGGCTGGGGAAGGTGGAATGGCGGTTGTGGGTCATAGCCACAAAGACCCTGCTGCAAATATGTCATTAAAAGCAGGGAGCTCTGTTGCCTCAAGCCTTGGGGTGAGCCGGGGATCTTCCTTCAGAGTGCTATGCTTCTGACTTTCAAGAAGTGTCTTTCCCTCACAATTCATATAGATTCTTTTATTTGTTGTTTTTTTGACTCCTCCTATAGGCCTGATATGGGAAGAAAAATGAAGAAATGCTCAGCTAAACTCGTTTTGACATGCACCTTTTAACATTCTGCAGCTGCCTCAGCTTTTGATGTATGATTTTTCTTGTTGGTCACTTTGCAAGCCAGGGACTTCTGGCTGGTGATGCCCCACGTGGGCCCTGCTTGCATGCTGGCATGCCCCAGCTTGCCTGTGTTACAGCTTGTACCTACGTTCAGCAGTTCCCAAGCTCCTGTACCACGCCCAAGAAGAATGAAGATATGCTGGACATTGAACGGTGAGGAGGGTGGAGAAGAATTTTATTGAGTGATAAAACAGCTTTCAGCTGAGAGGGGACATGGGGGTGGTCCCCCTACCCAAAGGTGAGAAAGTTCTGCGTGTGGCTGGGTCCAGGGCTTTTTATGAACTCAGAATGGGGATTGCGTGCTAATTGGTTTGTGAATATGCCAAAAAAGTTAAAGTGAAGGCACCACTTAAATGTGGGCATGACAGTGTAGAAAAACCAATTAAATAAGAGTAGGTATATGTAAAATAGGTGAAGGGTGGGGACCAATCAGAGGAAAACACACCAAATGGGAAGACAAGTTCTCAACCTAGTCTGAGGATTTAACTGGTAGCTTGGCTTTCAGGCTTTAAACTGTCTTCGGCTTGGAGGTGGGGTTTCACCAGGAGCCACCCCTATCTGCCCAGGCATTTGGTTGTCTCCTGTCACTATAAATTTCTTTTGCTCTCAAAATACAGTCTCTCCTTGCCTTTTCTGATCTAACTTCAAACCTGATGTGGGTGTGGTGACATTGTTTTCTGAAGTCATAATCAGACACCCCCCGTAATTTCATGATCAAACAACCTCTGTGATCCCATAAGCAGACACCCCTATAATCCCATGAGCAGATGCTCCCTGTGATCCCAATCAGTTGTCCTCGGAGCTCCCTCAAGAGCCCCTGGGCCCCACCTCTTTCATCCCATTACCTGGCACTCTCAGAACCCCTCGCCAATTTCCCCGTTTGAGCACTCCTCCCCAGCAAGCGTCAGAATTTGGGGGAACAAAAAGTAGCTCTTCATCAGGAACAAGTTGCCCTCAACTGAAGGGAGAAGGGTAGAGGGAAAGAGAAATAAATCCCTAACGGCATTATGGATTTCACAGCTCTAGGGTAGATACTTGGAGAAATAAATGCTCTGAGCCACAGTCTGCATATAAAATGGGATGCAGAAAAACTACCCCAATTCTTACCCTTTCCATTCCCTTCTCTTTTCTCTTTCCTTCCTCTTTTCCTACCTTTTCTATTTGTTAAATGCATTTGCTGTTCACAAGGTCTCAGAGAACAGTATGTTTCTAAATGCTTCTCTAAAATGCAGAGGTCTAGTTATATAGTGCCATTAGCATCTTTCTTCTCAACACAAGCTAACCACCTAGAGTCCTGACATTCATTCATGGATTCCTTTGTTCATCTCATTTATTGAGTGTATACTTTGTTCCAGTCCTAGTGTTTCCAAAGGAATAAAAGCAATGACAACTATTATTCGTGGAGTATTTTAATCAGTAGACACTATATTAAGTGTGTAACAGGCAAAATACATTCACAAAATGGTCCCAACAGCTTAATTGTTACTGCCTGTTTTCCAGATGAAAACTGAGGTTTCAAGAATTACATCACTTGGTCAAGGTCAGCAGAGCCCGGGCTGGCACACAGCAGTTTGAGGATGGACTCTAACCTTGCTGTATGCTGTGCTGTTTCTAGGACTGGTTCTCCAACTTTAGCTGCATCAAAATGCCTGGAGGGCTTTTAAAAACATGCTTTTCTAGCCCCTGCTCTCAAAGTCTGTGATTTATAAGCCTGAGAATTCTCATTTCCAATAAGTCCCCAGATGTTGTTAATGGGGATCCCACTTTGAGAACCACTGCTCTATGCTTCTGCTGTGCCCACGGTCTCCCTCAGGTGTATCTGCTTTAGGGAAGGTGAAATGTACCTTGCAATTAATTTGCGGCTTAAATTCATGCTACCTGTAGATGGAAGAACTTTCTTTCCTCACCCGGACTCCAAATGCTACCCTTTTCCTGCCCTGTATCCGCAGTTGTGAAGTCACCCTGGATTCTACTTCTTCTTTTGAGCATTCTAAGAAAATACTCTGGGGAGAAAACCACTTTGGCTTGAAGTGCCGGTTGCTCTTAGTGACGCTGAAGAAGCTACTCCGTGTGTTTCAGGGTACTGGGTATGAAAGTGTGGTACACAATACAGGCTGGTAAAGAATCCCCACATTCGCTTCCGCTCAATACACCAGCATCAGACTCTAGTTGTACTAGAACACCATTCTGAATCCTGAAAACAGATAGCAAAAACAGCAGCTGTACAGGGACTGTTTATTTATGGAATCCCTCACGTAAACAGAGTGAGGGTGATGGATCATCACTCGGCCCATAAACATGACTGTGCTCCGGCAGGGGCCTTGTCCTCATCTGAGCCCACTGACCTCTTCCTGTGTCTGCAAACAGTGGCAAAGCGGAAACAAGGAAAATAGGCGTGAGGAAATGGTGTTGAGTTGCAAAACATGGAGAGAACAATTGGCATTGCGATTCCCAGGACAAGCAGGACCGCAGCCGCTCGCAGAGGCACCAACTTGAGAGGGGATGGTTCTGTTCTCTGGCCCTGAAAGTATGCACTTTCTGCAGCCTTGAATTTGTCCTGCCTCTAAGGAAGTTATTTACAGTTTTGCACAGTGGGATAGTTTTATGAGCCAACCCTCTCATTTTTATGAGGGTTCCCGGGGTAAAGCAGTTATACAATCTTACACCAGCACACCAACTTCAGTGAAGAACAAACAATATAAAGTAGGCCATCCAGACCCATAAAGCAGGCAACACTGAACAGTCGTGATTTCAGTTCAGTTCAGAGGTGACCTGGCTTATTACGATAAGATAGAGGAATGAACAGGGCCTACGCAGAGAGAGCGAGCAAGTGAGTGGGAAATAAATAATTCATTGTCTCCTTCCAGAAGCTGTAAGTTGAAGGGACAGAAATCTTGTTATCAGAAAAAGGACCAAAATTCAATTGCTAGAATGTTCTTTCAAATTACTTTTCAGATTTGTTGGTTGAAGGAAATGACATCACCTTCTACCAAATATTTGGTAAGCAATCCATCATCAACACAAGGCTTTCAGATTTTAACATGGCTTTCTATGTATAACAAACCAACTTTTCCTCCCTGAACTTGTGGAGAATGAGGTCTCTGGGTGTGCTTGTATTTACAAATGAGTTTGCTAAGCTTTGACTTCATAAGAAGACAAGGTTAATTAGGAGCTAGACTGTGGATCTTAAATTTATCGGCAGGCTAAGTAGCTGGTGACTGCCCCAATCAGAGTCAGCTTCCAGGAAATGAAACGGGACTTATTTACATTTAGAGTGATGCCCAGCTTCTTAATCACCTCAAAGCATTTACAGATTAACTTTACTACCAGCAGTTCAAGAGGTAGAATGAACCCTGGGAGGGCATGTGCTTCTCTGTCTCCCTCTTCTTCTGGAGCTGCCAATTCCTTATTTCAGCCTGTGTTCCTTGCCTGTATCTTTTTGCTAAACCCTGGAAAGTTTCTTTCTGATGCTGTTCTGTGAAATGTTCTGTGAAATAATCTGTGGTTTATTTGGTAAGCCTCCTGATAAAGCAGTTTTCTAAAACCTTACCAGAATTGCTAAGGATCACCAGCATGGCCTGGTATATGTGCACAATATAAGGCAGAAATCATTCTGGTAAACTTTCTTTGATAGAAAATATTTCTATTAAATTGTTGGGTTATTATGGATTGCACATGCTGGATAACAGAGGTGACCCCAGGCTTCTCACGTGGCTCTGTGGTTGCTTATAAATGAACACTAGTAAGGATTAGATAAATTTTTGATTAGAAATTTCTAGTTAGCCAATAAAAGTGACCAGAGCAGTTAGGATGATAGCTACATATATCAGTGGCAGTTTCAGTCACATTTTAGTTTAACACAATCTCCAATTCAATTTGAAATTTTTATTATGGTATTTTAATCTGCAGTCTCTAATTACTTTACAGTTTCTCAGCAGAGAATAAGAGTTGCTGGTGGGCTGTGAGTGATAATAATACCTTCCCTGCCTTATCCAAAGAACTGCTGTAAAGATTTATAAGATTTTTTTTTTGTCAACTGAAAGGAGTTGTGCAAATATAAGCTATCGTGACATTCCATTCTTTACTATTTTAATAACATATTTACCCATATTTTTGTTTTAGTTTTAAAAATTGAAACTACATAAAATGCTACCTCTTTAAAATCATTATGGTTTTTTCTTTATGCAATAAGCTACTACGCAAAATCTTTAAAGAAAACTGTCTTCTAGAAGGAATTAATGAAAAAAATGGTCCCATTTGGTGCATTGTCAAGAGTACCTTTTTGGTTATAGAGCAAAGAATGGAATATTTATTTGCATTTAAAGGGTGCGTATGCCTTATATGTAGAAATCCAATACACTAGGAATTTGGATAGGATGGAGACCCTTCCTTCTTGCTAAATGACAGCAGCTATGAGTCCAAGAAATAGGTTTTTGGGGTTTCAACTTTGACTATAGAAGTCAGTTGCTTATTTCAGCAAAATGTGGTACACTTGGGTTCTAAGAGCCAATTCTTAAAAAATGAGCAGCAGCCAGCGAGTCTGGCTTTGTATCTTCATTATAGGCAGAACGTTCTATACTTTACTGTTCGTATTGTGCCACGTCTGCTGGAGGAAGATTGGCGGCTACACCTCTTGGGCTTTCCCATAACAAGATGTTCATCTCTGGAGGCTATCCCGGAGAGCCAACTGCACATAAATCCATTCTAATTAAATATGCCACTCTCCAGGGGTAGATGCCTTCGTTACAGGACTTATTTCAGGGGAATACAGATATGTGCATACCGATATTTTAGCTATAGACACAGGAGTCTGTTTGCAAGCAAGGGAATATACCATCCCCCTCTTTTCCCTCTCATCTTACATCTTGCTATCTAGAGACTCACGCAAAACAAATCCCTTGGGATTGCACTTACTTTCAGATATGTGAAGTTAAGCCCTTCTCAGACACACACATCTTTCCATTACATGTACAATGAGAAGCTTTCTGTAACTCCAAATCCAGTGGTGCCATTTCCTAATTGAGGCACCTGGCCCAATTAGGAATAAATGAGTACTTGCTGAAGAGAAAGTTAATGAGCAGTTAGTTAGAGCCACAACCAAGAAGGATTTCTTTAAAAAAAAAAAAAAAATATATATATATATATATATATATATATATATATATATATATATATATAGTCCAGAGAAGAAATGTGAGCCTACAAATAAGTGGTCATCCTTTTGCTTGTTTTTAAAAATGAAATATTGTCTGAACTGAGGTGTCAAGTCTTATAAAACAAAGTTACACTCAAACCCCAGACTGACTCATTAACCAGACTCAGCCTTGGAAATAGCGAGGTAAAAGAGGATTCCGGAAGCACATTTCATGCTTGGAAACAGTGTTGCCACCTTCCTCTCCCACTCCCTGCCTCCCATTTCTCCTGGGAAGGTATCACCGGCAACAAGTGGCAAGAATATTCAGGTCAGGTTGGTTTCTGTTTTACCTCCATTGCACCACCAGTGAAGAAGAGTGAGACACTGAGACACTTGAAAAGCCATGTCAGGCTGGGCACGGTGGCTCACGCCTGTAATCCTAGCACTTTGGGAGGCCGAGGTGGGTGGATCACCTGAGGTCGGGAATTCGAGACCAGCCTGACCAACATGGAGAAACCTCATCTCTACTAAAAATACAAAATTAGCTGGGTGTGGTGGTGGGTGCCTGTAATCCCAGCTACTTGGGAGGCTGAGGCAGGAGAATCGCTTGAACCTGGGAGGTGGAGGTTGTGGTGAGCCGAGATGGCACCATTGCACTCCAGCCTTGGCAACAAGAGTGAAACTCCATCTCATAAAAAAAAAAAGAAAAGAAAAGCCATGTCACCTTCTACCCCAAGGATTTAGCTGTTGTAGGACACCAGGTACCTGACAAGAGAGAAACGAACCACGAGGCACACATGTTTAAAACGTCTACATGTAATCATACTCAAGACTTTTGGGCAAGTGCTCAAAAGCAGACTTTGACTTTTACATGGAGAAAAATTTACCTTTTAAAATATATTTCTATGCCAAAAACAATCACAACAAAAGCAAAAACTGACAAATGGATCTAGTTAGACTTAAGAACTTCTGCACAGCAAAAGAAACTATCAACAGAGTAAATGGAAACTATACAGAATGCAAGGAAATATTTGGAAACTATGCATCTATAAGGAATTTAAACAAATTTATGAGATTAAAATAAGTAACCCCATTACGAAGTGGGCAAAGGACATGAACAGACACTTTTCAAAAGTAGATATACACACAGCCAACAAGCATATGAAAAAAAGCTCAATATCATTGATCATGAGAGTAACGCAAATCAAGAGCACAATGAGATGCCATCTCAAACTTGTTAGAATGGCTATTACTGAACAGGCAAAAAATAACAGGTGCTGGTGAGGTTGTGGAGAAAAGGGAACACTTAAACACTGTTGGTGGGAGTATAAATTAGTTCAACAATTGTGAAAGACAGTGTGGCGAATCCTCAAAGAGCTAAAAATAAAACTACCATTCAACCCAGCAATACCATTACTGGGTATATACCAAAAGGAGTATAAGTCATTCTACTATAAAGACACATGCACACAAATGTTCACTGCAGCACTATTCACAATAGCCAAGACATGGAATCAACCTAAACGCCCATCAATAGCACACTGGATAAATAAGACATGGTGCATGTACACCACGGAATACTATGCAGCCATGAAAAAAAAAATCAGATCATGTCCTTTGCAGGAATATGGATGAAACTGGAGGCCATTATTCTAAGCAAACTAATGTGGGAACAGAAAATCAAATACCACATCTTCTCACTTATTAGTGGGAGCTAAATAACGAGAACACATGGAAATAGAGATGGGAACAACAGACACTGGGCCTACTTAAGGGTGGAGGTTGCGAGGAGAGAGAAGATCAGAAAAAAATGCCTACTGGGTACTATGCTTAGTACATAGGTGATGAAAGAATCTGTACACCAAACCCCCATAACATGAGTTTACCTATGTAACAAACCTGCACATGTACCCCTGAACCTAAAATAAAAGATTAAAAAAAAATTAAAAAGTCAATTCACATCAGAGTGCTATGTATTTTATGATTCCATTTGTGTGCCATTCTGGATAACACAGAATCAGGATACAGATCACTGGTTGCGTTGGGCTGGAGGTGGGGAAGGGGAATTGACTATAGTGAGGCACAAGAGAACTGATAATATGTGGTATATCAAAGTCTGTCTTTAAGAGAACATTCTGAGCTAATGGAATCCTTCTACGTACTTGTGGTGGTGGTTACAGAACTTTATATTTTCAAAACTCATGGAACTGTACACCTAAAAGGGGTAAATTTTACTGTATGTTAATTATATATCAATATACCTGACTTTAAAAAATAAAAATAAATAAAATATCTTATTAAATGTCTAGGTTTTCAAATAAATATAAATTATATTAGAGGAATTTACACTCAGGTGAGGAAAAAAACATTGTTCTGATGACACCTGAGAAAGGAGCTTAGTCAAATGTCCATTTCATAGCATGTAGACCTGCTGCTATAGTATTTTTCTGTTGCTATGAAAGTTATCACTAATTTATTTGCCCCACATTGATGATCTGCCTGCTCTTATGTATTCAGATGGTGTGCAAATTCTCTGAAGTTTTCCCTTGAGACAGTATCCAGAAACTTGTGGTGAAATTGGACATTCCTACCTTGGTATTCTCATGTTGAGATTTGCTTGCCTCACTAAGGGGCCTTCCTTTTGGTCGACAGGGCTGATATTTCTGGGTTCCTGACAATGAGAATGTGTGCAGAAAGTCTATTTCAAATTGGGACAATGACCTTTTAGTCTCACGTGCACTTTTACTTTTCTTTTTAAAAATATTTTACTTGAACTTTGGGAATAATACCCTTTGTTCTCAATTAAAATAGTTTCCTGCAAGAATTTCTATCTCTGAGTAAGAAGCAAGTCAAGACGAAAATAATCCATGTGAAATGACTTCCTGAGAAATGACTTTTGAGAAAGATTTTTAACCAATACTCCACGGGATCACTGAATTTCTTTTGATTTATTGATGGTGTATTGTAAATATGACACCCTGCCCTAACATGATAATGACATGTCTTCCTTTCTCCGATAATATGTGATATATTAAAGTCTGTCTTTAAAATCTGCATTTTGAATTTTGGGAGGGTACTCTGTGTGCTTTTTTTGAAGTGCTTGGCCTAATATTTATGTTGCATATTCTAAGATAAAGACAGCAAAATTGGCTTGGCTGACGATGGAGCGTAAGTATGAGTATAAACATGTTTTCCAAATGATGACAACACTGAATATCATGAGAGTTTAGTCAGTGGAACTACAGGAGAATGTTAGGAATGAAGTCTTGACCACACACAGCACACATGCCCTTTACCAACGGGGTATGGAGAACACAGAGCTCTGATAACAATACTTGTTTAGGGTCTCCCAACCCCGCCTTTGTCTAAGGGACTAAGCGTGTACCTAAGTCTTCTTGGTAGTAAGTATATATGGATGATTAGAAGCAAACATTGGTTTCAGAAGCAATGCATCACATATTGAAGTTGCAGCTGGCTTGATAGAAAAGTTATGAAAAAAATATGGAACTAAATTCCAGCAATTGCATTCTAAGCTGTGCCCTGCCAGGTGACACAGACTGGGGACACTTTTTAATCAAGTCAGAAATTACCTTAGTGAAGGGAAGCAAGGAAGAAAATGATTTAAAAGGAAATATGGTTCTTATTCTTGAGAATCTTAGAGTCTAATGAGGAGATGAAACAGACTTGATGGTGTAAGAACATGATCAAACAATGTCAGTAAATGAAAATACACTTAATGATTACCTAAAATTTATTCTAAGTTTTTTTTTTTTTTTTTTTTTTTTTGAGACAGAGTCTTGCACTGTCGCCCAGGCTGGAGTGCAGTGGCGTGATCTTGGCTCACTGCAATCTCCATCTCCCGGGTTCAAGGTCCCGAATAGCTGGGATTACAGGGACATGCCACCATACCTGGCTATTTTTGTATTTTTAGTAGAGATGAGGTTTCACCATGTTGGCAGGCTGGTCTTGAACTCCTGACCTCAAGTGATCTGTCTCTCAAAGTGTTGAGATTACAGGTGTGAGCCACTGCGCCCAGCCTATCCTAATCTCTTCATGTAAAAAAGACTGTCTTCCCACTCTAGCAGAGGAAGTCCATGTTGTGCAACCCCTGTGGCTCTCAAAGGTACTTGAGGCTGGATCTGAGAGCCAAGTGGACTCTCATTTTGTCCCCACTTCTTGCTAGCTAGATGGATTTAGGGAAAATTTCTTAAATGTTCTAAGCTTCAGGTTTTTTTTTTTTTTCTCTAAAATGGAACTAAAATGAATAGTCTCTCTTTCATAGGTTTTCATAAGCATTTGCAGACCGTAAGGCTACACGCAGAGGACACACATCCTTGCCTCCTCTCCAAGACTAAGTGGGGACTAGTGGTTCTGGGCTGGGGTGATCAGAGCTTCCAAGGAGAATCAAGCTTCCACATCTTCACCCACACCAGCTGCAAAAGGGAGGGCTATCCAGTTAGCTGGTTGAAGCATCGCTCTCATAAAGTAACTGCTTCCCCTTGCAGGATGCTGCATGGAACATCTCCAGCCCCAACCTGGAGGAGGACAAGAGGAGAGGCTGTCAAAGCGAAGACAATTCTGCCTGTTGGCAGACGCCCTGGCCCCAGTTTGTATCTTGCCTCTTCAGTCATCACTGCTAGGATGTTTGGCCATGAGAATAGGAAACGTCAGTGAGTCCCGCTACGAAGCCACTTGAGAATCATGAACCCATGGCCAGGAAAGGATAAATTGTGGGGCTTAAGCTAGAATTCCAACAAGCTCCAGGAAGGTCTGTCCCAAGGCTCCTGTTCTAGCATCAGTAGTTGGCTCTGCTTTCAGGGGAAAATGCTGTGGATGACACTCTTCCTTGTGGCTTTGGGGCATGAAGTGCCTGTCGGCTCCTCCAGGTCCTGGGAAGGATTCCCCCACCACCCCTTAGGGGATCCTCCTGCCTGACACTGATCTTGAAACCCGACTTATCTAAGACCTTATTCTTGCATGAAGTTGCCTGATATAAACTCTTCTTACTTCCCCCACCCCCACATTCTTAGACTTATTTCAAAGTTGTAATCATTACTTATTTTAGAATAAAAGTTAGTGCAGCTAAGAGTGCTAATGTCTCCCAACTGTGAACCAAGGAAAGCAATGCCAGATAGCAGCACTGACTTAGTTTAGGATGTAGGAGCCCAGACCATGCAGAAAGTCTGCTCTCACAACAGAGGCGTGATGAATACTCCTGCCGGGGTCTACAGAGCTCTTCTTCTTCCTGTGTGTGTGTGTGTGTGTGTGTGTGTGTGTGTGTTTGTTTGTTTGTTTGTTTTTTGTTGAGACGGAGTTTCACTCTTGTTGCCCAGGCTGGAGTACAGTGGCACCATCTCGGCTCACTGCAACCTCCACCTCCCGGGTTCAAGCAATTCTCCTGCCTCAGTCTCCTGAGTAGCTGAGATTACAGACATGCACCACCACGCCTGGCTAATTTTATATTTTTAGTAGAGACGTGGTTTCTCCATGTTGGACAGGCTGGTCTTGAACTCCCGACCTCAGGTAATCCACCCGCCTTGGCCTCCCAAAGTGGGATTACAGGCATGAGCCACCTCACTCAGCCAAACCTGCCTTCTTCCCCGGTTAAATGACAAGATGGGGTGGCAGAGGAGAAGCTGTGGGTCCGGATTGTGGCAGGTGGGTAGGCTGTCGGGAGCAGGACCAGGACTGTGTTTAGGGGGATGTCCCAAATTGAGTGGCAGCCTTATTTTGGGGAAAAAAATTCTTAAAACTCACCCCATAATAGTCTCCCTCCGATAAGCAGCTGTCCCCTGGAGGCATCAGAAAGCTGCACAACAAAGCCGTCTGGCTCAGTTTTGCAGTGGTCTAACTTCAGTGTGCGTGAGACATCTTCTCCCACTGTTTGTTTCTTCTCTCGCTCACTCTGGTTAAATGATAGATAAATCAGCTTGGCAGGAACATTATGTTTCTATTCATTTGCTGGAGTGCTGGGCCCACAGAGCAGCCTTGATAGTGTTCAACGCTAATACCGTGACGATCAGGCAAAGCCCTTGAGCCAGGGGTGGCATTTGGAGAAAACAGTGGGAAGGAGGGCTCTGTAAATAAGTACAAGCTTGGGCACATTGCTCACCTTTGCCATTAAGTGGCTTCCAAAATAGACTGTATCCTGCGAGGGATTTGAATGGAGACATTCTTCCTGAGCGGGAAAGTATGTGCAAATTGTAGTGAGATCAAGCTGCAAGGACAGGAAATCGCAAGCAGGGGAGCCGACAGAGTGGCAGCGGATGAGCAGGCTGACGGAGTGACACAGCCCAGGGGCAGCATGGACGCTGCCAGCATAATTATCCCCGGACCTCATCACCATAGCCAGCTTGGCACCTGGGCCGTGGCTGCAGATGGAGGATGGAACGCAGCCAGCCGGCTGGATACTACCTTTCCAGGGCTGTCCTGGGTGCTTTGTTTGTTCTCATACTGGGAGGAGAGATGGTGGCTTTTGTTAACCAAAACACAAGATAGGAAAATCATATTTTTTAAAACGTTTAATTTTTCTTTTCGCTTTCTTTTTTGAGATGGAGTCTTGCTTTGTCACCCAGGCTGGAGTGCAGTGGCGCGATCTCGGCTCACTGCAAGCTTCACCTCCCGGGTTCAAGCAATTCTCCTGTCTCAGCCTCCCAAGTAGCTAGGACTACAGGCGCCCGCCACCACACCCGGCTCATTTTTTGTATTTTTAGTAGAGATGGGGTTTCACCGTGTTAGCCAGGATGGTCTCGATCTCCTGACCTCGTGATCCGCCCACCTCAGCCTCCCGAAGTACTGGGATTACGGGCGTGAGCCACTGTGCCCGGCAAAACATTTAATTTTTATGGGCACATGATAGGTGTATATATTTATGGGGTACATGAGATATTTCAATACAGGCATACAATGCATAATAATTACATCAGGGTAAATGGGGTATCCATCTCCTCAAGCATTTATCATCTCTTTATGTTACAAACATTCCAATTATACTCTTTTTGTTACTTTTAAAAATACAAAAAATTGTTGACTGTAGTCACCCTGTTGTGCTATCAAATATTAGATTTTACTCCTTCTGTCCAACTATATTTTGTATCCATTAGCTATTCCTCCCAGCCCCACCCCACTACCCTTCCTAGCCTCTGGTAACCATCTTTCTATTCTCCCCATGAATTCAGTTGTTCTTAATTTTTAGCTTGCACAAATGAGTGAGAACATGCAAAGTTTGTCTTTCTGTGCCTGGTTTATTTCACCTAACACAGTGACCTCCAGTTCCATCCATGTTGTTGTAAATGACAGGATCTCATTCTTTTCGATGGCTGAATAGTACTTTACTGTGCACATGAATCACATTTTCTTTATCCATTCATCTGTTCATGGACACTTAGTTTGCTTCCAAATCTTGGCTATTGTGTCTTGTACTGTGAAAAATAATAATTTTTACAGTAGATCATGTTCTATTAGCTGTGATTAGCTGTGAAAGCAGACTTGCCGCCATTAGAAAATAGTCAGTCATTCAAAAATGCCTATTTGCACCCTCTAACCTGCCCAGTACAGTAGTTTGAGTCATTGCCCTTGGGAATTTAAAAGGCCACACACTGAGAATGCCAGTCCCCAGGGACTTAGGGTGAATTTCTCCAAAGACGTGTGTGTGTGTGTGTGTGTGTGTGTGTGTGTGTGTGTGTACATGTTCTCCCCAGGGTACTGACCCCAGATAGCCCACAGTGCTGTGGGCACCTCAGCATGGCTTGGGCAATAACAGAAAAAACAGGAGGGCAGACACGGCTTCTGTTGTGGGAGCCAAGGACACTGGAACCCTGCAGTCCCTGGCAAAGCCCCCTTTCTTCCTACCTTCCTTAGAGACCTCTGGATTTCACAGTCCCAAGAGCCCCTTCCTGTGGCTGCCTGGCCACAGGAGGGACTTCAGGGAGGGAGTGAAAGACAGCTGTGCACAGCGCCTGATTGGTGACAGGTTTCCTGGTTTATGGGGTGGGTAGAGGATTCCCACCTCATGATGTGGTGGGGAGGGGTGCATGGCAGGGCTTGCAGTAGAGTTTGCAGCATGGGGTCTGCCCCTGGGTTCCTGGCCTGCCAGTACCCAGCTCCCGGGCCCACTGAACCCAGCTCTGGCCAAGTTTCTCCGTGGAGGAACCCATGGATGATGGATCATGGAGGCCAATTGTCTCCATGACTTGAGGATCCACTGAAGCACAGGTGGTCTTCCGAGGCCTTCAGAGTCTGGGTTCTTCTAGCCCTTGCCTATAGCTGCCTCGCTTCAGTTTATGCTGCAGTAGATAATAATTCCTTGCCTTTGAAGGGAGAGTATTTCAGAATTTTCAAAATCTGCTTGCACAAGTCATTTGATCTTCATGGCTAGCTTTTATGGGGGATATTATTTTAAAGATGGAGATACCAAGTCAGGGAGAAAAGAGAGAACTTCATTCACGTATTTGATGTGGACGAGTTATGACCTGAACCCAGGCTGGTAAGTGCCAGCCCTGTGCTGCTGCCCCGGAAGGGCCTGGAAACCATGAGACCCCATAGTGCAGTGCGGTGGTAAGGTCTGGGCCCTGTAGCCAGGCTGCCTACCACCGACTAGCCATTCATCTGAGACAAGCACGTTCATCTCTGCGCCTCAGCCTCTGCATAAAATGGGACTAGCACCCACCTCATAAGGTTGCATTAACACATGCTTGTTAGTACAAGTTTGTGTCTATAACGATAGCCATTCTCTTTTGGTGCTTATTACGTACCTGGCACTGTGCTTTGCACTTTATGGCATTCATTCATTTAATCATCACAATAACCTTAGGGGATAGATACGCCTTATTTTCCCATTTCAGAGATGAAGAGACTGAGGCGGAGAGAGACAAAGTCGTTTCATAACAGCAGGAAGACCAAGGACCATGCTCTCTTGATCACAACACCAGGCTTCTTTTAAAACAAAGGTTGGCTCCCAGTAAATACTAACAAAATGTTGGCTGTAGCTGGGCGCGGTGGCTCACGCCTGTAATCCCAGCACTTTGGAAGGCCGAGGTGGGTGAATCAGCTGAGGTTAGGAGTTCCAGACCAGCCTGGCCAACATGGTGAAACCCTGTCTCTACTAAAAATACAAAAATTAGCTGGGTGTGGTGGTGGGTGCCTGTAATCCCAGCTACTTGGGAGGCTGAGGCAGGAGAACCACTTGAACCTGGGGGGCAGAGGTTGCAGTGAGCCGAGATCGCGCCATTGCACTCTAGCCTGGGCAACAGAGAGAGACTCTATCTCAAAAAAAAAAAAAAAAAAAAAGTAGGCTGCTTTTGCTATTGGGGTAGTTGTCAATGTGGGGTGGTATGATATCCAGGCCCCACTATCCCAGACACCTCCTCTGCAAGTTAGTTCCCGGTAGCCGGAACACCATAATCAAGACTTCAGTTTGGCTGAACAGAACTTTTGTCCATGTTAAAATGCAAAGTCCCCCTGGGAAGGCTTCCATTAAACCTGAACTTGCTTCGAAGCCCTGGCATCAGTGAGTTCTGAGGCTGTGTCTGGGGAAGTTTGATGGAGGAGAGAGAGAGAGAGCCTGACCATACTGCTTGGAGTGGTAATGAGGGATAGCTCTGCTGGTGGAAATGTGGCAGAATGAGGTAGAAATCATGTAAAAAGGAAGGATGAGGACTCGTCTATCTTACACCTTTTCCCAGCTGTTAAAATGATCTGTATCGCATAGGACCTCATTAGAGTTCATTCTTGGAGCACTTTTTTCATGAATTGTTTTAGGGCTGTTATGTGTTGGGAATCACAGACTAATAGGGCTTCTTTGACAGATGAGGAATTCAAAGTATGGCTAGGTCACACCGCTAGGCAGTAAAAAATCCAGAGCCAGCACCTTAGAATCCTGCCTCTCTGTATGAATACCATTTATTTTCCTATTCTCTGATAAGCTTTACAAGAAGCTATCGTATATGACCTTTGCAATAAATTTTAAAATTTCAATGTTGATTTTTCTTCTCGGCCTCAGCTTAGCAGTAAGGGTGAGGAGTTCTTCCTTGCTGGTTTTGGCACCAAGGCTGAGACTTTCTGGTAGAGGGCTTGTCATTTAATGTGTAGTTTCCAATCTCCTCTCCTGAAACCCAGGTTTAATGATGCTTCCCTGCCTTCCAGGTATGTAGTGAGGGTTAATTAGATGATGCTTGCATAGGGCTTTGAAGATGAAAGCACCATGTAATTGTTATTACATATCATCTCCTCCAGAAACCAGGAATGCTTCTACTTCAGGGAACACTTGAACGTGTCTCCACTTGTATCGTTCACTTTAGGATAAAACTTGTCAGGCATCAGTGAACTAATGATACTGTGTAGCGCGCTGGGGATCAAACAATCCAAACAAATGAACACTCAGAACTCCTTGGATCACCGGGAAGCCGCTGTCGGTGGGCTTGGTGATGGAATGAGCCCACCAATTCAGCAGAAAGCTGCTGGGAAGTTTTCCCCATAACTGGGTCCCCAGCATGAGAAAACATGAGTTATTAAGAGAATGTCATGGCTCCAGAGACCAGAAAGTGCTGGAACAGACAGGAGAGGCACTATGTGACATTTTGGAGGAGCTGGGGCAGGTCATGGGAGAGGAGGGTAGCAGAGTGAAAGACGTTTCTTACAGTGTTTGAAAATTATTTCAAGAGCCTCCTGATGGGTCTCCCTTCCGGTGGTCTGATTTCAACACACCAGTCCATGTTCCTTCCACTGCCAGGCTAACTGTACTTCCATCAACCTTCAGGGCCTTCCTCTTGCCAAGAAAATAAAGTCTAGTTCTTTTAAAGCCATGCTATGGCCTTGCTGTGACTCTCGATTTTCTGCCTCTTGTTGATTTTCCTTCATGCTCCTCTTCCCTGCATGAGAGCTCTCTTCCCTACCAGCTCATGCTGCCCCATCATACTCAGACTAACATGCCTTTCCCACCCTGCACCTTTACCACATGAATCCTTGACATTAGCCCAGCTGCTTTGTCCCTGCTGATTCTTTCCCTGATTCTGCAGCTCCCAAGAGCACCCTCCTTTTAGTCAGTTCTGTTTGCTGTTCATTTACTTAGCATTTATCTACATTTTGTTATATTGGCATGTATCTGTTAATATGAATCTTTTCCTATTTGCTATTTGGACTGAAAAATCAGGGAGACCAGGGCACTGTTTCTTATATTCATGCAGAGTACTCCGTGGGAAAGTTTTTTTTAGAGTTGGGGTCTCATTCTGTTACCCAGGCTGGAGTGCAGTGGTGTGATCGTGACTCACTACAGCCTTGAACTCCAGGATCAAGCAATCCTCCCTCCTCAGCCTACCAAAGCACTGAAAATACAGGCATGAGCCACCATACCTGGCTAGGGTCAGCAAGTTTTAAACTCCATTAGGGGAGGGTAACTCTAATACCTAACACAGTGCCTGACATACCTTAGGGGCTTTCCCCAGTTATTTACTGCTGTGTAACCAATCACTAAAAGTTAATGGTATGCAATACCAACAATGATTTATTATTATGATCTCTCTTGGTCCTGGGGATTGAGTTGGCTCAACTGGGTGGTTCTGGCTTGGGACGTCTCATGTGATTGCAGTCAGATGGTGACTGGGCTGGGTTCATCTCAAAGGCCTCCCATGCCTATTTCCTGGGCTGAGAAGACTTGAAGAGCTGCAGAAGCTGATGTTCCTCAGGTATGCCTCTCTATCTGTATTTGAGCTCTCCAGGTGGTCCCTCTAACATGTCAGCTTCAGGGTAGCTGGACTTTCTGCATGACAGCTTAGGGCTCCAAAGACACATGCCCCCAGAGAGTCCTGCACAACTGCACCCCTTTTCTAATGCATCTGGGAGTCAAGCAGCAGCGTCTCCACTGTGTCATGTTCATTCACAGTATCATAGGCCAATCCCTTTTCAAAGGCAGAGGAATTGACCTCTTTGATGGGGGAAGTGTCAGAGGATTTGGGGGCATATTTTACAACCACCAGTTCTCAATACACACTTCTTAATTGATTGAATGAATAAATGAATGGATGAAGCGTCATTTTTATTTATTTTTGTTTTACCACTTCCAATATGAAAGTAAGACAATGTGATAGTGTAATGAAACTAACTTTCTATCTTCTTCAACATAACAAAAATATTTGTTTATTTTTTAACATGTTTACAACTCATGAGAAAGTATGAATTTCTTTTGTCCTTCTTATAAAATCATATTATGTTATTGACTGGAATTAATGGGTGTGGACTTCATTTCTCTGGATATTAATTTCCTTATGTGGTTGCCTCAGAAATACCTAACAGTATTAGCTTTGAGGAACCTTTGCTGTTATCTAAAAAAATGTTTTTTAAGAGTCCAGTGTCATTGATACCTCTTATTTCTTGTTCATCTCAGACTAATGTACTACTTTGCTAGGGCAAGTTAAGCAAGATTTTGGAAACTTCATCAAAGTTTTGGATTGCTCTGGGATCCCTAAGAGTAAAGTAATCAATAAAAGAATGACAGTTTTGTTGTTGTTGGTTGTTTTGACAATTTTGTTTTATTTTAGGTTTAGGGATACAACTGCAGGTTTGGTATATAAGTAAACTAATGTCATGGGAGTTTGGTATATAGATTATTTCATCACCCAGGTACTAAGCATAGTACCCAATAGGCATTTTTTCTGATCTTCTCCCTTCTCCCTCCCTCCACCCTTAAGGAGGTCCCAGTGTCTGTTGTTTCCATCTTTATGTTCATGTGTTCTAATCATTTAGCTCCCAGTTATAAGGAAGAACATGAGGTGATTGGTTTTCTGTTCCTGCAAACCAAGGATAATGGCCTCCAGCTCCATCCTTGTTCCTACAAAGGACATGATCTCATTGTTTTTATGGCTGCATAGTATTCCATGATGTACATGTACCATATTTTCCTTATCTGATGTGCCATTGATGGGCATTTAGGTTGATTCCATCCATGTCTTGGCTATCACGAAAAGTGCTGCAATAAGCATTCACGTGTATGTGTCTTTATGGCAGAATGATTTATATTCCTTTGGGTATATACCCTGTAATGGGATTACTCACACTGCTTTCCACTGTGGCTGAACTAATTTATGCTCCCACCAGCAGTGTATAAGCATTCCCTTTTCACATTCCCTTTTCTCTGCAACCTCACCAGCATCTGTTATTTCTTGACTTTTTAATAGTAGCCAAAGGATGACAGCTTTGATGTTGAGAAGATGAGCTAAGTCTCTCTCATTCCCTGCCATCCTGGGTCTTCTAGGTCCAGGTGCTCATATGGTTGTCCTTGAAGAATCTCATAGCCTCCAACATTGTTCTTAATGGCCAAGAAAAAAGCTTCTTCGGCCCTAATGTATTGGACATCAAAACCATGACTCATCTATTCTGATGGCTCTGGTGGAAGTCATTAGAACATGAGCATCTCCATTTGATGCTTCCTGCCTTTGCCTCCAAACCCGAGCCTGCATCCTGGCCATGTGACTGAAACAACTTAGAGGAAGCCTTGGTCAGCCCATGGCTCTCTAGTCCCGGTCATTGACTCAGTAATATTTCTTGTTTACCTCCTAAGTGGCAGGAATTATCACACCTGGAAGGTTCTGTAGAGGAGAAGACACTGATTAGAGCTGAGTTTTGTGTGATAAGGTGCTTTCCAGCCCAAAAAGTAGTGGAGACTGACAGCTGGGATAAGGTAGCATCAGGAAGAGGAAACGGCTGGGCTGAACTTCCAGGAGTGTGACCTGGGCCTGTGAGCGAGTGAAGGCAGTCCCTGTGGTGCAGCAGAGGGTCTGGAGGGGGTTGAGACAGTGAATGAGTCAGAGGCAGAAGCTGGGGTCGGACTGTGAAGGTCTTTGAGGCCCTGCTAAGGGCATTGCTCTTTATCCTTTAGGAAATGGGAAGCCATGTGAGGTGGGAGGAATTTTAAGAGGGAAACAATGTGGATTCATGTTTGAGATAGAGAATTATAACACTGGCAGCAATGTGGAGGGATGGGAGATTGTTTAAAGAAAAAAGGAGAGAAACTAGAGTAAGGAAGACCATTTAGAGGGCAGCTTAGTGGTCCAGGAAAGAGACAATGAGGACTGACCTTCAGCTGTAAGAGGGAGAATAGAGGCAGGACACAGAAAGAGAGATTGGGAAGGCCCACTTGACAGGACTTGGGGTCTGGTGTGGTTAAGAGAGAAGGGGGAGCTGACAATAAATCTCTTGGGTGGCTGACGATGTCATTAACAGACCTAGGCATGTGGGGACAGGCATAGATCTGTGGGGAAAATCAAGAGTTCAGGGCTTGGGCCAGGCACAGTGGCTCACCCCTGTAATTGCAGCATTTTGGGAGGCTGAGGTGGGAGGATTGCTTGAGGACAGGAGTTCAAGACCAGCCTGGGCAAAATAGTGAGACCCTTGACTCTACAAAAAGTGAAAAAAAAAAATAGCATGGTGTCGTGCGCCTGTAGTCCCAGCGACTTGGAAGGCTGAGACTGGAGAATTGCTTGAGCCCCAGGAGTTCAAGGCTGCAGTGAGCTATGATTGTGCCACTGCACTTCAGCCTGGGCAACAGAGAGATCTTGTCTCTCTTTAAAAAAAAGAGTACAAGAGTCAGGGCTGCACAAGATGAGCTTTCACGAATCTTAGGAAACATTCTTCCTGAGGCAGGGCAGGTGCAGTCATTGACTTCACAGGGTCTCCCCCATCATGCGGACATAGAGTCGTTTTGCCACCTGTCACTTCCTTGTGCTTTCTTCCTCTGCTCATTGAAACTTGGTTAGTCAGACCAGGCCCACGCCTGGGAGCTGGTTAGAAACGTGGCCTCCAGCCCCGCCTCCGCCCTCCTGAATTGGAATTCACACTTTAACAAATCCCCAGGTGATTCCCATAAGAAGCACTGCCTTAGAACTCTCTAGTCTCTCTCGTCCTCCACCTCGTTCTTTGCCCACATCTTAATAACTTTATTGAAATCTCAAATGTAAAAGGATCTTCTTCAGTTTCAGATACTCAGTCCTGGCAAAGCATTCTGATTGGTGATGAGGGACGCACTATTCAAATGGCAGTGAGAGACCTGCTACTGATCACCTTCAGGGGTCCTGGCTGGCTCATGGAGGGAGGGAAGCTCTGTGAAGACAATGTTGTCGGTAATCATTTCTTCTGCTAGATGCCACCTGAAAAACAAGTCCCCAGCCTCTGGGGCAGGGGCAGTTTGCAGAGGCAGGAGCTGCTGTTCATTCTAAAGGCAGTCTTTTGCCCACTGAACATACTCGATCCTAAATGAATTTCGTCTTATTAATTTTGCTATAATTGGGGCAAACACTGCTGCTAAGAATACATTTATTTATCTTATGTTGTGTTGCTTACACAATGCCTGCCTTTATTTTTCTGCATCTTCTGTCACTACTTTCAACAGGGTGGATGGAAACCTGCTAGGTCAGTTTCCAGACAATATTTATGCAGTTTTTTTTTTTAAATACTCTTCTTGGATCCTCTGTCCTTACATAAATGGATGCATTGCTTTTTACTAAGAAATTACTTTTTTTCATGGCACTGACTTGCAGGCCAATGGGGTGCAATTATTTTATATTTACTGTTATGTAGGGGATCCCTTCCTGTGCTATGAGAGGGGGAGTTAAGAATGTTGAATGTTATCCCAAAGGCTAGCAAGAATGCATATTACAGTCTTCTCTACTTCAGTACAGCTGAGAGACAGGCTGTTCTCTTTCCAAACACCCACAAATATCTGGATCTGAGATTCTTTATATGCCAGTCACATTTAGGCTTGATTTTTTTAGTCTGTAACATATCTAGGAGGATACAGGAAACTTCTAACTGGCCACTCTTTCACAAATCATGGCAATGAATGTGGTGATTTCTCCCTTGGTTACACGATCTAAAATATAATAAATGATCGTACTGGTTTGCTTCCATAAGTCCCCAAAATGTTTTCTCCTGTATCCTTGCAATGAGTCAAAATAAATGGCCTCTCTGTCATTTTAGAAGTTAAGAATTTTTAAAAGTATATCATTCTCAGTACAAGTTACATTCTACTTCTCAAAGCATGTGCCTATCCTTTGAAGACATTAGGTTGTCTAAAAAATAAAACCAAAATTCTAATTTTCTTAATAGAATTCAATTCAAGTTACATTTCAAACCATTTCTCCTTTTATGACGTCTCTAGCTATTGGAATTTCGTGATTACGTCTTGAAACATTAGCTTAGGATCATTAAAAGAAACACCATTTTAAAATAGCTTACGACCTTAAAAAAATAGGATAAAAATTTAACCGATCGTACTGCCATACCACATAAACACAGACATATGTGCATGTGCACACACACACTCCCTGGATCACGCACAATGTGTAATTCTGTGACAGGCAAATTAGCTGGCTGTGTAGTGATTTAGCATATAGTCCTAGTTCTTACATCTGTTTAGACCTAGCTCATTTCCCTGGTGCTTAAGCTGTTAGCTTGCATGCAAATACCTGCTTCGAGGGGGCTGAGGCCTGCACTGCTTTGGGCCTAAATTGATTGCTGAAGTTACAGGACTGAAATGCCTCAGGTAAAAAATTCAGTCAAAAGAAAAACATTAAGTCGACAGCTATGTAAAGCATGCTGCCTGACAGCCGGGGATGCTGGGAGGATGGAAAAGCTACCGCAAATAAGGTCAATGGAATTAACACTCAATTACCCCTTGACTATGAAAGGAGTCGAAAGGAGTTGCCACTCATCCCAATACGTTTCTGACTTCAGTGAATTTTAGGTTAACCCCCTTTTTACATTAACTATCCATAAATTAAAGACAACTGATTTATTTTTTTCTCCTCCTCCCTCAGTTTAAAAATGTTCTCTTTAGTATTTATAGATGTTTTGGCCTTTAAGTGCAGAAAAGTGCATTAATATGACCAATGCTACTCCTTGTGCCACATTAAAAGAATAATTCCAATCTCAGACTCTTTTTTCCTCCCCCTTTGTCTCCTAACCTCATTATCAGCTGCCTGGCTTCCTATAGGGTACTCATTCTCATGTTCTTAGCGGGTGTCCACCTTCTCCAGATGAATATCTAAGAAAAATATATAATGTGGTTTTATATATGCTCTGAGCTCAACCTAAATATTATTGTAGAGTACTCCAGGTTGAACTTATATATTTTTAAATCAACTTTTGTTTTTCCATTGATTGTCCTTGGCAATCAATCATCTTTTGACCCCTGAGTAATAAACCATTGTATGCATAAATCATGTTTAAAAATATTTTCCCCTTACTTTGCTATGATAGTAATTTTAGTAAGTATCTCTGTGTTTATTGAATTCTCTGGGGGTATATATCCAGAAATTCCTGTGTTATAGAATATGTGCTTACAAAATTTTACTGCATGTTGCTAGCTCATACCAAAATGGCTGTAATAAATGTTTGCAAAGTCGCAGCACATGTGAGAGTTCCTATTTCTTCACAGCCTTGCTGACGTTGGCTATTATCTCAGTGTTTATTTTTTATCAGGGTAGTCATCAATTGATGCCTGTAAGCTGGAATTTCCTGATGACCTATCAGTGAGTAGGCACATCTCTTCCCATTGTCCACCCAATTTCTACTTCAGAAATCAGGTTCAGAAATCAGAAATGGGTTTCCTTTCTTGTTTTTACTAATTTGCGGGAGTTTCTTCAATAGCCTGGGTATTAACCCTTTCTTGGTTATATAATCTGCAGTGTATTTTGTAGAGCAGAAATCCTTAATTTTGATGTCATCAACTTGTTTCATTCCCCTCTTTAGAGTAATATTTTTTCTGACATGTTTGAGAAATACTTCCTGATCCAAAGTCATAAAACTATTTTACTATTTCCCTCTCCTTCAGTACTTATTTTATATGAAGGTTTTAAATCCATCTGGATTTATTTTTGCTTATGGAGTGAGGTAGGGATATAAATGGATCATATCATGACAATGAGCTAATTTCTCCAACAGCATCAATTAAATGATCCAGTTTTTTCTTTGCTTATGTGTGATGCCGCTTCTATTATTACCCACTTTTGATAGAATACAGGTCTGGTTTTAGGCTCTCTATTTTGTTCTCTTGCTCAATTTTTCTATAACTTTATAAAAAATGTAATATTTTCATGATTTGGCATGCTCTGTGTCTTAATGTCTGGTTGGGTAATTTTAACAGCATGACACTTGTTTGCCAGAATCCATCTGAGGTTTTGATTGGCACTGCATTGGTTTATTATAATACTTGGTAACTTTTTGTATTTTATCTCTGCACGTATAGAATGCTTTCTCCAAATAGCACAGGAACTCTTCAAATTTCAATTTCAAAATGTCCAAATTTATAGAGAAGGAATGAATTTCTGTGCCAAATTAAGTTTTAAATTATTCAGTGGTATGAATAATTACCTGTGATGGTGGTTTTGAGAAACTCTTATCTGATGAGTCCTCATTTGTTGATACGTGAACTCACCTACTTGCTGAACAGTTACTGAGCACTGGCTGCGTATAAAGCACAGTTATAAGTGCTGCCAGTAAACATTTCTCAACTTCCATGTCACTCACGTGTTTTGCATGAAGCTGCTGTACTCCTTCATTGTTAGTAGACTTAACTACTGCTTGAACAGTGAGACTTTGGGGATCTATACTCTATATTAAGAAACTCTGCTTGTATTTTTAGTAAGTGATGCTGACACTGTCAGAAGTTAATGTTGTCAGATTTGGACCCAAATGCTGATTCTCTGGAGGTCTGGACTTTAGTTCATTCTGCCACCAGCCAGGAGGCCAGTTAAATGGTCTGTGCCCCCATTTCTTCATTTGTGAAATTAAGACACAGGACCAGATGTTTTCTACAGTCTCATTCACCTCTAAAATGAATTTATGAGTCTCTGACAAGTGGGGCATGGAAGTTCTTTGATTACACATGAAAGGGTACCTTTGGGTCTTGGTAGTGAAGAGACTGCCTATCATGGGATAGAATAAGATACTGAGGTAGGTTGCTATGGAGCAGAGGTCTGCAGGAGAGGAGGATGTAGGTCATTGAAGAATATATGAGGCCAGGATAATGGCAAAGAAATAGAACCCGTATGTGAGGGTGGAGGGTAGATTTTTCTGGTTGAAATATATCTGAGCTAAGGCTGAACATCAGTGAGAGGTGAGAGTGTCAGTTGTTGGCAGACCTTAAAATAATAATTAATAATGCTATCAATAATTAATTATTATATAATATAATGCTGTTAATAATATTATATAATGCAATTATATAATATTATATTTAATAATAAGTATAGCATTTGTCTACTTATGCAATATAAAGTGAAGTCATACATTATCCGTTTGGCCCTAAGAATCCCATCTTTATTCATGTTAAGTATTCTTAGCATTATTTTGCACCTGAGGAAACTGAGGCACAGTTTCTGAGGTAGACAGTTCCAACAGCCTGTCTACCAGCTTGTCATAGCAGCGCTTGGCACTTCACCCGTTTATCTTCTGACTCCCCAAACCCCACAATTTCCACCTTACCGCAGTGCAGAGTTTCAATCTGATGAGATAAGCATGCAGAAAGGGTCTGCGGTGATTTCTCTATCTAGGGACTCAGAAAGAACTATCTTAAACCTGAAGGGTTTATTTCACTATCTTAAGTAACCAGGGCTCCGATGGAAGCCCCCCTGATTAAGGAAGAATTACGCTTTACCTTGATTTTTAAAACATCTCAGTTTATACCTATTGTTGACAGAAACCTCGCCATCCTGGGGGCTTTTCAGACTCTTGACTGACCTCTCCAGATCAGATAGTCAGTGTGAAGTGCAGCAGAGGAAAAAACAAACCCTGATTTCCTTTCTTCATATTCGTGTCCCTGTGTTTTGCATCTTCCTGATTTCATAGCGTAGGAGAGTTTCAATTAGTCAGCATATAATTGACACTTTTTTAGTTCAATTGGCCAAGATAGGCTCTTATTCTTAAAATAGCATTTAAAAAACAGATGGAGATGGGCTTTGAGCCTGGCAAGTCTATCCAAGCATCTGGAAAACCCCTGTTGTTAATCAGGGCATGGCTGGGAGCTGCAGGTTGCATAACTTGTAGCCTTTATGCAGGGCTCAGGGCTTGTTTGTCGTGATTTACAGAAAGATGATTTGGATAGCACTTCCCTAGAACTAGCAGGGATTCTAGCAGTACTCATCAGAACTTTAGATGCTTTGAATTTAGATTTTATTTTTTAAGATCAAAAAAGATTTCATGTTTTTCTTTTAATTCAAGCTCATCTTTCTTTTTAAATCACATTCATTTTTAACATCCTAAGAAATGCTTTCCCAAGAAAATGAAAGAGAAATAAAACAGAAGAGATTCTGTAACTGGCTGCTTTAAGTTTCCCAAATGTGTTGAGTCCATTCTAGTTACTATGTAACTTATTTTTATATTGCCAGAATTCCGTGGGTATCTCAAGGGAGAGACAAAAATGTAACAACTTTGCTTTCTATTATGAGAAAGGGACGATTGATGCAGATGGCAAAAAAGTGCATCTTTATGATTTGGTTATATGAGGTTTTTCTGTTGGCAAACTAGACTTTTGATGGTATGATAAGATTTTTAAAAGTTCCTGCTGCCTGTCAGCAGAGATTTTGATTTGTTGTTATTAGAATATCTTAGGTGATTTAAATGCTGTAGCTGGGTTGAGAGACATTGATGCCTGGATCATCCCTGACCTGAAGCTGCTCATTTCTTTAGAAGCCAAGTATGAGAAATAGACTAAGGAGGGCATTTTTTAATAATTAAAAATTTAATATGACTCATAATTTATTGAATTTTATTTTCAGTTAATGAAACAGTTTTAGTTGTACAGAAACACTGAGCAGAGAGTATAGAGAATTCCCATTCACTCCCCTGCACATAGTTTTCCTGTTACTAACATTTTACATTAGCATGACACATTTGTAACAAATGAGCAAGTAATGAGTCATTGTTAATTAAGTGCAAGGTTTATTCAGATTTCCTTAGTTTTTACCTAAGGCCCCTTTTCCATTTCAGAATCCCATCCAAGGTATGGGATCCCCATATTACCTTCAGGCATCACGTCTCCTTGGGCTCCTTTTGGCTGTGACAGTTACTCAGATTTGTTTGGGATGACCTTGAGTGCTTTGAGGGGTACTGGTCAGGCATATTATAGGATGCCCCTCTATTGGGATCTGTCTGATGTTCATCTGATGATTAGGCTGGGATTAGGGATTTTGAAGAGGAAGAGCACAGAGGCAAAGTGGCCATTTTCCTCACATTATATCAAGGGGACATAATATCAATTGTTGGTGTTGACCTTGATCACCTGGCTGACATAGACTTTATCAGATTTCTCTGCCTTAAAGTTATTCTGCACTCTCTTTCTATATTATATTCTTTGGAAGGAGGTTTCAGCGGAATATCACTATTAAAAAGCAGAGAGTTATAGTTCCCCCATTTAGAGTGAAGTGTCTACATAATTTATTTGGATTTTTTGAGAGATTTGTCTTTATTTCCCTGTTTATTAACTTATTAGATTACTTCTTTATATCAGTATGAGTTTATGAATGTTTGTCTTACACTTTGAATTATAATCCAATACAACTTTATTTTGTGTTCAGATATTCCAGCTTTGGCCACTGGGAATTCTTTTTCATTGGCTTCTGTCCCTGTGACATGCACCCTCATTATGGTGGGATTTCTTTTTTTTTTTTAGTCATTTTTCCAAGGCACCTTGGTTCCTTTTATTGGAGAATGGTATTAGAATCCCAGACCTGGGAGCTCAGTTTATTTTTAAAGAAATTGAAATTCCATTAGGTAAAAACTCTTAACTTAGCCTCATCTGCTAATGTGTTGTTCTGGTAAATGGAGTATTTGTATTAACTGGGATTAGTCCATTCATTTTATGACATTTTGGAGGAATTTGTCCTTAACTGCTCTTAAATTCATTCAAATATAAATTGTGATATTGGTTGGTGAATGATATGCTCTCGAACATGTTCAGAAAGTGGAAACAAGTTAACAGGGTCAGTTACACTCCAGGCTTGTCTAGTATTTGTTTTCAAGGTTTGCTTCTAGGTAAATAAAACACATTTTTTAATCCTTCTCCCATCCCCAACTATGACCTCCCAACCATGATATAAAATGAGAGGGAAACACATGGATGAAGTTCTGAGACCTTTGTGTTAAAGAGCCACGAAATCCCTGGTACTATTTTTTAACACACAACCCCTGTATTTTAGTAAAAAGTGACAACATTTTAGTGTGATATGTCACTGCTCAAGAGCTAGTAGAACTGCTTGATCATAACTCAATGTAAGTATATGCACAGGATTTGAAGAAAATATGCCAACATGTTAAGAGTGGTGATTGGTTTCCCATGACCTATAATTGACTTTTAAAGTTTGCATTTTTAGTATTTTTCAAATTTAAAAGAAAATGGGAATAAATCAAAATGAAAATTGAGAACACCCTTTTCATTTTAAGGACCTGTGCAGAGGCATCTGTGGGGCTCCGCCCAGCTGTCCCACCAGCTTCCTCAGGGTTTGCTGTCCTGGTACCTTTTATCTTGCACTCTGCTCTTTATCCACCCCACAGAATTGCACAGGGCTGGAAAATTGCTGGTTCACTTCACTCTTCTCAGTATAATTTTGCATTTTGAAAGTGGAGTTTATCAAATACATGAGTGACTAACTGGTAGAATGTGTAACAGAGGAACCTTGTGTTTTATTCTGGAGTCCGTGCCCTTTGTTGTCCCCATACGCACAACTGAAGGAGTTCATGCCAGATACTGTCATTGATGCCCTTTGACCTTGCCCAAATTGCTTCACCCCTGGGCCCCCATTTCCATATTTTGAAAAATTAAAAGGTTGAACTGTATAAGTCTGTAAAGTCATTTCCATATTGAAACATGTTGTAGAAAGAAGACTTTTTTTGGATCATTTAAAAATTTTGTAACTATCTACAAGATAGTTTTGGGTGATTATTTTCACCCTTTTTCACTTGGACATCATTCCTAAATTTTCGATGAAATGTTTTTCATGATTAATTCTTCCCTCACCAAACAACATGTAAGTTTACTCTTTGGTTGATGGAAAAACACATATTTAATTTTATTTTTCACCTTATGTACTTGTTCATTTGTCCCTTATTAGGGGACAAATGAGGAGGCTTGTCTTCCTTAGACAGAAGTTTTTAGGGCAGTAGTTTTTAAACATTTTTGATTCAAGTGTCATACTACTGCCACTAAAGACTCAAGAGAATCAACTCATTAAGTATTTGGGAGTCAGAAAATGTCAAGCTGTTAGTGAGTCACTAGTGAGCTTGCAAGTATTTTTGCTAAGCCGTTACTTTATATCAATGACACCTATAGAATCTCATCATTTAGAAAGCACTAATAACAAAATTGGTAGAAGAGAACTTAGAGATCATCTTATCCAACTTTCTCATGTTAAAGAAGAAATGGAAGGTGAAGAAGCTGGGCAGCTGGTTCAAGATTCTAGAGCTGATTAGTGGTGGAATTCCTGCAATCCAGCCTACTTGACTGGTAGAAACTACATCACCAAATCCAATGTTCAGTTTATAACAGATGCTAGAATATGGGTAGCGTGGGGCAAGGGACACGTGTTACGGTCATCACTAGATCCCTATTGCCTAGAACATTGCTTAGCTTTTTGTAAGTAATTGTTGGATGATTAACACTGAACAATGATCCATAGATCACTCTGACAATGTCTTGGGCTTAGCAAATGCACCTTTGTAATATAGCACTCAGCGTTCATCCCATTAGTCTTTGTTGAACACTCAAAATATGTCAAACATTGGGCTAGCTGCTAGGGCTACAACTATGAACAAAAGTGGATATGGTCTCTGCCTTCAGGGAGCTTGCAGTCTCATTGGGGTGACAGAAGAACTGCAAAAATACAGGTAGAATTACAAATGGAGCAAGTGGTGCAAAGGAGAACAGTCTCTGAGGACCCATCACAGAGGGATCCGAGTGGCCAGGGAGGACAGGGAAGCTTCTCTGAGAAAGAGGCTCTGGCCTGCAATGTCAGGAAGGAGGAAGCATTGGCTAGATGAAGGGAGGCTCCCTCCAGTTGTACTTGTTTATGCTGAGATTGAAGATCATTGAAGAAGAGTTTTGGGAGTGTGTGGTGTGTGCGTATACGTATGCACATGAGAGAGACATGATCAGAACTGACTTTTACAGAGATAATGCTTCTAAGCCATAAAATAGTTACCGTAATGCTCTGAGGAAAAAGCTGTTATGGCTACACATTGTCAACTTAAGAAAGTTTTAATCTAGCCTGATGGTTTTATATATAATATAAAACCCCAAGTGTTCCTGTCTTTAGTTGGTTTTCCCACTAAATTGTCATTCCCACTAAATTGTCCCACGAAATTGTCATTCCCACTAAATTGTCACTCCCTTTTCCTCTGTTAAAATTTTACTTAATAAGATACCACACACAGAAGTGCCATCACTTAGGTTGTGGTCCTCAACCATTAGAATGCATAAGAATTGCCTGGGCCAGGTGCAGTGCCTCACACCCGTAAGCCCAGCACTTTGGGAGGCTAAGGCAGGTGGATCACCTGCAGTCAGAAGTTCAAGACCAGCCTGGCCAACATGGTGAAACCCCGTCTGTACTAAAAATACACAAATTAGCTGGGTGTGGTGGCACATGCCTGTAATCTTAGTTACTCAGCAGGCTGAGGCAGGAGAATCACTTGAACCTGGGAGGCAGAGGCTGCAGTGAGCTGAGATTATGCCACTGCAATCCAGCTTGGGCGACAGAGCGAGACTCCATCTCAAAAAAAAAAATAAGATTGCCTGAAGAGGTTCCTTACAATTTGGATCATTGGGCTGCACCCTCCTGATATTCTGGATAAATTGATTTGTCGGGGGAGGGGGCTCACTGATTTGTCATCTGACTCAGCTGTTGTGTCCCTCATGAATTTTTCCTGCTTTCTCAAATTGATCTCTTCCAAATTCTCATAATTTGTTGATTTATCTTCCATAGTAGCAGTGAGCCTGGAATATCAGAAAGTGTGTGCATACTTGTTTCTTTGTTTCAGTTTTCCAAATAATTATCTTTGTACCCTGCATTACACAGTCACCGCACATTAACAGTGTACTACCTCAGTAAATAAAGTTAATTTTATAACAAGGGCAAAAAAAAAGGTCCTTTTGGCAGTGGTAAGGTCCATAGTTTGGGAAAAAGTCAGAGTGGATTCGAGCCTCAGGGTGCCGAAGTTCAAGTGCAGACAGTGGAGTTGGAGATAGGCAGGAAAGCTGGCAATGGAGTAGAGGAGGAGGGTGAGGGAAAGAGCGGTGTCATGGCTTCCTCCTTATTTCTGCCTTGAGCCAATGGATGAATTGTGGGGTTATGTCTTCTTTGCGGTAGAGAATACTGGAGGATAATCAGGTCTAAAAGCTGGGTGGGAACCACAGTGAAGAAGTGGATATTGAAGATCATGCAAATGATGCACTTGAGTTTTTCTTGAAAAATTACCTAGATTGCCCTCAATAATTTTAGAGTTGACCTTAAGGTATTTTGAAGCATTTTTTAGAGGTATGCACATTTATTTTTTTTGTTTTTTTGACAAGAGTCTCACTTCTGTTACCCAGGCTGGAGTGCAGTGGCATGATCTTGGCTCACTGCAACCTCCACCTCCTGAGTTCAAGCGATTTATCCTGTCTCAGCCTCCGGAGTGGCTGGGATTACAAGTGCCTGCCACCACACCTGACTAAGTTTTTTTTGTATTTTTAGTACAGATGGTATTTCACCATGTTGGCCAGGCTGGTCTCAAACTCCTGACCTCAAGTGATCCACCTGCCTCGGCCTCCCAAAGTGCTGGGACTACAGGTTTAAGCCACGGCTTCTGGCCTACACACACATTTTTGTACATTCCCACCAGGCCACTGAGTACAATTACCATGTGATAGACATAAGAAGGAAGCAAGAGGGCATCCTGTCCACTTCTGAGTTGAGGGAATGGAGGCCCGGACATGACTTCCCTAAGAGCCCCTGTGAGTGAGTGACAGAACTGAAAATACAACCTTCTTCTCAGCACAGGATCTCTGCATTGCACCAACTGCCTTTTAATCCCTTTGTTCCTTGTTGCTGAATAAAATTTGAATTTCTAACGTTAAGCATTTGGGTTGATTTCAGGTTTTGGGAAATCCTATTAAAAAAGAAAGAAGAATCCTTCCCTTCCTGCCTTATTTTTTCCTGGACATCCTTAAAGCTTCCTGGGGAACCTGGAGGCTGATGAGAATCCTTAAATGCAAATCTATCAGCTCTGTCTGGGGCCACAAGACTTGAACTTAAATCCAGTATTTTATCTCATGTTTTGTGTCTACACTCCAGAAGTGTATTATAACACATTGGCATGTGGCCTCTTGACAGGGACTGTGCAAAATATTCTGTAGCCATGAAAGATCCCAAGAAATATTCTATTTTGCTGATATTGTAGAAACACATCTACAGTACAGAATTTTTAAAAATTGACCATATATTTGCTTTGTTTACATGGTAAAATTATTTTGCTAAACTAGTCATATTTATCTTCCCCTTTGGCCCTATCTCAGTTGGCAGAGTGGAGAGAAATAGAGATGTGAGAGGCTATTATCTAGGTAATTCCATGGAAAATATATGTACTTTTCCAATAGTTGAAATATTTCATATTTACTAGAAATAAAAACCGTGAGTTAGAATTCCATTGTTTTCTTTAGTCGCATACGTTAAACTGAAGGAGTCAGTCCATGACACGGTTGAGCTGATTATTTTAAAGTGGATTGATCCAATTTGATTATTCACATATGGAATTTTAAGAAATCACCCAGACAATAGTTAATTGTATCATGTTTCCACTTTACCTTAGGCAAAAGAAGAAGGCCCACTACAGATGTACAGAGTTCATTTGAACTATGTGGGTGTACAAATGTTCCTGGGGGCTTTTCCCTCTGGGCCAAGGTCAGGCGAGGGCAGTACCCACACACTCTCCAGGGTTAGCTGCATTCTCCACTGAGCAGCCCTTCTCTAGTGAAGGGAGCTGAGGGGCACTGGGAGGGTCCCAGACCCCAAATATCTTCCTAACTTCCTCTTCCCAGAATGTTTGTGTGTTTTGCACTTATGTGTCAATCTTTTCATAAAACCCAATAGATTGAAATTGTATCTCATGACCTTATCAGAAAAGGAGGAGGCAGCAATCTGTTAATTGTGGCATGAGAATTGAAGATTGACATGTGAGTCCCATAGGTGATACTGGGGTGCTAACAGGGTCATTGGGAAGCCAGCAATGTATGAAATGCACCTGCTCAGAAGTTTTCCTAACGTTGACCAGCTGAACCTACAACTCAATACTTCAGTTTGGGAATGCATGTTGGTAGGATACCCCAGTCATAGAAAATATGCTTACTCTTCAGGTCCTGCTTTCTGTTTATATAAAGTGGGAGGCTGGGAACATGACCTCTGACATGTCCTCTGGAACTCCCTGGGGACTTCCTTTTAAATGATGTAGTTGACAATGAACTCTTTGGAGAGGCAGATGCTGCTGGCCAGTGTGTTGCTGGCAGGGTGTTTTCACCCAGACACTGCTGGGTGTGATGGAGCAAGTGCTGCAGACCCACGTGTTCTGTCTCCTCCTTCTAAGCTGCAGCAGTTTCACGCCATGGCCTTCCTCGGTGAATATGGTATCATCAACGCTGGAGATCTGCTAATAATTTATGAAGTGCATGAAAATATTATTCTTTTTATTGATTGATTGATTTTTGAGACAGGGTCCTGCTTTGTCACCCAGGGTGGAGTACAGTGGTGTGATCACAGCTCACTCCAGCCTCAACCTTCTGGGCTCAAGCAGTCCTCCCACCTATGCCTCCTGCGTAGCTGGGACCACAGGCATGTGCCTCTACATCCGGATCATTTTTTAATTTTTTAAAAATTTTTGTAGAGATGGGGTCACACTGTGTTGCGCAGTCTGGTCTCAAATGCTTGGCCTTAAGTGATCCTCCTGCCTCAGCCTCCCAAAGTGCTCAATTACAGGCTAATTTTTTTATTATTACTTCTTGTAGAGACAAGAACTATGTTGCCCTGGCTAGTGTTGAACTCCTGGCCTCAAGCAATCCTCACACCTTGGCATCCCAAAGTGTGGGGATTACAGATGTGAGCCATCTTGCCTGGCCTGAAAATTTTATTGAGAGAAAATTTTGGGGAAAAAAGCTGTGCTCGCTCAGGCTAATAGGCTAGAAAGACGCAGTAACTCAGGAAAATTTGCATTTTTGTGGTTAGAGAGCAAACCCGTGTAAACTATGATATAAATGTGAATGAAATAATAAGTGCGTTTGAAGCTTTAGAAGGTATGATGGGTTGAATTCTAAAGATTTAAATGGAATTAAGAAAGAAATATATAAAATTTTTTATCTTCTCTCATCCTTTTTTTCCTGAAAGGAAACAAAATCTAAATAACAGAAATAAGACCAAAAAAAAAAAAAAAAAAGAACTCAACTTTTCAAGTGAAGGAAATATGCAAGACATAGTTATAGAAATGTCTCTAATGGTTTGAATTTTTGCAGGGTAATGGTGCACATTCCCAGACACATTATTTAATCACGATTACCTTGGATGGAGTCAGGTTTTTCTTGACACTGTTTGCTTCTTTCCATGGTATCTGGGGCAAACATCTTAAACTGGATCTTTTACTTCCTAAAAATAATAATCACAGGTTTTTACATCCCTTTTCATTTCTGCTACTAAGTCAATGTGAATCCTTACATTGCATCTGCAGTTTGACTAGGACTATATTTCTACATGAAAGTTTCTTGGGAAATGATTATTTGACAAAATTTGTTTACTGTTTGAGCATTTAGTAGGATATAGAAACAACTAATGACCTGCCCAGACAGGTACTGCACATTGTGCAGATGTCAATATCCACATCAAATAGATTGGATTACAACAATGGAATTGATTTTTAGCATAAATCAAGCCTAACACCTACCAGCCACTTATCAAAGGAGTGAATCACATTTGAAAGAAAGAGGAGTCCTGTCAAAGTTTTTGTAAATATGTGACACTGTAATTTTCTAAGTCTATTCATGAGACGATTGGCTCATGCTTGGGGGAAAAATGCAACCACTTGGAACCACTGAATTCCAGGTAAGTGAGAAGCCATCGCTGTCATGCTCTCAATACAAGTCCCGCTGTCGGTCTGAAGCTCGCCGCAGCTGCTGGCGTTTTCGCCTCCGCCAGATTTCAGATGAACTGTCACGGACACTCAAATGAACTAGAGCTATCTCTTACATAGAAGCAGATGTAGCAGAAACCAAAACCAAGTCAAAACTATCAATCGTACACAATTCACAAACGTTGCCTCTATGTGTTGCCGAAATTATCTACACTTGGGTGATGTATTGCTAGGGGGCAGGGTTAAACATTCTGTGATGTTTATTCCAAACTAACAGCTGAAAAATGCTCAAAAATTAATAAGGGGTTACATTATCTTTTAAGTTTCGTGTTCAATAAATAACATTACTTTTCTGTTAGGCAAAAATCTAGAACTGATCAAGACGCTATTATTAATTACTAACAATATTGAGATCAATAAAAAGATGCTTTTAGTTTGAAAACCTTCTCTTAAACTTTTCGAAGACTCTTTTTAATTTACTAAAGCAGACAGTTGAAGACAGTTGAAGAGTAAAAATTAAATTATTTAATTTAAATTAACAATTAACAATTAAATCATTTCTTTGTCTCTATAAGACATTTTCCCTGCAATAATTGTTTTGGTACCATGAATAATAAATTGAGAAAATCAAACCACTCTTTTTAGAGCCTGTTATGGGCCAGTCACTTTCAAATGCATCCTGTGGGCTATGTAGTATTATTTTTATTTTTTAAACGGGAAAGGTTAGGCTCAATGTGGTTAAACTGTTTGCCCAGACTCTTACCACTAACAAGTCCTGGTGTTTGCACCCACATTTGCCTGACTGTGAAGCCTAACTCTTTGGACATGCCATTCAGACAGGGCATGAGAAACATCTCCTCTGTCACCAACACTCTGAAAGAAAGTCAGCTATTTAAGTCCAACATAAGCTACTGTGTATTACTTTTCTTCCAGGAGTCTCAAATTACAGATGGACAATCTGGTGTGATTGTTACTATCTCATGCTTATTAAACAGAGTCACAAAGTCTTGGGACCAGTGGAGAGAGGAACAGTGTAGCACTAAAGGACATTACCAAAGCGCATTAGAGACATTCTTAGAAGCCTGTTGAAAGGAAGATTATGCAGCCTCCCCCACTTCCCAGCAGCAACAGTACAATTTCTAAGTCTAACAATCACCCCTTTCAGACTTTTCTGAAGTTGTGGTCTCTCCCAAAATATTAAAAATTATATGATATAGTGAGAAATAGTTTAATCTTTCATTACGGACTGTGAAAGTTTCTTTTCAAAGCATGATAGGATCTGACAGAGTAATGCCCAGCTGTCTAAGTTCAGCACATGTGAAAATCCAGGAAAGTAACAAAGACAGTGTTTGTCACATGTAGATTAAACCACAAGCAATAGCAAGCTATAGCAAGGTTAATGTGAGATGTGCGAGGCAGTTTCCTCTGCATTGCATGAAGCAGATGCACTGTAAATAAATTCAGTCATCTCAAACTTTTATTTCTTCATCTTCGAAAATGTTAATTATCAATTCTAGCCATTACTGAGTGTTTGCATGTGTATGTGTGTGTATGTATGCGTGTGTAGGTGTATATTCTGTGTGGGTGTGTTTTTTGTATGTGTGAATTGAATAATCAAATGATTAATTGTTAATTATTCATTAAATAAGAAAAACTACCAGTAAAATACAGCCTATTCCAACTTTTATAAAATATGAACTAGAAATATGTGATATCATTGAAGACCACATTAAAGATTACATATTTTTAATGTGTATAATGTCTATTGGAACAAGTTTTTCCTAGACTTATAGAAATAGTGAAGGTGATTTTAAAAATTACAAATTCTTCATAGGGAAATAAAAATCATACTGAGATCTGCTTGCTAGCCACTGTTGGTAATGAGATAATTAGAGGCAACAAATATATTAACATATTATAGCTCTAATATACAAGTTAATGAAATAACATTTTGACATTATATAGAAGTTAAAACTCTTAAAGTGGCTTTGCTATATAGCAGCTGCTCAAGAAATATTTAAATTCAAATTTAATTTTTGAATGGTTAGTCAGTGTCAGACACTAGGTAACAAATGTTTACACCCATGATCGCCTAATAATTTTGGTGTGTTTTTTTGGTTCCAAATTTACAGATGAGAGAGTTGAGAAAATAAGATCTAAGTAACATTTCTCGCTTTGATTACTAGGAATCTTAGCAACTAATTAAAAACCCAACTAGTGTCATAGTTATACATTTTGTATATTGTTAATTTTGTTCATCTTTCCTTATATTTTCTTACATTATTCATGTTATTTTTTAACCTGTTGTATATCTCTCTATAAATCACCTCAATTTCTTGTTTTCTCTTTTGTTTGATTTTGCTGTAAAAAGAGAAAAATTAACTTGATTAAATACATGTAATGCTAATATTCGCCTCAGCTGTTGTGTTTTGCTAATTTTTGACAGTCGAGGCTGGAACTCAGGCTTCCTGACTCCACTCCTCCAGGGCTAGATTCTCAATGATCATAAAAGTATCAGGTGAAATTACTCCTTGTAAAAACTACAACTCCACCCTCAAATAATCCATGAAGTGGTTGGTGAGAGAGAGAGAAGATGAAGATTTAAAACAGAAAACAAACATACTAATGGACCAAGAAGCCACTGAAGTAGCATCCAGGAGCAGAGGGGATGGTCCCAGGTTGGCTTCCTTCCTTCCCTTCTCTGGCCAACCCCTTGAAGTCTGCAGCCTTGAAGTTACAGACCAGACCTCACTTAAACCAAGTGAAAGGAGAGGAAGCAAGTCTGGCCATGCAAGGCTCCAAATCAGAGGGAGTTTCTTTCAAACAGGGTGACTTGGTTAACAAGAGGCACTTTTCTAGACATCAAAAGGCAGACACAAATGGAAACAAATGCCAAATGGACCTAATCAACCCTAATTGAGCATATTTTGTCAACACACTGTCAGGAGACTTTCTTCTGTAGACACTGGTGATGTCAGGCAGCAATGTGGACTTAGCCAATGCAGCTGTAAACTCACAGCATGTGAAGTTTAAAGCAGTGAGCTGATTCCGAGAACCACACTGTAGATCCAGAGCTGTCATTTGCTGTGGCTTCTCTGTCATTTGTACCTATGTGTTTATGCAACATCTATCAGACAAAATTATATTCAGCGTATTGACATTCTCCAGAAAAAAAAAAGAGAGAAATGACTTTAAAAAGTATCTTCTACACAGGTGCTTATTAAGTGTTTGTTGGGCATATAAATATGCAAATGAATGAAAAATGACAAAGTGAATTAAAATGATGCCCAATGCAAGAATATTGTACAATTTTTGTTCAAGAGAGAGGATCCCAATTTGGTGAGAAACATAACTGCTTCTTTTAATGCAGAAGTGCTGTGTCACAGAGTTTTAGGGATGCAGAAACTCAGAAAGCTGTGACCTTGGATGTTATTTTTGCTGGAGAGAGCCAACATGATATGGAACAAATTATAACACTGAGAACATTTCTCTTAGAAAACAGAGACAGATCTGTGGTTTTAATAGATTAGCAAGTAAGTGTGAGCTCTGCATGCCAAGCACAAGGAAAACAACAACTTACTAGATCATCAGAGGAAACTCTGGAGCAGCAGCACACAGTAAGGGCTGAGCTGTGTTTCTTCAAAAGCTACAGAATGTCAGAGGAAGGAATGTGTGAGTCATGAAATCACAGGTAGCATCTAAATGGCATTGGAGAGGCAAAGGAGGAGAGGGGGTTACGAGAAAAACATTTTAGGGTCTTGGCTGGGATAAAACTAAGAGGCTTTGTGGGGAAATCATACAAACTAAATTATAGAGGAAATCGGAAAAAATCAAATTGTTGGAACACAAGATTTTGTATGTTTTGCTGCAATGCCACTGACAATTTGAGACTGCAGGCAGAGGAACCAAAGATGGTTAATAGTGCCACAGCCATTTCTTTGTTATTTTAGTAACATGAAACTGAGAAATAATTAAAGGAATAAAGAAGACTTACATTCCTGGTTTAGCCCCAGATTAAAAACAAATTTTTATCCATTTTGACAAGTTTTCTTAAACATAATAAAATTGACATGTTTAAGCATTCTTTTGGCCACCTCTCCCTGACAAAAGAGCCCAGAAATTGGAGGTATCAGAGGAGGGCTAGAGAGGTTGGCAAGACTGGAAACCTGGAGAAGTGAGGAGAAGCCAGAGGATGTATTTAAACATTCCTGTAACCCACCATCATTATCAATGAGTTTCTCTTCGGTTCCCACATTCTCTTCTTCTTTGGCTCATGCGTTCACTCATCAGATACTTATTCTGCCTTAACTATGGGAACACACTGCTCTGGTATCTATAAAGGATATTACATCGAATAAAGGAAGAACTCCCAAGGGTGCTAGGAACTGTGGGACAATTAAGATGCATTCACTTATTTTCCTGAATTCCAATTGTGTATTGAGTGGAATGTAGAGGCATTGTTTTGTAGCTTTGGCAAGGATAGCAATCCCTTATCTGGGCAAGTTAGGTAAATTTATTAGGGGTAAAAATGTGAAGTGATTTGCATCCTTGTAGGGCCAGAAAATTGAGAAGTGGCTTCCTTCTAAATTCCCACTAGACTTCCCTTCCCCCAGTAAAGACAGAGCAACACACCACCCACTCCCTTCTCTTTTGTTGTCCTGGTTGTTGATTTTAGAAGAAAGAGTAATGAGGACTTTGAAGGTTTATCATAGCGGGCAACAGGAACTACTCAATTTAATCTGTTGTCCTTTCCCTTAATTTTAAAATTACAATTCTTTCACTTCAAATAGGCTTTGATCTTTTTTCTAACTAGTCTTTGCAGAACTACAGTCTGGATAATTTGTGTCTAGTGTATATCCTATTGATACAAATGTCAGGTGTACATACACCCACTTACTGGGTTAGCCTAATTTATCATTACCGGATTTTCATGTCTAGCCTAGGGCTGGGTTGTAAGAGAGACAAAGTACTTCCACATTTTCTTCTGCTTGCCAAAAATTTCCCTGCATTATATTATGTTGAGTCTTTGATTTTTTTTTCTCAAATCTTGCTTGACTTTATTTGTGAGTTGCATTCTTTTTGTATTTTTATTTCCATTTTGTTCTGAAAGACATTTTAGAAAGTATTCTTTATTTATTTAGGATTTGCAAATTATTTAAGGCAGCATTCTTCCAGCAACTGGAGTGCAGTTTTTCCCTTATGTTTTATGAAAACACTTTATCTTCAAAGGAAAAACCTAACAACCCTTGAATTTACTAGAAAACTGCAGACGAATCATCATGTTTGTTAAGTGAGTGAAGATGGTGCAGAAACCTCCTGGTCCATCTTACAAGCAAGGAAACAGACTCATGGGGACATCTTGCAGCTTGCTCTCGATCCCCAAGCCCGCTAAGCTGAGCGAGCTCCCTGGCCTCCCTCCCAGGATGTCGCTGTATTGTGCTGCTTCAGCTGCTGCTGTCTTCTGCTTTTCATACCTTGTGCAAGACCCTCCCGCTTCCTCTGCTCCAACCACTCTGGGTCTGCTCGTCCTGCCTGGCTATGGCAGAGATAGGAGAAAGAAGTACCTCCTGGATGTGACTGTGTTCTGGGAGGCTAAGAGGCTCCCTCTGGCTTTTCCCTATCCCATGGAATGTTACACCTGTAATCCCAGCACTTTGGGAGGCCAAGGCGGATGATCACTTGAGCTCAGGAGTTTGAGACCAGCCTGGCCAACATGGTGAAACCCCATCTCTACTAAAAATAGAAAAATTAGCTGGGTATGTTGGCGCATGCCTGTAATCTCAGCTACTCAGGAGGCTGAGGCAGGAGAATCACTTGAACCCGCAAGATGAAGGTTGCAGTGAGCCGAGGTCATATCATGACACTCCAGCCCGGGCGACAGAGCTGTCTCAAAAAAAATTGCGTCTGATCCACCATGCTCTGTGCTTACCTCTTCTGCAGTGCTGTCTTAGTGACACAAGGAATGATGCATAGACTTCCCTTCCTGGGGCCTCTCTATGCGTCTTGCCTGCTCTGCATTCCCCTGCTCAGACATCAGACTGATAAACATTTGGGGAATGGAAGAGGGAAGAATTCTAGAACCCACCAAGGAGGCACGCGTGGACACGCTTTTCCCTGAGACTTACTGGCCTCAGGTAAATGGTCAAATGGTTAACTGCAAATCTTATTTATGTCCTGACAGAGACTGAAAATACTGGGGGTTTTCCAGAACTGTGAGTTATGCTTTGCATGTTTGTTTCCCCATCAGCACTGGCTTTCCTGACTTTATTTTTCTGTCTTGACTCTATCTTCACTCATCAAGTTGTGACCTCTCGGTCACCCAGACTCGCCCTTGGTGATGCAACACCTTTCTCTCTTTCTCACCGCAGGGAACAGCATTGCTCCGCTCCATCTATCCTGTTTCACGCCTTTCCAGCTTAGTTTTAAATTCCTTACTGATTAATTCTGTAATTAAATGATTAAGATTATTTTAGGGATATAGAGAATAAAATGTCAATAGAAAGAGATCCTACTGAGCTCTGTGTTTAAGGACAAAACTAAATATTAGTAACAACTATTTTGTCTTCTTGATTTGTTCACAAAGTATCTTTATGAAGATACTTATTCATATGGTAGCAATGCAACCGCATTATGCATATGGCATAAGCTAAAATTTATCTTCACAAATACTTATTTGATGAAAACATGTTCTCAAATTTTACGTGTAATTTATTCACTGAGAATTAATGTAACATATGGGCCCCCTATGTAACCTTTTGCAGTTGATCTATTTCTGCAATTTCCATAGGCAGTGTCTGTGAGCTAGGCTCCCGATGTGATGTGGGGATACATTTTCCATAACTGGTGTCTGGTTCCTCGCTCTTGCTTGGTGCCAATTCTCTCTGTGAAAAAAGAGGTGCTCTAAGAATAGCTAATGACTCTTTACTGGATGTTTTCGAGAATGATTCCAGACCCGAGGATTCCCAAATAAGACATGAATACTGAAAATACCTTATGCCTTTAGTGATGCCCATAGTCCATCCATGGGATAACAGAGTCTAAAAGCGTATTCTGAATTTGAAATGCTCTTTGTCAAAGCATTCTTTTATAACCATTTCTATGTGCATTCAGCAAACATCTACTGGTTTGTTGCCAGACACTGTGCTAAGTATTGGAGGTAGAAAGATAAAGAACATGCAAACCCTGTCCACAACTTTACAACAAAGTAGGTCAGAAAGATGCACAAAAACAATTATCGTTCCATGTACCATGTGCCACCACATGTACATATATGCACTCACATTCAGGGCCGGCTTTATGGGTACGTGATTTGTGTTGTTGCACAGGGCCCTGGCTTAGTTAGATGGGGCCCATGCTTGGTCTAATACTCCACTGTTGCCATGTTGAAATTCTTCACAACTTTTGAACAAGGGCTTTATATTTTCATTTTACAATGGGCTCTGCAAATTACATAGCCAATCCAGCTTATAGTCATACCTTCCTTTTTTATAAATTTTCCTCTTGGTTCTGTTTAATACTGTTAGCAAACTCAAAGGTTTGAACAATCCCCTATGCAATAGAAATAACATATTTAATATGTTTACACATCAGGCTTTGGGCTTTTATTGATGTTCTAGTAGTGTAGCTTTTGTATTTCTATTTTAGGAAAACAAGAGTATATCTTAGACCCTGGCCACTTTAAGACACAAAGTTAATTTTTAAAATATGGTAATTGTGGTAAATAGATTTTCTTTTTTCATTGCTTTAATATACATGTTTTCTCTTTTTTTCCATCAACTTTTATTTTAAGTTCCAGGGTACATGTGCAGGATGTGCAGGTTCATTACATAGGTAAACATGTGTTTGCTGCACAGATCAACTCATCACCTGGGTATTAAGCAGAGCATCTATTAGCTATTCTTCCTGATGCTCTTCTCCCCTCATCCCTCCCTGACAGGTCCCAGTGTGTGTTGTTCCCACCATGTTTCCATGTGTTCTCATTGTTTAGCTCCCACTTATAAGTGAGAACATGTGGTATTTGGTTTTCCGTTCCTGCATTAGTTTGCTGAGGATAATGGTTTCCAGCTCCATCCATGTTGCTGCAAAGGACATGATCGCCTTCCTTTTTATGGCTGCATAGTATTCCATGGTGTATTTGTACCACATTTTCTTTATCCAGTCTATCATTGATGGCCATTTGGGTTGATTCCATGTCTTTGCTATTGTGAATTGTGCTGCAGTGAGCATACACATGCATGTAGCTTTATAATAGAATAATTTATATTCCTTTGGGTACATACCCAGTAATGGGATTGCTGGGTCAAATGGTATTTCTGCTTCTAGATCTTTGAGGGATTGCCACACTGTCTTCCACAATGGTTGAACTAATTTACATTCCCACCAACATTGTAAAAGCGTTCCTATTTCTCCACAGCCTCATCGGCATCTGTTGTTTCTTGACTTTTTCATAATCGCCATTCTGACTGGCGTGAGATGGTATCTCATTGTGGTTTTGATTTGCATTTCTCTCATGATCAGTGATTCAACATATCTTTGTTGAGTGCCTAATAACTATCAAGCACTGTTCTAGGTGCAAGGATATATCATTGGGCAAGACAGCAAAACTCCATGCCCTCATGGAGTTCATATTCTAGTTGGTGGGGAGAAAATTTAATCATCAAGTGATGTTATGTTACATCATGATTGAAGGTGGTAGGTGCCATGGAAAAAGCAGAGCAAGGGAGGGAACATGAGTTTTCAAAGAGGGAGTCCAGTTTGAGTAAGGTCAGGAGCTGCAGTGTAAAACGTCTTTTCCATGTGTTTGTCTTTAATAGCGTGACTTTAATATTAGAACTAAAGAGTTTCACAAAGCCATGAGAGATATGCAGAGCCCAATGGAGTGTCATATTACTATCTCTAAGAATTGGGGGCGAGGCACGGCAGATCACAACTGTAATCCTAGCACTTTGGGAGGCTGAGGCAGGAGGATTGCTGAAGCCCAGGAGTTTGATTTCTTCTGCACCTCAGCCCCAAAATTCTCTGGTTAATAATTAATCTTGGTCAACTAAATTGGAACAAGCTGGAAACCCCCACTTGTTTGGAAATCCATAAACACCATTTAATCCTGGGAATGATGAGCATAGTTACAGAAATAACTAAGTAAACCTGACCCACAATACTCTCTTTAAGAATCATCTATTTGTACATGTTTGGGCAATTTAAATAGTGGCCAAATCAAGATATCTAACAAATAGCCCTCATGATTCAAATGTAAAATATAGTTGATATTATTGTGCTTCAAAAGTTCTAAGTTTACTAATCGTGTAAACAGTATTAATATATTAATAAAATCTAAAAGTTGTCAAGCTTATGCATTAAATTTATTTCATTTATGCAAACATATTTTAGAAAGGTTCTAGTTCTTAGAGGCAGTTGAAGAACATAAGAGAAATCAAATATATTACATTTAAGTATGCAGTTTAAGGCAATTAATGAAGTTGTAGAAGACTCCTTATGAATGGTTTTTAAATTTATCATATTATAAATAATATGTTATAAATAATTAAAATATATAAGATTATAAATCTTTAAAGATCTTTATTGAATTATAAATTAAATTTAAAAGCTTAGGTAAAACATAAAGAGTTTTGATTAGTATCTTTAACAAATCATAATAATTTTAAAGTCCAAAGTAACCATAAATAGTTTTTCCTGTGCCTAAATACCTAACCTTAAAGACACCTGAGTTAATTTCACCATGTGAGCTAGAGATAGTGATAGCAGTTGAGTCTGGGAATCCAACTTGCAGTTTTTTAAAAGGCCTAACTTGCTCTTTTGTTAATTATAAGACAAACAAGGCAGGGCTGGTGAAGCTTCTCTGCTTCTTTTAAGATGTGTGGTTATGAAGGATTTTTCAGAAACTAAGAAGATTAATTTTTATCCAAGTAATACTCCAATGCTTGAGATTCCTATAATTAAAAATACATTCATTGAACACAAGCAGTCCTAGACTTTTGAGGGATAAAAAGACAGGTTCCTTATCCTACTGGATTTTATAGTCTTTTTTGTTTTTGTTTTTGAGATGGAGTTTCACTCTTGTTGTGCAGGCTGGAGTGCAGTGGTGCCATCTTAGCTCGCTGCGACCTCTGCCTTCCTGGTTCAAGCTATTCTCCTGCCTCAGCCTCCCAGAGTAGCTGGGATTACAGGCGCCCACCACTGTGCCTAGCTAATTTTTGTATTTTTAGTAGAGATGGGGTTTCACCATGTTGGCCAGGCTGGTCTCAAACTCCTGACCTTAAGTGATCTGCCCACCTTGTCCTCCCACAGTGCTGGGATTACAGGCTTGAGCCACCGTGGCCGGCCAGATTTTATAGTCTTGTTAGGGAGACAGGTGTATTTAATAATGACTAAGAAAGAGTGCAGAATATGGTAAGTGCCAGAAGGAAAATCCAGGTGAGATCCAGGAATGGAGCATAGAATTCCATTTAGGGAGGGGGTGGCAAGGAGGTCTGGAAGGGCATTCTGGAGGAGCAGCCTTTGAGGTGGATGATGGAGGATCTTTAGGGTACCTACAGGTAGAGGTGAGGTGGGAGGGCAGGCAGCCACACAGACCAGTGCAGCCAGAGATACAGGGACTGGGATGTGAGAGGCATGTGTAGGGAGTGATGAGTGCGAATGGTGTGGCTGGAGCCTGATGAGATAGGGATGGGGAGGGGAAGTCAGGCCAGATAATTCTATGCTCGCTTCCAGCTTCCCCAAACACCGTTCCAATACCTTCCCTCCAGTCCTAAGAATGCCTCTTGCTCCATTCAAGTCCTCCCTTTGAGACTCAGGCCTGGTTTGTTCCCTTACTCCAGCATGGTACCTCCCCTAAAATTCTTGTCCACACTAGTCCTTTGTCAGGTAACCACATATTGTGTCAGACAGCTTTCATGATGAATTATAATGGGAGAGGAACACTTATTCCCAGCTCCTCTCGTGCCCAGGAGGGAGGAATTTTTCCCTGAACACTCTGGCTTCTCACCCTGATTGGTGAGACTGGGACAAAAAACTGGGTGGGCATAGCTTGACCCTTTCCCCTATCCTCCTCTCTCGGGAGCCAGGCTGCCAGATATTATAGTTTGCTTCTCTGCTTGAGAAGATTCCTGGGGACAACTTCAACATGTGTTTGCGACTAGGTGGGTTTGTCTTATTCTGGGGTTTTGTGTTAGAAACTCCATTATTGCCTCACAACACACATTTTCCAACTTGGTTATTCTCAGCAATGAACATACTCTTGATTTCTATCTTCCTGCTCCTTGCCTATTTCTTAATTGATTTAAACATGGTTATGGTAACTCTAAAATAAATACTTTATCTCTGCAATGAGGCCACTAACACAAATAGGGAAATAATATGTGCCTTTTTTTCCCCCTTGGGTCACTCTCCTATTCTTTCAGGAAACATTTATGGTTTGTCTGCCATATCTTCTGTAGATAGATGCTTTTCTTTTTTGTATAGGGTTATACTATATATTAGGGCCATACTATAAAAATGTTAAGGGCTCAAATGTTTGTTGACTGAATGTTGAGGAATTTGGATTTTACTCCATAGGCAAAGAAAAGTAATCAAAGGTAAATAAGACAAGGTCAAAGTCTCCCTCTCCTTTCTTTGCTCAGAGATCAGGTTGAAAATGCAATGGAAACAGGGGTCATATTGGCTTCACTGCACATTTATGTATAAATCACTGGGTGTTTCCCACATTCAGGATTTCTAGGACTAACATAAAGATACCACAAGGTAAATCTAAGGAGTGGAAGGGGTGATGGCGGCTGCAGAAAAAACAGGTTGAGAATACTTAAAACAGATTCCAATAAGTGTGTTTCAGCAGAGAATAGTGGAACACTTAGACATAGAAAGTGACAAAAAGGACTCCCATGTGTCTGCCCTTTGCTGTTTTTCTTATCTCCTTGCAAGTTACCCTAAAAATCATGGTAACTAAATAAAACATCTACTGATTTTTATACTGCTTGTCTCTTTAAGGCCATAGTACCAGTCCTGCCAGGCTATTCATCAGCACAGCCTGGCTATTTTGACAGGTGGACCCAACTAGATCTAGAGTCTTAAATTTATTGTATCAAGATACGGATCATGACACCTGATAGTTGACAGTAAAACTATAACCTGGAAGGCTCACATCATTGGATTTATTTACAACAGAGGAATGCAACATGTCAAATAGCTGCCTTATAGATAAATGGAGCCAGAGATGAGGGAAGATCATCGTTTTTTTCCACTGCCTGGGAAAATTTTAGCCCTGCTGGGCTATGTCTGGGAAAAGATTCCCATTCTGGCTTCCTGCTGCTAGGGGGGTTGGCCTAACTCAAGGCAGAATTCAGCTCAGAGCATTGAAGAGTGGTGCACACAGACCCTCCAGGCAGGGTGCATGAGGCTCCGCCCAAAATCTGCAGTACGATACTGCATGATGCTTAAAGAAAATAGCTCTCTCTCTCTTTTTTTATTTTTAACCAGAGGCGTTTCATGTAATGAAAACCAAAGGCTTTGTGGTTCTTCTCAGGATGGTGTGCTACTTGTCACAATGTGTTTGCAAAATCAGAAGGAGCCTGAATGAACATGTGTGTGTTTAATTCCCCGGCCAAGTCCACCACCACAGCAGGGGCTGGCGCTCAGTGTGATATTGGTTTTCACCAGCTGTTGGGGAGCGAGACACATAACAGGTGGGGAGGGCTGGCAGATGCAACAGCTTGCCTTCTGGTTGCCAAGAAATAGATTGGCCAGCTACAAATGTGGTTGGTCTGAGGAGTGGGATGCCTTTTGCATGGCAAGGACAGGATGGCCACCCTGACAGTGAAAGATGCCAGTGGATCCTGGGTGTGCTTGGGTGGTCCCGATTTCAACCACTGTAGGCGCTGTCAGACCATGTGACAGGTCAGTCAAACCCTGGGTCCTGATACATCTGTGAATATGGAGAGGTTGATTAACCGGCATCAAGCAACACCTGTTTCCTCCAAATTGCACTCAGTTGTCACAGAGTCTGAAATTCCATTATTAGGAATTCACTACTTTGGTCTTGAAGCCCTTTTGTAAAAATTTTCAGGGGTCCCCATTAAAGCAACTGAGTTCATAAGCAGTGGCTAACAGAGAGCAAAGCTCTTATCACAAGGTGAGTGGGTATCAGGATTGAAAGAAGCCACTGAGGGCTTCTGAAGCCCTCCTCCAGGACAGCACTTATGCTGAATGCAATTTCTCTTTTTCCTATTAGATTATGACCTGTATAAGACCAAACACTAAATCTTCTTTATTTTTGCCTCTCTTATAGCTACCCACAACTGTATTGACGTAGATAGGAAACTCAATGAAAAGCTGGAAGCTAAATGCAGGAAAGCCCATCCTCAATTGCATAAAATGGTTGCACACTCACATGCCCAGATGGTTCTCTTTCTCATCTCATACCCTTGAATTTTAAGTATTGTGTTGACCAAACAGTTCCTTGTGCAGCCAGGTTGGACCCATTTGAGATGCAATTAGTCCACTGAAGAGAAAATAATAGAAGTTGGTGGGTCCAATGTCCCTTTTGTTTATTTGGGGAATTGGATAAAATTAGGTTATCCTGCATCATCACACTTCACTGTAAGCATACAGGTTCCCATTCAAAGTGTGTACAGCTAATCTAAAGAAAAATTCACCCACCCGCAGACCCTAATTCTCCCAGCTGATAACCACACTTTTTACTCTACTAGAAAAGAATATGCCTATTTTCAGGCGCACAGATTGTCAACTTCCTCCTTGCCCAATCTTCCATGTCAAATTCATTTATCATTTCATCCATCTTTTTTTTGCTGCTTCTCTGTGGTAGAAAAACGTGTAACCTCCTCTTTCTCCCATACTATATACCCCTTCTCCTCCTCATTCTTCCTTCCTTTCTCCTTCTTCTCTATCTACCCTGGTGTTCTAGCTTCCTTACAACTTTCCAGTTGACCCCAGACTTAAACAAAAACTTTAAAAAAAATCTTCCATATAGCCTTATCTGATGGTCCTTTTTCTTATTCTTAAATATGTTTAACTCTTCCATCTTAAAAACATTTCTTCTCAAGTGTGCCCTGCTTCAAGGCCTCAGCCTAAAGCCCAGTTCACAATTGCCATGCTTCTGGAAAGAGGAGTCCACAGCTCCTTGTGTGCCCAGCTTCTAGTCATCTCCTCCTTATGGCCTTATTCTGCTGATGCTGGTCTTGCGAACATCACCTCACAATTATCCTCTTTCCAGGTCTCATTGTCATTGACCTCTTTGTAGAATGAGACACAGTGGGCCATGCCTTCCCGCATCTTTTTGGTACACTTCCTCTTGCTTTCATTTCTGACTTTCCTGCTTTTGCACCTTAGCTTCTCTAACAGTCTGCCAGGGCTTCCAAAACCCTGTACCACAGACCAAGTGGCTTATGCAACCTAGACTTATTTCCTCACAGTTCTGGAGGCTGGAAGTACAAGATCAAGGTGTCAGTAGAGTTGATTTCTTCTGAGGCCTCTCCTTGGCTTGCAGATGGCCATATTTTTCTGGTATCTTCATATAGTCATCCCTCTCTGGATATCTGTGTCCAAATTTCTTGCACATATAGGGACACCCATCACACTGGCTACCTTTGTAACCTCATTTTGCTGTAATTACCTCTTTAAAGGTCATATCTTCTAATACAGCCACATTCCCAGGTACCAGGGGTGAGAACTTTGACATATGAATTTGGCGGGGGGCGTCCCTGAGCCCACAACACTGCCTACTGCCAGATTCTCTTTCTTTGCCTCTCTTATTTTCTGGTGCTCTCTGCAATTATCTCAGATAATTCCTTGTGTTCTGTCTACATCTGTGTTTCTTAAGAATATGGTTGTAGACTACTGGTTACAAATATTCACCACTTTGCCACATCCCTGTCCTCTTGGATCAGAATCCCTGGGGAGAGATTCAAGGAGTGCACCTTCTGCAGCCTTCATAGATGATTCTTGTGCACCTCGGAGTCTGAGAACTAGGACTCTGCGTGATGCCCAGTCACCTCATTTACTGCCATGGCTTCCGCTACCATCTCTTGGTGGATGTCTTTACATTTAGGGCTCTTTACCTACTTCGTAAGCTTCAAATCCACATTTCCAACTATTATGTGGACAAATCCACCCTGGTGTCTCATTGATATCTCAAACTCCACATGTCCGAGAGGAAATGCCTCCTCATTTGTCTCCAAGTCAGTTCTTCTAAACGCCGGACCCCATCTAATGGCATTCCTGTCTACTTGCACTTCAGAGCTGGAAACCGTAGTGTTCTTCTTTATTTCTCTTATTTCCCTCACCTTCTTCCCTATAAAATTCAGATGATTCTTCCACAGAAATGTCTCTTCAGCCTGACTCTCCTCTTCCCCGTAGAACTGTGCTCCTGGTGCAGACCCTCACCACTGCTGTCTTCCTTGGGTCACTGCACCAGCCTTACCCCTGGTTTCCCATTCTCTCCACACTGCCGTGCAACTCCACACTGCTGCTGGGCTCACTTTTCCAAAACCTCAATGTCATCGCCTCTCTTTCCCTATTTTAAGCCCTTCTGTGAGCTCCCTTGTTAGATGACGGCATGCCTCCCAGCATGGCTGGTCATCAGAGGAACCGGGGTAGTTTTTAATAACCAGACTCCCAGGCTCCAAGGCTTTCCTGATTCACTGGTCTGGGCTGACATCCCGGCTATCTGAGGATCAGCCAAGTCTGGGAACACCTAGGAGGTGGATTCTAGCCCGCAGGATAAAAACCCAACCCCTCCACTTAGGTGGTTCCCAAATCACTTAACCAACCTCCCGAGTCTTGCCTCCCTCTGCCTTTCTCCATGTCCACATAAAACAGGGCTTAGGTTTTTCTAAATCTGATCTAGTTTCTCACCATAACTTTGCAGTTTCTTTCACCTGAAATTCCTTTCTTTACTATTCATTGAGAAATTCCTATTCACCCTTAATGACCCAATTTAAAGATCCCCTCTTTTGTCAAGCTTCCCTAGCCCTGGGTGCCCTTCAGCTTGTTACTCCTATTTCTGTACCAGAATTATTACATCACAATGCAATTTACCTATGCATATATCCAATCTCTCCAAAAGATCGGAAACTCAAGTATCTAATATCTAGCGACACGTAACAGGAGCCTAGTAAATATTTGTTGGATGAATAATCTTTTAACATATAGGTGCTCTGATCTTATGGATAAAGAAAAACCCACAGTGTTTTTGTCATGATCAGAACATGCTTCTGTTTGGAACAAGAGCCCAGACAGGCTCTAGGGTTACAGTTATTCTCTGAGGAACAGGGGACAGCCAGAATGCAACAGGCTGTGACTCAGAATAGGACTCTAGACCCGGTGAATTAACCAATGTCCACCAGAAAATAGATTCAATATCACAGTTAAAGAATGTGGATATATGGGTCCCGGCACTGCAGCTAATGCCTATAATCCCAGTGCTTTGGGAGGCCAAGGTGGGAGGATTACCTGAGGCCGGGAGTTTGAGACCAGACTGGGCAACATAACAAGATCTTGTGACTACAAGAAATTAAGAAATCAGTCAGGTATGGTGCTGTGCCCTGTAGACCCAGCTACTTGGGAGTCTGAGGCAGGAGGATTCTTGAGCCCAGCCTTTAATGAGACTGCGGTGAGCTGTGATTGTGCCACTGCACTCTATACTAGGCAACGGTGTGAGGCTCTATCTCTTAAAAAAAAAAAAAAAAAGGATGTAGACATGCAGAACAGAGGGCATCACCTAATGCTATAAGCATATTGAGTTGGGTTAAAAATGTCCACATGTTCTTTGAGGCCCCTCCCACTAAGAGGTGGAGCTTATTTTCCCACCCCTGAATCTGGACTGCCCTTGTGACTTGCTTTGCCCAGTAGATGACATGGACATTACAGGGCATGACTTCAGAGTGAGGCCTCAAAAGCCCTTGTAGTTTCTGTTCTTGCCTCCTTGAAACACTTTTTCCATCATGAAATAGAGTCCTGCTCAGCCTCCTGGAGCATGAGAGGCCACATGGAAGAGAGCTGAAGTGCCTTAGCCAACAGCCCCAGGTGACCACCAGGCAGGTGAGTGAGGCCACCTAAGATGAGCCCGTCACCAGCTGAGCTGCCACCTGACTGCAGGTGCACAAGGACACCCAGCCAATACCACATGAGCAGAGCCCAGCTGTCCCTGCCACACCCCACTCTCACTGCAAGGACCCAAAATCATAACCAGTTAAATGAGTGGAGATTTTGCACCACCGAGTTTTGGGATGGTTTGTTTTTTAATAAAGATAACTGGTACATGGGTTGGTAGGCATAGTAGTGGTATTTTGGAACAAGAATTACTGAACTGACAAGACATTTTCCACAACCTCCATGAGATAAGGGAGGCCCTGATGTTCTATAAGCCTTAGGCAGGATTGGCTTAGGGACTGAGTGGAGTTGAACCTGAAGCTGAGATCCAGATCTCACTCTTGGCAGCTCAGAGACACCAGGGGGAAACAGATTGGCTGGAAAGGAGAGTCAACAGTAAGCACCACTAAACTGCACAACCATGTTTTCAGTGATCACCTAGTGTGCTTGAGCATGTGCTGTGTGGACATGGATGCAGTCATTGTCAGATATGTAAAAACATAGCTGGAACTATAATGGAGTCTTACAATGTGATCTTGTCCTGAGAACTCCTGAAAAATTATATGCTTTTCAAAGTTGTCTTTTATTGTTAGTTTCTTTAGTAGTGTTGCTTTAAGCAGCTTCCTAATGCCACACAAATCCTGAATTGTGTATAGGGATAATTAGTAGGTATATAGCCTAGGTTCTCTTAAACAGAGTTCTTCTGAAACATCAGCCCCACGGTTCCACAGCTGACACAGACGAACTGGGGATGGACGCTTAAACACATCAGCACAATCCATAAAGGTGTGAGGGTGTTTGGCATAAAGGGCATCCTGGTTTTTGGGGCCTGCTCTTCTGCAGATGCAGTGCGATACTCCCCCGCACTTCATCCCCATGATGGCTTTTGTCTGTTATCATATCTCAGTGCATTTCAGAACTCAGCTTCTGTTGTCATTTTTTCACTCTCCTCTTTACAAGATTTCATTACATTTTCCATGTTTTAATCCAAACAGCCAATGCCAAAAAAAAAAAAAAAAAGGAGAGAAAGAAAGTACAGCTGTGGTGAGTCATTAAAGTGATTTTTCCAGCTGTTTAACTATTATGTCTGGCCCCACAGCAGCCTCTAAAAGACTAAGAAAATGTTCTGCTTAGACTTTCTAGGGCTGAAAGTTTACAGATCACCAATTTTTCTTATATTAACAAACCCTTGTTATCACCTCTTGGAGCAATGGAGCAGAGGAACACAGGGAGGAAACGAAGGATTAAAATGTTTTAGTGTAGTCATAAAAATCTCGAGCACTGGAGTCAACAGACCTGGGCTTCAATCAGGGATCAGCTGCTGATGAGCTCAAGACACTGAGCATGTGACTTAGCTTCTCTGCATCTGTGTCTTCTTCGGTGATATGAGGGTATTATCTCAGTTACAGAGTCACTGAGGAGAGTAAATTGACTGATGTAAAAACATTTACTTCAGCAGTAACTGCCGTGTAGCCCGGGCTCCAACCCGGCGGCTGCGATGATTTTGATAGTCTGGAGGCCTTGTCTGTGGCCCTGGCTCTTCCTTCCCTGGCGGGGCGTGAGCTTTGCATTGTGCTTCTCCCAGCAGTTGGGGTGTGGAGGAGGAGCGCACAGCAGGCTGCGGTGTTGTGCCAGATGGCCCAGGTGTATTGCTTTCATGAAATTTACAACACGGGATATTTACACCTGTCACAGCTGTCACTCACTACAGGCAGATCAGACAGTGCTCCCTGAGAGCTGAGCAGGAATCTGTCACAATCTAGCTGTGCAGAGATGCCAGGCTCTCTTCCCTGCCGCCTGGCAGAGTGGAGAGGATGCTTTTCCATCTTCCCCACTTGGCAGCTAACTCAGTGCAAGGAGAGTCCCGTTTTGTACTCTTGCTCCTGCATCCCCTAACACCCTTGGGAATTTAGGTATCTAGAGGGAGGGTGGTTCTACCTTTAAGAGATTGCTGGGTGTATAAGAAAATAACCTGGTGCAGCTGGAAGGGTCTGGGACTGGAGTCTGGCACTAGGCTTACAATGGTGTTGCTGGTTAGCAGTAGCTTCTTCTGCGTAAGAGTCACTGAACCTCTTCAGATGCCAGCTCCTTTTTGTTAGGAAAAATAGTATGCATTTTGAATAGGAATAATCTCTAAGAAACCTACTATGTCTATATACTTCTGACTTTTATATCAAGAAGGCGTCATCCCAGGTTGCTAAATGAAAACATTAGACACAGCAATAAAAAGAAAGGATTCATTGAGACACATTGACCCCTTGGCTTTACCTCATAATTATTTCCAAAGTTCTCATAATCATGGCTGCAATCGATCATGGGCTTTTGGTTCGCAATGTAAGGAACTGAGAGAAATCCAATACAATACCAGTTCTTAACAGAAGCATGAATCCTTTTTTCCGTGAGCATGAAGCAAAATGTCCATATGAAAATAAGAAATAAGTATAAATGGTACAAGGATACACATTCAGAAAAAGTTATAAGACTATTTAAATTAGTTGAATATTAACAAAAGGGAGACACATTTTGATTAATCTGAAAGTGAATAAACACAAATTTTATTTCTAATCATTGTCTTATCTCAGAAGAGGTAATGTTACGGAAATATATTATAAAAACCCAATGTTCTCAAGAGTTATTGACCAATCATAAAGTTATGGAGAAGTCCAAATAAGTTACTTAAATATTTGTATACTGTTGGGGATTTTGATTAGGAGAAAGGAGTTAATTCTAGTAATCTATTGGGATGTTATTTAACATTATGTTTTATATTGCACGTTAGGAAAGACGGTAGAGGTAAATCTCAGTATTAACCATTAGACAAGTATAGCTTAGCCTCAATCTTCACAGAACTTGAAGTTCTAGTGGCTTGTGGTTCAAAAGCTTTCTGACCTCATGAATGGTAGAATGGTAGGTCCATAACAGTGAATGGAATCCACAAAACGCAGTGTTAGAGGTACATGGATAAAATAACATCCTCCAGCACACTTTGACCCCTTGCTTTCCTAGTCCCCAGCAGTGCTGGTAGCAGAGAGCAGTTGGCTATGGTCCACTGCACAGGATGGCTGTGATGTCATTTAGGAAGCCATCTGGAGGTTTGGCGATGAGCCTGTCACAACTTCACTTGTGCCATGACAAAATGCTGAAGTATCGCAGATTTCTTCCTGGCCCTTAGCTTCTGCTCTAGGGACACATTAGGACTTTGAGGATCTCATAAAATATTTCTTCCTTCATCCTGGACTCACTTTTTATCCAACACAATGCATCTAATGCATCTTGGGAGAATAACTCAGCCTGCTCTCATGCCTCCTTCTTTCATTTTGGGGTCTATATTGAATAAAGTAATTGATGTATCAATACATTTGGCATATTTGCATTATTGTGTCTTTAGGTTTCCTAGAAAATAAGATGTATTCAGGCTGGGTGCAGTGCTCACTCCTGTAATCCCAGCACTTTGGGAAGCCTAGGTGGGTGGAACTCTTGAGTTCATGAGTTCAAGATAGGCCTGGGCAACATGGCAAAACCCTTTCTCTACAAAAAATGCAAAATAATTTAGCCGGGTGTGGTGATATGCATCTGTAGTCCCAGCTACTCTAGAGGCTGAGGTGGGAGAATGGCTTGAGCCTGGGAGGAGGTTGCAGTGAGTTGAGATCGGGTCACTGCACTCCAGCCTGGGCAATAGAGCCAGACCTTGTCAAAAAAAAAAAAAAAGTAAAATGTAACCTACTGTGATCAAACAGGGCATTTGGTTAGAAATAACTGTTGTGGGATGATGTGTGATTCCTATGAAATGGTCTATTAATGGCTTATTTCAATACTTTCAAAAACTTTTTAATTTTATCAAAAATCTTTAAAGTCAATAAATCTTAAAATATTATAATTGAGCTGATTCTCCCAAGTGCCATTTTTTTTCCTTGAGGATCCTTAAGATCTCAGGATTTTTTTTTAAAGCTGGTACTAGATGACTGTGGAGATCAGTTTATATGAGTCAAATATAAATTTATAGATGTAGCTAACCCCCATTTTTCATTAAGCCTTAAAATAGCCTGAGACCTTTTTCCCTGAGGTCAGTCCATGGCAGAACCATTTTTTTTCACTTTCACAAATTTTCATAACCAAATGTAGTTTGATTAATTAGTGACATGATTTATAAACTCTAGATATAATTCTCAGCTATAGGGAGATTTCCAGTCATTGGGAGCCGCCCCTTTTCATGTAGGCAAAGAAGCTGTTGTACGTTATGGCCAAGAACACACCGCTGCCTTCCGAGTTGGTGCTGATTTCGCCTATCATGGTGGTTGTGAACCACACTGCAACTCATTGTTATTATGTTTTGAGATGGAGTTTTGCTCTTGTTGCCCAGGCTGGAGTGCAGTAGCACGATCTTGGCTCACTGCAACCTCTGCCTCCAAGTTCAAGTGATTCTCTTGCCTCAGCCTCCTAAGTAGCAGGGATTACAGGTGCCCACCACCGTGCCTGGCTAATATTTTGTATTTTTAATTGAGACAAGGTTTTACCATATTGGCCAGGCTGGTCTCAAACTCCTGACCTCAGGTGATCCACCTGCCCCAGCCTCCCAGAGTTTTGGGATTACAGGTGTGAGCCACCAGGCCCGGCCTGCAACTTATTTTGATGGGCTCCTTGATCTCAATTCCGTCTATGTGCTGCTTCCCATCACTGTTTGCTTAGTAATATTTACATTAATTTTTTCATGTTTGATACATAATTTATTATTTTAGCTAGTAGTTAAAATGTATACACAACTGTATTTAACTATGGATCCTTTTTATTGTTGGAAATCCCCTAGGAAGAAACAAATTTGATATTATAAGTATGGAATAGTTAAGACCCTCACACATTTTCCTTCAAGCAAATCAGTTTTTTTCTGCAAATCGAAATCATAATGAAATACCATCTCACACCAGTCAGAATGGCTATTATTAAAAAGTGAAAAAACAGCAGATGTTGGTGAGGCTACAGTGAAGAGAATGCTTATACACTGTTGGTAGGAATGTAATTTAGTTCCACCATTACGGAAAGCAGTTTGGAGATTTCTCAAAGAACTAAAAATAGAGCTACCACTTCACCCAGCAATCCCATTTCTGGGTATATATCCAAAGGGGGAAAACAAAACATTCTACTAAAAAGACACATGCACTCACACGTTTATTGAAGCACTAGTCGCAATAGCAAAGAAATGAAATCAACCTAGGAGCCCATCAACAGTGGATTGGATAAAGAAAATGTGGTACATATGCACTATGGAATACTATGCAGCCATAAAAAAGAATGAGATCATGCCCTTTTTAGGGACATGCATGCAGCTGGAGGCCATTATCCTAAACAAGTTAACACAGAATCAGAGAACCAGATGTTACATGTTCTCATTTGTGAGTAGGAGCTAAACACTGGGGACACATGGACATAAAGATGGGAATAATAGACATGGGGGGCTACTACAGGGGAGAGGGAGGGAGGAAAGTAAGGGTTGAAAAACCGCCTACTGGGGCTGGGCGCAGTGGCTCACACCTGTAATCCTAGCACTTTGGGAGGTGGAGGTGGGCAGATCACCTGAGGTCAGGAGTTCAAGACCAGCCTGGCCAACATGGTGAAACTCTGTCTCTAGCAAAAATACAAAAATTAGCCAGGCGTGGTGGTGCACGCCTGTAATCCCAGCTACTCAGGAAGCTAAGGCAGGAGAATTGCTCGAACCCGGAAGGTGGAGGTTGCAGTGAGCTGAGATCCGGCCACTGCACTCCAGCCTGGGGGACAACAGCAAGACTCTGTCTCAAAAAAAAAAAAAAAAACTACCTATCGGGTACTATGGTCAATACTTGGGCAATGGGTTTAATAGAAACCCAACCCTTAGTATCATGAAATATACCCTCGTAACAAACCTGCACATGTACCCTCTGAACCTAAAACAAAAGCTGAAAAAAGTAAATCCAGATTTCTTGACACTGGCACCATTGACATTTCTGGCGGGATTATGATTGTGGGGAGGGGCTGTCCTGTGCATTGTAGGACACTGAGCACCATCCCAGTCTCTGCCCACCTGCTGTCAGTAGCATTCCCTCCCCCAGTCTTAACAACCAGAAATATTTATAGGAATTGCCAAATGGCCCCTGAAGGGCAAAATCATTTCTGATTGAGGATCGCTAATTTGAACAGTTGCTTTTTATGATATCATTTGATAACATGCAGTTTCTTAGAAATTCAGCTCTCAAATTACAGCGGCATAGATTTTTAGAGCTTAGAGAAGTATTTTAATAACATGTACAATTTGTTTCATCTGCACTAACATAAAAGCAAGGTATTTTAAATATTTATCCACATTTTGTCACTGAAACTTACCACCCTACTGCTCTAAAACTTTAAACATTGAATGTTCATTGGTCAAGAAAATTAAACCTCATTGTGTCAGATCACTGGGATTTTTTACTTCTTTATTTTTTGCTTTCTTCAGTTTTTAAATATTATTTTAAAATGTTGTCAAAGTCAATTTAACAGCCTTCCCCATCCCTTCAGTTTTACCACTTTAAATTCTGGAAGATAGTCTAGTTTTTTGGAATTATTTTCAACACAAACATATATAGACTCTAAGGAAGAGTTTGAAGCTCTCTTTTATGAAAACCATGTGAGATCTTTAGGCAGCAATTTTGGAAAAACCCATATAATTGCTCGAAAGTTTTCTAGATCTTGACTCTGTGCTAAAGAGTTGAGGTTACCAAGTAATGAATCTTTGAGTAAGTAAAGTTTACTGATCAGAGCTAACTGGGGCTCTGAATTGTAGGAGGTTCTTTTTAAACTGAATCTCCAATAACCCTCTATTGTTGGAATATCTACTAATTTTTATGAAGGTATTTCCATGACCACCAGCTTACAACGTGACGCCCCATGTCTCGCTACATCTGTCAGGGCCTCGTCCCTCTGTTTCCATTAGATTTTGCCTTTTTAAATGTCTCTTCACCTTTCGACAGACTGTTCTTTCTGCTAGAGCTGCCTTCTCCCTCTTGTGTAGCAAACTCCTACTCCCACTTCAAAGCCTAAGTCACTACTCACCTTCCCTGTGAAACTATCATACATGTATCCAAAGAACATCAGCCTCCTCTTCCTCGGACTGCTAACAGCCTTCGAACTTTTCTCCATGTTTCATTTACTCCACTTTATTTTATTTGCAAAATTCTCTCCTCCAGCAGGCTGGGCACTCCCGGGGGAAGGAACTTCATCTTTTTCAATATTGGTGGCTCTGGCACTGGTCCTTTCTGTCTGGGACTGTCCTGGTTCTGTATACACAACTGTCTTAAACTTCTTGCCAGTTACCCTTGTCTTTGCCATTCAGGGCAGGGCAGGGTCCTCATATTGATTCATGAAGGACACTCTCTTTGTTGGGCGATTTGCACAGTGGTTATGATAGCTAATGGTCCTTACTGTTTCTGTTTGATTAAAATAGAGGCAGCCTTTTCCCTTCCAAAGACTATCTTTCTGTAGAAGAAATGCCATGGAGAAATTCCAGAGTTACTGCAAGTACTGCTAGCAGGGATTAGTCTGAATCAGACCATCATATTCTGTTAGTCATAGTAATGGAAAGAGAAGGGCTTTGATATTCTTGCTGGCGCAACACAATGAGGACAGGGACCAGACAGAAGCTCGCACACATCTGGTTGTTTAATTCTTTTTGTAATTTATCAGGGACAATCTGTCTCATTTTTGAAGATAACTGGAGAGAACAGATCTGGAGGAAGGTCTAGACAAAAAAAAAAAAAACAAGAAACAAACCAACCAAAAAAATGAACTTGAAAATGAAAGCTACACAATAGAATATCCACTGACCCTGGTCCTAAATAAGTTCATTCCAGGGGGGAATATTTAAAACACAGGGAAAAAACTCAGACTTCCCTGTTCATGGAATACAGTTATAGCCACTGACCAACATAGTCTTGAGACAGAGTGAAAGATACTGAAATACACGCCTGAGCAGTTTTCTCAGAGGCTTTGACTTTGTAGCATGGCTGAGATTTCATTTGCTTTGTAGATATGGCTTCTGGGTTGCAGGGGACAAGGACTTTGGGGAGGTTGGAGAGTTGGGGGAAAACTGGCAGCTAAGCAGCTTGCAAGCTTCAGGCTTCTTCTTATTTTCTTCCTTAAAGGGATTCCTGGAAAAGGAAAGTGCTTTGACTGGGGAAACCTTGGCCAGGTTTGACCTGCTTCTCCTTGCAATTTCAAAAAGCCCTGCTCTCATCCTGGCCTCACCCTAATGCCAGCCTTACACCTAGTTTTTGTAAGTCTGCATTAGGAATGGAACTGTCGCAGCACGAGGGAATGGCTATTTTCTCCAGAGTCCAACTCCAAGCACAAAATGCTAGGATTTCCTCAAAGTGCATCCACATTGGTGAGCGTCATGGTTAAGATTAATGATCCGACTTACTCGTAAATTTCGGGTTGACTAAGAATCAGAAATTTTAGGCTACTGTATGGCCCAGCACAAATATTGTAGGGCAAGAAAATACCTTTGTCCTTCCTATATTTTTTCTTATAATTTAGCTCTTTCTTCACCACATCATGCAGCTGAATTGAGCCAAGCGTTAGTGGTGGGGATAAAAATAATGCTGGAATCACTCTCCCCCATTCCAACTTCCACTCTCTTCACGTGCACAGCTCCACTTCGTACAACACTGTCATGTTTGGAGCCAAAGTTCTCCAACATATTACCAACTGAAACACAATTAAGTAATTCTTTTTTAGAGACAGGTCTTCCTCAGTTGCCCAGGCTGGAGTGCAGTGGTGTGATCACAGCTCACTGCAGCCTAGAACTCCTGGGCTCAAGCAAACCTCCCACCTCAGCCTCCCAAGTAGCTGGGATGACAGGAGTGTGCCAAGCCTGGCTTTTTTTTTTTTTTTTTTTTTGGTAGAGATGGAGTCTCACTAGGTTGCCCAGGTTGGTCTCAAACTCCTGGGCTCAAGCAATCCTCCCACCTCACTGTCCCAAAGTGCAAGAATTATAGGCATGAGCCACTGCACCCAGCCACAATCAAGTAAAACTTATGATAAGTCTATAAAGAGCAATTAAGGGGGTAAGAAACTCTTTGGGAGCATGTAGTTTACCACTAAAGAATCATGTCATGCCATAACCTTCTTCGACTGGAAGGAGGCTGGAGGCAGCCTTATAGGCTAAACCCACTCACTTTGGAAAACACTTGTTCTTCCCCCGGTCTTACGTTATTTCCACAGGTTGGGTTCTGAGCTCGAGCTGTTCTTGCCACATGAGGGGTCTTCTGGGTCTCCTGGCTTGGAGTACAAGTTGATTATGCAGGTGACCGGGGTCCAGGTTTTATCTCCCTGTGCTCCGAACGCACCCCACACCTCCTCTATTTTAGCATATTTTCCAGTTGATTGCAAATGTGTGCTCACTCATCTTTTCCCCCCACTAGACAGTAAGCCTGATCTTGCTCACTCGCAGTTAGCTTCTGGACAACTTGTGGCATATAATAAATTTTGCTCAACAAAATTTATGAAATGAATGAGTCTCTCCAATTTGAATCCAAGCTTTCCATGTTATTTTGGAAACTGCCATGGGAGCTGTGTCTGAATGTGGTGATGGGTGAAGGTCTCGTACTGTCAGGACACTTCCCTAGGTACTGAGCCATGCTGGGGCTGCCTTTCCACTGGACTGGTTGTCATGCTAGCTTCTGGTGGGTGTGTTTAAGGTGATACACTCCCATCTCCAAGTAACATGCCGATCTTTATGTTTACAGGCGGTTGGGTAGCTTGACTGCACTGGGGGCTGAGCTGGTCTCCATGAGGTTGGAGTGTGCAGACTTCATACCGCCCATCCACCTGCCTTTCATTTCCCTCTTTCAAGCAGCCTATAAACTGGGATCAGAGCTACAACCCAGCTGAACTGTGTCCCCTCTGCCTGTTTTTGTCACATTTCTATTACTTTTTTTTTCCTCAAAAATTAACTTCCAAGACTTAAAACACCAAGAACCACCCCCAGTGGAAGGCGATAAGAGGGCATGGGTGTGTTTAGCAACTGCGAGTTGTAGTGGCTCCATGTGAAGCATTTCAAATGTAAACTGGGATTAGAATGTACAGGGCTCACTAACTTGAGTGACTGCTCACCCTCCCTTTCCCAAAAAGAAGGGGGCTTATTAGAGGCAGTACTTTGCCTTAAAGAGTGACTGTTGTTCAGTGTATTTCTATCAAGCACTTAATACACATTCACACCCACACACACATACACACACACACTCTCATAGAGGCTAACCAAGTCCTGAATTCCATCGTCTCTCAACTGTTTGATTCAATGATTGTTATTAAGCAGTAAACCCACACCAACCATGCAGTCATTGTGCTTCTGAAAAATGTAAATGTCACTTTTTTGGTCTTTAAAAATTATTAAGCAGAGAGAAAGATAGCAATTTCCAGTGTTTGCTCGGATGGTAAGATGCAGGAGAATTTGCATTACTCCTGAGAGCTGCCATTGGTTAGCTGGAGGGAAAAAGGATATCAATTATACATAATCTAAGAAGCCTCTGCATAATAATCAGGCCCAGTAGGGGCTTTGGGGCAGCTTCGTTATTCTCTTGTAAACACAAGAGCCCAGATAGACATGTCAGTCAGGAGTAGCGGCAGCAATTCTTCCTTTTTAACACCTTCACATTCTATTGCTTCAATATGCAAACAAGGCTGTTTAGCTGAGGGTAGAGCGGTGCTAATGAGCTCCCTGCACTAACCCTGAAGTAAAAAGGTTCTGTTTCACAGCTGCTCAGAGACAGCTCCTCTGGGCATGCTCAGGTATCGGAAAATAATGCCTTTTAAACAGAGAAATGCCAATCAGGATTTTGTGCATACTTTCCCTTTTCTCTATGTGCTAATGCAATTACCTCACAACTTGTGAACTTCCAGTGCATTTGTCTGGTGTTTTTTCCCTAAATGATATGTTCGGAATGTGGATGTGGAAGAACGCTTGCAAAATGCAGGGACTGGGAAAACTGGGCATTCTCTTAATGCCTAGAGGACGCTACCTCAAAGCCCATGCTCACGTTTCCGCCTTCAAGGTGGACCGTTCTTTTATCTCTTTTTTCCCCCAAATATTATTATTCCTTTTCTTCCCTGGGTCACTTTAATGACCTGAATGGACAATGCAGATCAGGACAAGCTTCTCAAGCCGCAGGGTTTGTGCCCCAACCTCTGTGGTTTGGGAGCTACCGTGGGTCCCGGGCTCTGGGCATTGCTCCATCTTGGCAACTCCATAATTGGCTGAGCAAAGACACACAGGACGGAGGAGGGGGGCAGGGAGGGAGGGGGCTTCACATAGCAGTTGACAGTTTCAAATCAAGACACCATACATGATGGCTTTTCAATATCCAATTATTCTCATGAATAAAGAAATCTCTTACACAGAAATATTCTTCCAATCCCCACTGGGTTAATTTACCATCTACAGAAACCACTCAGCTTTGCTGGCTAAATAACAGGGTCTGTGATTTCTTGTGTAATTATAGGACCTCCTCCTTCTCACCATTAATTCAATCTCAGGGCCATGCCTTCTAGGTGCCTGACATGGAAGACAGGGCCTGTCCGTTGTGCCTGATAAAGGGATGTTAATACCAGCATGAATATCCTCCACTCTTAACCAGCGTCTTAACTCCTTCCCATAAAAAGAAGTGCCGTATTTCCCATCCCTTAGTTAACCAATCAGCGGGCAGGTTTCTAACCACTGTCTCCGTTTATGACAGTACAGTCAGGTACTACACAGTCAGCAAGAAAGCCTTCCTGCTGGAATATTTCAGCATTTCAATTATTTATTACATTAGCTTTATGGCATATCACAACCTATTTGAGACAGGTAGAGTGAACTCTTTTCTGCCACACAGAGGCTCATTAAGTGGCCATCATGACTGGTGAGACTTAATTGTTTTACACCGGGCAGTTCTCTGTCGTGATTTAAATCCCTAGTAAAGCAGCTGACCCCAATTCTCAGGGTGTTTGGATCCCCACCTAACTTGGAAAATCAGAGCCAGCTGAGAGTTGGCTTGCACATTTTAGCATCTGGTAAAAGCGTGCAAGCTGGTGAGCTGTGCAGGGAACAAGTCATTGGCAATTGTGTGTGAAAACAGTTAATTAATTGTTTATCTCTGTTAATTTGTTTAAACGATCATAGAATTGTTCACATTATTTTGAAGATGTCTCCTTCATGTTTTTAAAACTGTCTTCATGTCTTCCACATGTTTATAAAAGGGAGTTATACTCATTTAGCAACTCATTGTTTATGATTAGAACCTAATGTGCAAAGCCAAATTAACAATGCTATTGTATCCAAATTCAAATGCCAAGTGCTTTTGGCAATGATTGCATGTACATCTGACTGATATATAGATAGACAAATGCATAGATAGATATAGATATAGACATAGACATAGATATAGATATAGACATAGATATATATCGACAGAGAGTGGGGAGGGAGGTTTTGCTCTGTCACTCAGGCTGGAATGCAGAGGTGTGATCACAGCTCACTGCAGCCTTGACCTCCCAGGCTCAAGCAATCCCCTCACCTCGGCCTCCCAAGTAGCTGGGACCACAGGTGCATGCCGCCACACCTGGGTAATTTTTAAAAAAAATGTGGAGATGAGATCTCACTATGTTCAGGCTGATCTTGAACTCCTGTCCTCAAGCGATCCTCCTGCCTCGGCCTCCCAAAGTGCTAGGATTAAAGGCGTGAGCCACCGCGCCCAGCCTGACTGATATTTTAAGGCCATGCTGTTGGTTCTAAGTAAAATGATAAAGATGTTCAGCCAGGTGAATTTTAGATTTGTGAATGTTCTGCTGTGTTGGTATACTGTTTAGATTTGTCTTCTTATGTGTAAGGAAGAGTATAGCCTGTGGATGAGAATGCAGACTTTTGAGCTGGACTTTTTGAATTCTGGCTCTGACTTAGTGGTTGTGTGATCTGGATCAGGTGAATCAACCTTTCTGTATTTCAGTTTCCTCATCTGTGAAATAGGTACAGAAATAGTGCCTACCTCATAGGGTTGTTGGAAAGATTAAATTACTGAATATATAAAAAGCCTCTTTTAATGCAATACACATCGGCTGCTGTTGTTGCTCCTTCCTGTAATATACAATAGCCTTAGTGTTGTTTACATGGTGGAGACATCTAGGCTACCTTCTCATGTGATTATCACCATATAGTAATCTGGATTTAGAATTGGTGATCCAATGCTACATCAACAGTCTGTCTTCCTGACAATAATGAATCCAATCTCATTGTCAGTAATATTGATTTTTATAGATCTGGAGTGCATTAAGGTTTGCATCAAGATAAAGCACCTATTGATGGATTCACCCATTACTTCGCTCTAAGCTCTTTATGATGGCTAAAAGAACCACAGACTATTCTCGTTTAGTTCATTTTATATCATTCATGCACCTCTTATCATGCTAGATATAGTGTATATTGATATAATTAAACCAAGAATAGTGTGCTGTTTCTATGACTTAATTTTCTCTAGTCCTATAAAGTGGATTTATCTTTTGGTCATATGTTCTGGAGTGGACAACACTCTTAGCAGAATAGGAGTTATAATAACATACATAACACATTCAAGTCTGCTTTGAAGGAAGTAAGCAGTTTTTCAAGACAACACAATTTGAATGAGCTGCAATTTGACTCCCCTCTTTCGCTGTATCCTGGATGTGAATAGGAGGAACCGATGAATCTTGTGAAACTGGTGTAAGCTGTTGTTAAAAAAATTGTTCTCCTTTTTCATTAAGTGCCATTTGCTCTATAATTTAAGGGGTTGTTATGCCCAGAGTGAATTTGGGGAATTCAACAGTCTTCTCCATAAAGGGGAATCTCTGACAGCCTTGTAATTAGCTGGATGATAAAGTAAAGGTGTGCTGAGATTAACATACTTTATTCCAACTATCAAAGGGAGGGAGGGAGGGAAAAAAGGGGAAACACTTCTGTTTTGCATTTTGATCAGCTCAGGGAGCTTTCCTTTAATTGGAGGATGCATATAGCAGGAGGGTTGAAGAACTTAGAGTGTAAATGACTATTTTTGAAAGACATCTTCAAAAATAAGACAGTTGTGTTGAATGATTTGGGGATCCTTTTTTTCTACCATCTGGAAATTAACTGTGTGTTTAATTCCACAGGTTGATTTCCTTTTGTCCCTCCCACAACCACCCACCATGAGATTGGACAAGTCTAGTGGGTAGTGGTCTAGAGGTGATGGATCTTCTAGAAGGGTTGCAATCAGAGCTGGCTTCATGAGTGTGCAGAGGGGTCCCACACATGGTTGAATGCTTTCCTTCACTCTCTTAAAATTCTTAATAGTGTTTGAATAAGGTATCCCACATTCATTTTCATTTGCACTGTGCCCCACAAATTATGCAGCCAGATTAGGTTGCAGTCAACATTTGGACAATATTAACTCTATTTATTGCACACTATTTTTCTAAGATAACTAGGAAAAATGCTTGCATGTCAGAAATGTTGTTGAAATATCTGATGAGTTAAGCTGTCTTACATTTCGGCTGATTTCTCTCCTTATACTTTTTCTGCCATTAAAGTTAGGGATTAGATAGACAGATCAGACAAGGCAAGGAGAACTCAAGAAAATTCGATCACTTCAGTGAGTGTTGGTGTGTGAGGAGAATCAAGTGAGAAGTGCTTTTAGAAACATTCATGCCGGTATGAAGGAGCTCTAGCATGCCAGGTGAGTGGACATGGCTTGGGGAAGGTTGATGATACCTAGAGACACGTCAGCCTTTGGGTCAGAGCCTGCCTAACCTCATGGGGAACTGATAGGTGGAATAGGAGGGAACTCTAGGCTCCCACTGGCATGGGCAGGGTTGCAGAGAATTCAGACATTTGTGTGTGCTCACGGAGGGGAGGCCAAGCTTCTGAGGGTGGAGGTTAGGGTCAGAATGGAGAGACCACCAAGAGTGAGGGACTCTGAGATGGGAGGCAGAGGGTTAGGACAATGGGCTTTGCCCATGGAGCCAGAAAGTTACCCTGCGAGGGTGGATGGCGCTGGGCCACATATTTCAGTGGTCAGATCCAGGATCTTAGCAGTCACTCCCATCGATCAGGGATGGGACCATGCAGGCACGCTCAGCAAAGGCCCCAACGAACCAGAAGACAAGCGAGAATTCTGCATCATCTTCGCCTCCATGATCCTGAGGACCATGAGAGCCAAGGTAAGGACCTTGACAGACAGATTTGTTACCAGGAGGAATTTTTTGCCTACTGAATCATTCTGAATATGTCAGATTTGTCTAAATAGATCCCACCTGCTCCCTGGTCCACTCTTTTCCAGTAAAGAGGCTTATGTGGAAGATTAGATCTGTTATCAAAAATAAATTTTAAATAAAAGCCACATTCTTTTTGTATATTTTGTGACAAAATGTGTACCTCAGAAGTATTTGTTTTAAAGATGAAATAATGAATTCTAGCATCTACTAGGTATGTCTGGTAGACCTCTCAGAATGTTCCCCATGATCCCATCTCCCTCTTTTCTCTCTTCCTCTGTCTTCCTTTTCCTTCCTCCTCCAATGCCCTAATTCGGGAATTACTCTGAAAATAAGTAGGAAATTTGTGATCTTCATTTACTCCTTATATTATTATTATTTTTTCATATGGAGTCTGGCTCAGTTGTCCAGGCTGGAGTGCAGTGGTGTGATCTCAGCTCACGGCAATCTCTGCCTCTCGAGTTCAAGGGACTTTCCTGCCTCAGCCTCCTGAGTAGCTGGGATTACAGGCGCCCACCACCACGCCTGGCTAATGTTTTTGTGTTTTTAGTAGAGACAGGGTTTCACCAGGTTGGCCAGGCTGGTCTTGAACTCCTGACCTCAAGTGATCCACCTGCCTTGGCTTCCCAAAGTGTTGGAATTACAGGCGTGAGCCACCGCACCCAGCCTACTCCTTATTTGTGAAGAAACATTGGCTTTGTTATATTTGTTTGCAGGCTGACTTTAGTAGGGCAAATATTTGCATAATGAGGGGTTTTGATTTCTTCCAATTACATCCTCAGCTATACCTGCAATGTTTCCCCCCTCTACACCTGGGGCAATATTTGTATGAGGCTACAGAAAACCAGTGGTTCTCAAACTCTGCTGCACATTAGGGTCACCTGGGGAGCCTTAAAAGTACAGATGTCCAGGCCTTGTTCCTTTCCAATTAAGCCAGAACATGGGGTGGGGAGCAGGCACCGGCATTAGGGGTTTTTTAAACTTCCCGAGAGATCCCCGTGTGCAACCAAGCTGACAACAAGAGTTCAAGACAGCAGTGCTTTCCAAACCTGCTTGATTATAAGAATTACCCATGGTCTTTTTAAAATTACCTGGCCTCTTCCGTAGAAATTTGGATTCAGCAGGTCTAGGTTTGGGGCTAAGACTGTTTATTTTTAACTAACAGGCAAAAAGAACTGGAGGAAGCAGTTTTTGTCTAGTGCAGATGAGTTTTTGGGGGATTGGTGAGAATTTCTGAAGTTGTTTTTTAAGGGAGACAAAATAAGAAAGTGAGAAAAGAGAAATGGATTAAGTGCAGCAGTAATTTATGTGTGTGGATTTCCTTTTTACCTTCTGAGAGAAACGCAAGTGAAGGACTGAAATTATTTTACAATTTCTTGTGGAGGTCTACTGTGCTTTACTGAATAAGACATCTCTCCCAACTGGACTATATGAGTCTAATGCAGTTCTAAGGAAAAAAGAGGCAGAGACATGTTTGGATGAAGAAGGCTATAGAGAGAGGGTTGGGAGTTTTGGGTACACCAGGAAAGTTTGAAGCAGCTCCCCAGGAGAATCAGGGAGGGACCTCATCACAGATATGGTACAGAGGTGCTCAGCCATGTGAGATAATGACTAAGCTAGAATATCCTCAGTGCCTAGTAGCCCCTGTCTGAATGGTTCTGTGATTTTTTCACCAGATTGCTTAGCCACACAGGTGTAGCAGTGGAGGAAGCAGAAAGCTAGATGAATCCATGGATGGAATTTTTCAGGAGAGTAACGTAGGGCATGAAGGTGAGAGAACCGAGTGTGCTGGAAAGAGGATGATTATTTGGGGATGGTAGTTGCTTTAGCTCTCTATTGCCACAGTGTTGCTGCATAGCAAACCACCACAATCCTCAACTGCATGCATTGGTAAGCTCTTTTGCTCATGGGTCTGGGATGTAGGAAAAGCTGTCATTGCTCATGTGTCTGTGATGCAGGTAGGTGACCCTGCTGGTCTTGGCTGGGTTTGTTCATATGTCATGGATTTGCTGGCTGCCTGCCGGCCCTGGAAGTCCTCAGCTAGGGTGATAGAATCAAACTATGACGTTGAGACAAAGGTACATGGCAGAATATGCATGAATGACAAGTGGAACATTGGTGTTATTTTTGCTGTCTATCACAGTAGCTACCAATATATTTTAGCATCTTTTTGAAAACATTTCAACTTATGTTTTAGATTCTGGGGATACATGGGCAAGTTTGTAACATGGGTATATTACATGATGCTGAAGTTTGGGGTATGGATGATTCCAGCACCTGGGCGTGTGCATAGTACCCAATAGGTAGTTTTCTAGCCCACACCCCCTCCCTTTCTCCCTCTTCTGGTAGTCCCCACTGTCTATTGTTGCCATCTTTATGTCCACATGTACCCAATGTTTAGCTCCCACTTATAAGTGAGAACGCACAGTGTTTGGTTTACTATTCCTACGTTAATTCACTTAGGATCATGGCCTCCAGCCACATTCATGTTGCTGCAAAGAACATGATTTTGTTCTTTTTTAAGGCTGTGTAGTATTCCATGGTGTATATGTATTACATTTTCTTTATCCAGTCCACCATTTATGGGCATCTGTGTTGATCCCATGTCTTTGCTATTGTGAATAATACTTTTAGCATCCTTTGAAAGCATACTTTTATAAGGGACTACTTTGTACAGATAAAACAAAATACGGAGAAAAGTAATTCAGATCTTTTTTATTTAAAATGCTTGATATTACTACCTAATAAAACCTCAACCATCTTAAATAAAACCTCAACCATCTTAAGCAACTAAACCAAGAAATACTATTTTTCCATTGTTCCTTTTTATTATGGGCCATGTGTGTACATATCTCTTTTATGGATTCCAATCAGGATTCATTCAGCATTTTCAAGATATAAAATGTGAGAGTTAAAATTAAATTCTGCCTCTCTAAAATCATTCCTGGTATTAAGTTTCCTTCAGGACATTCTTTTTTGAAAAATGAGTTAAGATATGAGTTAAGAACTTTGTAGTTTGTCTTCACTATAGAAGTGCCTGGAGTGAACTTCTTCTCTACTCAAGCTAAATTGTTAATTAGCTCAAGGTACACCAGAGATGTGATCTTGGAACCTTCCGATAGCCAACATTTATTAAAACAGTAGTCATTGGTTTTGATTAGATTTATGTGTGCATGCAGGGCGGTGAGTGTGGGGGGGCAGGGCGCGACTGGCAGCTTAGAGTAATTTTAATGTGTTATAAAGACTAGTGTTGTTCAGGTGCAGTGGCTCATGCCTATAATCCCAGCATTTTGGGAGGCCGAGGCAGGAAGATCACCTGAGGTCAGGAGTTTGAGGCCAGCCTGGCCAACATGGTGAAACCCCATCTCTACTAAAACACACACACACACACACACACACACACACACACACACACACAAATCAGCTGGTCCTGGTGACAGGTGCCTGTAATCCCAGCTACTCGGGAGGCTGAGGCAGGAGAATCACTTGAACCTGGGAGGTGGAGGTTGCAGTGAGCCGAGATCGTACCACCGCACTCCAGCCTGGGCAACAGAGTGAGACTACATCTCAAAAACAAAACAAAAAAAGACTAGTGTTGAAGAATTTGACAATGGTTGGCTACCTAACAAAACCCACTAATACCTCTTTAATTCAGAATTTCTAGAAAGGTACGGCCTCATCTTGAGACATATTCTTTTTCATCCTGAAATGCACATTTGATTTCTCTACAACTGACACTGTTTAGGAGCCCTATTATATACTTTCATAAGCTCTTACCCTTCTTCGGTTATAGAAGTTGCTTGCAATTCTTCGCATGATTTGATGGGTTTCCTTCCCTACTGGATGGTGAGATTCATGAGGGCTGAGCTCTGTGAGCTTTGCTCGTGTTGCTGGAGTCTCAGCCACTGACACAGAGCAGGGCCCCAGTAAACAATGTTGCATGAACAAGTGCATGAGATCCTTCTTCACAAGGACAAAGTAGGTACCTGCCTGCCTTGAGTGATTTAAAGCATTTTAAGATATGCTTTGCTGCCTCTAGATATTTCTCTGGTTAGATCCCCACAAAGATATCTGTAACATTAAGCTCTGGGACCATTTGAGAGCAGACTAGCTGCTCACAGATTCCTGAAAGAAATGCAAAACCTTTTCTCTGGCCTCAGATACTCAGCTTACTTTTTTCCCCTCCATCTCTTTTTGCCTTGCCAACATGGAAACTGGAAACCCCATGGAATTATTTCTCCCAGCTCTTATCTGTGAGGGTAGAACTCCATCACCACCCACACTTAGTTTCTGTTTCTGCAGAGCCAATCACAACAGAATAGCAATAATTTGCATCTCCAAGCTTCTGTGACCTGGATGCATGGCATTTTCTGAGACTCTGGCCTCAAGGGTGCACAGCTCCCCTGCAGGCTGCCCCTCTGAGTCCCTGCTGGGCTTCAGGCTGGACAGCTCTGCCTTCTTGGCCCTAGGGACATCCCTGTGATTGATATAGCTTGGCTTCAGTGAGAAAACACAAAGTGCCAGGTTTTTCACTTTGGTTTATTTTTTACCCTTCCTTTGCAAACAGAAGAAAAACTATTTTCCCCTTGTGCTTTATCAAAAGATATACATATATATGTTTTAGTTGACATATTTAAAGGAAGAGAATAGGATCACTTCTTTCCAAAGCCTCTTAGCTTGCAGAGAGGGCTTTTTTTTTTTTTTTTAATATCCATGCTTTTAAAGATATGTGGAAACACACAGCTACAACAACAGGTTTTTCAATTCTCAGATTTTTTTTTTTTTTTCTAATCTGCCTCCAGCACTGGCCTAAACCTTCCCAGAACCCTGAGTGAACATTACTGGAAGCCTCAGGAGAGAGTCTCCAGCTAGATCTGCATTTGTACAACTGTCGGGATTCTGCCTCCTTTTAAGTCTTAAATCAGCCATTGACAGGTTTGCAACATAAAGCCAAGATGGAACTCTCCCAGGTATTCAAGCCTGGAAACAAGTAGAGATAAACAAAGATAGTAGCATTTGAGGCAAACGCACTGTCTTTAAGCTACGCTGGAGTCCGTTTGGGTGAGTACTTTTCCAGGAGTTTTGTTAGCGATCTGGGGAAGGCCGAATACTTTCAGACCTGCGTGTTTCCTTCTCTGACCTTTATAAATAGGGAATATCCAAACAGGATGTTAAGGAGATTTCCTGTCAGCTGTAATTAAGCAAAAGGGATGGGATGGAAGGTTTTTATTCCTTAGTCTTCAACTTGTTCTTAGTCAGATATCTCTGCCCCCCGGGATAAAGGCCCAAAGGGAAATTTCATCTTCTTGGTGCTGGGTTGGGGCCTGTGGTCTAGAAGTAGGTGGTGAGGTTAAAGAGAAACAGCCTTAAACTGTTTTCCCCTTCCTTCCTTCCTTCCTTCTTCCTTCCTTCCCTCCCTCTTTCCTTTTTCCCTTCCTCCTTCCTTCCTTCCTTTCTAGCCACTCTTTGTTTCCCCCCAAATCATCTTGTTCTTTTATTTTTGGAGGTGGTCATTATTATTTAATGAAATCTGTCTTTTATGGTAAGATCAACAGCAGCATGTCAAAAGGGTTGCCTACTAGGTTCTTTGGTTGAGATGACTTTAATATCCTGAACCCCTGTGTATTATTATAGGAGAATGTACTGTTAATTATCAGCCAATAACTTATTTATTATATACTTACTATAACGTTTGTTGAGCCCTGTAGGAAATATGTAAGTGAATAAAATACAATCCCTGCCTTCAAGAAACTTCTGATTTAGGGAAGACAAGCAATACACATCTAAAAAGATAACTGTACCAAGACAATTAGTACCATGTGTGGCCCAGACAGGGAGGCGTTTAAGGGCAGTGCTGGCATAACATGGCCCCTCACAGCTCTGCTGACTATTTTTTCTGTGCTTGTGATCACTGACAGTCTGTGGCCTGGAGCTTCTGTAGGAATGTTAATCATAAATATCAGATTTCTGTTTGTAGCAAAGCTGTGAAATTCTGCACTAGCAAGGTATTTCAAAGTTCCAGATGAAATCCCTTGAGGTAGCATGTGAAAAGGACCCATATTTGCTAAAGCGACTTGGAGTGAAATTCAATGTCTGGCAAAAGATCCCCTCTGGGTGAAGTATGGGAAGTGCTCTCTCGTCTCCCCTCTCTTTTATTCTCATTCCCTTTTTGTCTCACCTCTCCCTCATTTTCTCTGACCCTTTTGCTCATTTTAGTAGCTTTCCCAGTCTAATTGGGATCCCCTGCAACAGAGGGTCAGCGAAGGCTGGAAGAGAAAGGAGGGATATTCCGAATGAGGAAGGCAGGATCCTATTACAGAGGCAATTTGCCCACAAGTGAAATTTCATGTCTAACAAATATACTGCCCTATTCCAAATTCACTGCAATTAAAACTCAACTACATCATCTAACTGTACTCAGCGAAGTAGAGTAACTCTTGGGATATAATTTTGAGTGTTCTCATTATAATTGCTAAATCATAAAATCAGTCAATTCACACTGGGTCTGTAGAGCATTAATATCTAATAATGAAGTTCTACCATGGTGGGAATTCTACTCAGTTCTTCTTCCAAGATATTTCCATTAACCCTTGATGAACGAAATATATAGAGTCTCAAGGAGTCAGATTCTCCGGTTCTTCTGGATACTCAATTAGTTTGTACAAGGTCATATTTAAGATGATTGGGCAAGGCTTCTGTAGGAGTGGAAAAGGCTGAAAGAATCGTAGCAAAGCACAAGACAGGATGGTTGTGGGTGTGTGGGTTGGTTTGTTTTTATTCTAGAACTTCGAAGACAACATCGTGGAGCAGAAAAAAGGGGACATGGGATAGGTATATACCTGCTGGAAAGGTATGACCTCTTTTGGGTTGGCTTTTGATAGGCAATTACAAGTGATAGAATTACATTGTAGAACTTTGAAATCTAGTTATGAGGCAAAATACGTGGAAGTGAAATGTAAAATGTGACTCTTTTTGCCACCATTGATTATTGTTGCAGCTAAAATCTAATCCTCTTTTTGTCGGTGATACTATTTATGTAGAGGTTGGTTTTCCTTACACATCTTTTTCTTACACTTTTCATAGCTGTGGGATGAGTGTGATATTTTTTATTTAATAGTACAAACTCAGTGGCGGTGTAGTTCCCAGATCTCCTGGGAAGGAGGTAGAAGCCTTAATCTTCTCCAACTAAGTGGGTGAGTCATTCTCTGTGTCTCTAGTCATAGTTGTTTCTGGAGCTCTGGGCATGGGAGAATACATAGTGATCTCAGGACAGGAAATGGCTAGCCCTCAACTGAAGCCATCATCACTGAAGGTGAAAAGTCTTAACTTTAACAGTAGAAACTACGTGGTTGTCAGGTTTTCAGGAAAAGAAAGAGGAGATTAAATGTGTAGGTGGCATGGGAGGGGTGAGTTGGTATGGGTTCGGAAAGGCAGAAACAACTTGATTTCCCTGAGCAGTTTCCATTGTAATCAATGTGTTGGGTCAGCACCAACCTCTTTACCTGAGATAAAATATTTAATGCATGTTTCTGTCAGCCTCGGAATATGCTTTGCCCTCTTAGGTTTATATTTGTAATTTGGGGTCTGGATTAGGCCCAGAACTAGTGGCCTAGCCTTAGGCCAACCTCTTCCATGAGTTAGTTTTATATCCAGCTTTGGGTGGAGCCACAACCTCTGAGGACCCAATTATATGAAGTTCTCAGAAGTGAAACAAAATTCAGGAGCGTCATCAGAGAAAAGGCTTCATTTTCCCCCTCACTGTTGCCCTAGTCCTGGGGAAATTAACATGGTGGACCGTTATCTCTGAACTTCTCTGGGCAGTTGACTGTACAAAATGGGAGAGTAAGACATAACCACAGGTTCTCTTCCTGCATAAAAGAATCTGGAAATGGATCCTCTCTTTTATAAAAATATCCCACAGTGACCAATGTGAAGCAGCGTTATCGAGAGCATGCATTCTCAGCAGGGGCGACTTAACCTCAAGCAGCAACAACTGCTCCTTGAGGACGGGGCTAAAAAAATCTCAGATACTCAATGGTGCATAGGCTTCCAGGGTTCCATGACACACAGCGCTGCTACAGAGCACATCACCAGCATTCAAGTGTTATGGATTGAGTGAAGTTGCAATTGGGAAAAAAGAAATCTCTAACAAGGCTCCTTAAGGATACCATAATAAAAGTATGGTTAAAAAGCACTGGTCAGCAAAGCGTGGTGGCTCATGCCTGTAATCCCAGCACTTTGGGAGGCTGAGGTGGGTGGATTGCCTGAGCTCAGGAGTTCATGACCAGCCTGGGCAACACGGTGAAACCCCCATCTCTACTAAAATACAAAAAATTAGCCAAGCGTGGCGGCATGCACTTGTAGTTCCAGCTACTTGAAACCGCGGAGTGGAGGTTGCAGTGAGCCGAGATCGCGCCACTGCACTCCAGCCTGGGTGACAGAGTGAGACTCAGTCTCAAAAAAAAAAAAAAAAAAAGCACTGGTCCAGGGTAAGGTATTATTTGATTTTAGGAGCTACAGTATTGATATCTTCTTGGGGACACTTCTCCATGGAGCATTAACATAATTCATAACTTTTTCAAAAGAAAATAGAATCCAGGAATTTTTGATATAGAAAGAGTTCAGTATCTAAAACAAACAGTAAGAAAACCTTTAAAAAATAATATCATCCTTGGAGCACAGGAGTCTTCCTGTCTCTGATGTATTCCCTCGAGCTCATTTAAAAAGAGGACAATGTTCAGATCCAAGAGGCTGGACAGAAACAAGTGCCTGTAATTCTTTCTGATATGTTAACCCTGAGGATGAAGGTGAGCTGACTGTCTTGGTATCTATAGGAAGAAGATCAATTATCTGGTACATAGTTTTGTGTGGCTTTCAGAAAGTGGACACATTTTACCTTGGATCTAGACTTTTAAACTACATATTGGTAAATGTTGACAATTGAGAACACTGCTTCTGTGTTATGATGTAGTATAATCCAAGACATTTGTCTGTATTTATAGAATTTCTTTTCAGAAGTAACCAAATCAAACTCCTTAAAAATATTGCCATTGCATTTCTAATGATTTTAATTAATTTAGTTAAATATTATCTTTTTTATTTGATAAACTTGATATACAATATCTGAACTCTCTAGATTTTACTCACCATCTATTATTTTGCTTGCACAGAATAGTGAAATTGTGTTATGTTTAAGTATATTCAAAATCATTGTTTAGCAATGGTTATATTTTTATAAGAAGGTGTTAATTGCTTGGTTCTTATTAAAACCTAGTAGTCATTTCTAGAAAAATCATCGATAATGTTGTAGGAGAATAGTATTAAAGATAGAAAGCTTATAAACCCTGATTTCACCATAGGAACTTAAACTTTGATAAATGAAGGCTTGGCTCTACTTCTGCAGAAATTGCAAAATAGGCAATTTTGGCCTAAAGTGAAGTGACAGTTGTTTCTGTTTAGACTTAAAAATTGTGAAGCAAAATCTTATAGGCTTAAATAAGAGTTAAAATAGACTACTATCTTTTGTCCAATGGATCTCATAAAAATAATTGGACAGGTACTGAAAAGAAAATTCTTTAATGTCAAATTTCAATCTTGATCTTTAATAAGGCTATAGCAGGAAAACTATGAAGGACCTTAAGAAAACTCATTCTGAAAATAAATCAGACCCCTGATTTCCAGTCTGGTATATAAGAACCTCAGAAGTCATACCGTAACCCCATTCTATACCAAGTAAAAAGCTGAACAAACTGAGAATCAACAGCTCTTCACAGAACCTTCAGACAAGGGAGGACATAGGGCAAGCCTCTGCATCCTAGATTGGAGGGACAGACAGGCAAATACAGAGAATTACAACATGCCAAAGTGGAGAGCCACAAGCAGAAACATCCGGGGAAACAAGCACGAGGGCATGGAAACCTGAACTGTAATTAGTGAATTGCTGAAGGCTCAGTGTGGACAAGTCTGAGGGTTAAGAACTCCAGGGGGGCCAGTCATAGGGGCACCCTCCTATCCTTGCAATTTTGTGAGTTTCACCTCTAGGATCTCAGCTCTTCTAAGTTCTCACAGTGACTATCTGAGAAAAATCCTCTCATGCTTCCAGCACAGAATAAAAAGTAACCATTTTGAAATATGTCAGAAATGTCTGTTCTTGAAAAGGCCTGCCCACAGGAGAAACTATCTTCCCAGTGCCTAACCAACCTGAGGGAAGGCAAATTCCTATTTCCAGCCCCTTCTAGCAATCCTGTCTCATGTAAGTGGGGAGAAAACTGAGAAGCACTGGTAAAGTCCACGGTCCAAAGGCACAGGCTCACCAAGACCTAATCATAAAACTATAGAGCACTTGCCTTCCCTCTGCCCCTTACTACTACATCACTACATGTCTCATTACCAGACTTCCTTAAAAAAAGAAAAAAAAAAACCACATAGGGTCTTGCTTTGTCCTCCAGGCTGGAGTGCAATGGCACAATCATAGCTTACTACAGCCTTGAACTTCTGGACTCAAGTGATCCTCCTGCCTCAGTACTCTTTGTAGCTGGGACCACAGGTGTGTGCCACTATGCCTGGCTAATTTTTTTATTTTTATTTTTTGTAAAGACAGGGTCTTGCTATGTTGCCCAGGCTGTTCTCAAACTCCTAGCCTCAAGCCATCCTCCCACCTCAGCCACTCAACATGCTGGAATTACAAGTGGGAACCACTGTGCACAGCCCAGACTCCCTTTCACCTGGTATCATGTCTAATTTCTAACAAAAAATTACAACCACACTAAAAGGCAAAGAAAAAAAAAACCCACCCCAAACCCAAAAACAAACAAACAAAAAAACCTAAAACAACAAAAAGTTTCAAGAAATAGAGCTAGCTCACAGAACTGTATTCAGATATGGCAGGGATAGTAGAATTATCAGATCAGGAATTTAAAACAACTATGATTAATATGGTAAGAGCTATAATGGAAAAAATAGACAATTTGTAAGAACAGATGGGTAAAATAAGCAGAGAGATGGAAAGTCTAAGAAAGAAACAATAAAAATTCTAGAGATCAAGAAACTAACAAAAATGAAGCATGGCTTTGAAGGCTCATTAGCAGACTGGGTGTGGCTGAGGAAAGAATCTTGAGCTTGAGGATATGTCAAGAGAAGCTTCCAAAAATGAAAGGAAAGGGAAAAAGACTGAATAAAAAAACCAGAATATCCAAGAACAGTGGGGACAACTACAAAAGATGTAAATAAGCAGAGTGGAACCCCAGAAGAAGAAGAAAGAGAGAAAGGAATAGAACAAATATTCAAAGCAATAATTAATGAGAATTTTTGTAAATTAATATGTGACACCAAACCACAGATTCAGGAAGCTCAGAGAATACCAAGCAGGATAAACGCCAAAAAACTACATCTAAGCATATCATAACTAAACTGCAGGAAACCAAGGATAAAAAAATAAATCTTTGAAAGAAGCCCGAGGAGGTAAAGGAAAACCTTACTTATAGAGGAGTAAAGATGCAGATTACAGCTGTCTTTTCAGAAGCCACACAAACAAGAAGAGAGTGGAGTAAAAAATATTGAGAGGAAAAACCTATAAACCTAGAATTCGGTATCCTGTGAAATTATCCTTCAAAAGTGAAGGAGAAGGACTTTCTCAGACCAACAAAAATAAAGAGAATTTGTTACCAGTAGATCTGCCTTACAAGAAATGTTAAAAAGTCAGGAAACAACAGGTTCTGGAGAGGATGTGCAGAAATAGGAACACTTTTACACTGTTGGTGGGACTGTAAACTAGTTCAACCATTATGGAAGTCAGTGTGGCGATTTCTCAGGGATCTAGAGCTAGAAATACCATTTGACCCAGCAATCCCATTACTGGGTATATACCCAAAGGATTATAAATCATGCTGCTAAAAAGACACAAGCACATGTATGTTTATCATGGCACTATTCACAATAGCAAAGACTTGGAACCAACCCAAATGTCCAACAATGATAGACTGGATTAAGAAAATGTGGCACATATACACCATGGAATACTATGCAGCCATAAAAAATGTTGAGTTCATGTCCTTTGTAGGGACATGGATGAAGCTGGAAATCATCATTCTCAGCAAACTATCGCAAGGACAAAAAACCAAACACCGCATGTTCTCACTCATAGGTAGGCATTGAACAATGAGAACACTTGGACACAAGAAGGGGAACATCACACACCAGGGCCTGTTGTGGGGTGGGGGGAGGGGGGAGGAATAGCATTAGGAGATATACCTAATGTTAAATGACGAGTTAATGGGTGCAGTACACCAACATGGCACATGTATACATATGTAACTAACCTGCACATTGTGCACGTGTACCCTAAAACTTAAAGTATAATAAAAAAAATAGAAAGAGGAAACATGATGTAGGTCAAGGAAACTCAGATCTACATAAAGGAAGGCACGACATTGGAGAAGCAATAAGTGAGGATAAAATAAAAATTTTTACTTTTTAAAATTCTCAGTTGATCTAACAGATAATGGTTTGTTCAAAATAGTGATAGCAACATTGTATTTGATGATTATAGCTTATGTATAAGTGCAGTGAATTACAACAATGGTACAAGGGACAGGAGAGAGGAATTAATAATATGTTGTTATACCCCTGAACCTAAAATCAAAGTTTTTAAAAAAAGATATCTGCCCTAGTTGTGAAGTGATATAGTACTATTGAAAGTGGATTTGGGTTAGTTATAAGTGTATATTGGAAACTGCAAGGTAGCCACAAAAAATGTAAAAAAGAAGAAGTATAACTGATATGCTAAAAAAAACAGAGAGAAAATGGAATCATAGAAAATGCTCAGTTCAAGCCACAAAAGGAAGAAAGAGTGGAAAGCAAAGATAGAAACAAAGTACAAAGGCAATGAATAGAAAACAATAACAAATATAGTAGATATAAATTCAACTATATCAATAATCCCCAAATATTTGGAGATTAAACAACATAATTCTAAATAATACATGGTTCAAAGAAGACATTTCAAAAGAAATTAAAAAAAATTGAACTCCATGAACATACACCTGATTGAAATTTGTGGAATATAGCAAAAACAGTGTTTAGAGGAAAATTTATAGCATTGAATGCTTATATTTATAAGAGAAGAAAGATCTAAAATCAATAATCTAAGCTTCCACTTTAGAAACTAGAAAAACAAGAGCAAATTAAATCCAAAATAAGCTGAAGAAAATAAATAATAAAAATTAGAGCAGAAGTCAATGAAATTGAAAACAGAAAATCAATAGAGAAAAATCAATGAAATGAAAAGCTGTTTTTTTTAAAGACCTCTTTCTATGAGATCAGGATTGACCTAAAATTAAACAAAAGGCATTATAAGAAAGGAAACTACAAGCTAATATCTCTCATGAACATAGATGAGAAAATTCTCAACAAAATATTAGCAAATTTTATCTAACAATTATAAAGATAATTATATGCCATGACCAAGTAGGATTTATCCCACATATGCAAGGCTGGTTTAACAATCCAAAATCAATTTAAGTAATCCATCTCAATAGGCTAAAAAAGAAAAACTGCCTGATCATATAAATAGAACCAGAAAAAGCATTTGCAAAATTCTACACTCATTCATGGTAAATCTTCAACTTGACAAAGACAGCTACAAAAACCTATAGCTAACAACACACTTGATGAGAAACTAGAAGTTTTCCTGCTAAGATCAAGTAAGAGGCAGAGATGTTCTTTTCTCATCACTCCTTTTCAATAGTTTTGGGAAGTTGAGCTAATACAATAAGAAAATAAAATAAAAGGTATACTAATTGGGAAAAAATAAAACTGCTTTTGTTTGAAGAACACATGATAATCTAAATAGAAAATCTGAAAGAATCAACAAAATACTCCTTGATTATAGCAAGGTTGTAGGATGCAAGGTTAGTATATGAAAGTTAAATATTTTCCTATATGCCATCAATGAACAAGTAAAAGTTCACATTGAAAACACAAAATCATTTTCATTAGCACTTCCAAATATAAAATACCTAGGTATAAATCTAACAAAATGTGTACAAAGTCTATATGAGGTAAATGACAAAACTCTGGAAGAAATAAATAGAGAGATATTCCATTTTCATGGGTTTAACGGCTCAATATTGTCAAGATGTCACTTTTTCCCAACTGGACATATAGAGTCAACACAGTCCCAATCAAAATCCCAGTAAAATATATATTTTTTGGGATGAACAAACTAATATTAAGGTTTATGTGGAGAGTCAAAGGTCTAGAATTAGCAACCTGTTACTGAGGGAGAACAACAGTGGAGGACTGTCAGTATTTGACTTCAAGACTTCCTATAAGGCTACGCTAATCACAATGTGGTATTGGTAAATGAATGACCAATAAATCAATGAAACAAAATAAAGATCTCAGAGATAGACCATAAATATCATCAACTGATCTTGGGCAAAGAAACAAAAGCAATACAATGGAGCAAAGACATCTTTTCAACAAATGGACCTGGAACACTTGGACATCCATATGCATAAGAATAAATCTAGATTTAGGCTTTATGCTCTTCACAAAAATGCACTCAAAATGGATTATAGACCTAAATGTAAAGAGCAGACTTAATAAAAACTCCTAGAAGATAATACGAGAAAATCTAGGTGACCTACAGTATGGCTATGAATTTTTAGATTCAACACCAAAAACATGGTCCATGAAAGAAATAATTGATAAGCTGAACTTCATTTTAAAACTTCTGCTCTGATGAAGATCCTGTCAAAAAAATAAGAAAAGCCAAAGATTTGGAGAAAATATTTGCAAAAGATCTATCTGATAAAGACTTTATCCAAAATAGACAAAGAATTCTTAGAACCTCAACAATAAGAAAGTAAACACTGATTTAAAAATGGTCAAAACACTTGAACAGATACCACACCAAAGGAGATACACAGATGGCAAGCGAGCAATCAAGAAGATGCTCCACATCATATCCCATTAGGAAATTGTAAATTAAGACAACAGCGAGATGCTACAACACGCCTATTAGAATCACCAAAATTCTGAACACTGGCAACACCAGGTACTGGGGAGGATGTAGAATAACAGGAACTCTCATTCACTGCTGGTGGGAATAGAAATGGTACAGCTATTTTGGAAGGCAGTTTGGCAGTTTCTTACAAAACTACACACTCTTGCCGTATGATGCAGTAATCTCTTTAGCGTGTACTCAAATGAGTTGTGCAAGTGTCAATAGTTAAGATGAGGTCATACTGAATAAGGGAGGGCTCCATAGCCAACACTGCTATCCTTGTAAGGAGAGGAGAGGACACACAGATGCACAGAGAAGGTCACATGTAGACGGAGATAGAGCTTGGAGTGAAACAGTCATGAGCCAAGGGATGCAGGAGTCACCAGAATCTGCACTGGGCAAAGAAGGGTCCTTGCTAAGAGTTGTTTACAATGGTGTGGTCCTGCAGACACCTTGATTTTGGACATCTGGCCTCCAGAACTGTGAGATAATAAATCTCTCTTGTTTTAAGCCGGCAAGTGTGCTGTGATTTCTTACGGCAGCTCCAGTGGTCAGGTGCAATGCAATGAACATAAACATGGACACTGGAGAAGCTCTGGTTTCAAATTTGGACATTCTTATTTACCCTTTAACCTTGTGCTGGTAACCTAACCTCTCAACCTCAGTCTCCTTATCTGTTTAAATAGGGATAATCATACAGATACACTGCATGGTGGGTGTGAAGATTAAATTAGGCAGCACATGTACAATGCCGAGAGAGAGAATATCCTTTCCTCCTCTGCTCCTCACATTCCTGCCTTGGTCCACTGAGGAGAAGGAGAGATGTCTGTTCCGCTCCCCACCCAAGGAGCAGTAGAGTGCTCCTTCTCAGCCTCCTATTCACTCCTCCTCAATCGTCGGACATCTGTTCCATCAGAACTCAGGGCCTGATATTCACTGGCTCCTGTCTTTCTAATGGTCATTGCCCCTGTATAGGTGAAATCAGGCTGTCTTTCCATCTCTCCCACTGTCTCCTCCTTGGGAAAAGTTGGCCCATCTGTTTGTTGGTCCCCTGATACAGTTTGGATGTTTGTCCCCTCCAAATATCACGTTAAAATGTAATCCCCAATGTGGGAGGTGGAGCCTAGTAGGAGAGGTGATTGGCTCATGGAGGCAAATCCCCCATGAATGGTTTAGGGTTGTCCTCTTGGTGATGAGTGAGTTCTTGCACAGTTCACACAAGATCTTGCTGTTTAAAAAAGTGTGGCACCTCTTGCTTTTCTCTCTTGCTCCAGCTCTCCCCATGTGATGTGCCTGATCCCCCTTCATCTTCCACCATGATCATGAACTTCCTGAGGCCCTCACCTGAAGCAGATGCTGAAGCCATCCTTGTAAGGCCTGCAGAACCATGAGCCAATTCAACCTCTTTTCTTGATAAATTACCCAGCCTCAGGTATTCCTTTATAGCAATGTGAAAATGGATGAATCCATTCCCCCCCACCCCCACACGTCTGAGTGTGTGGGGCAGGCCTAGATTCCACACCCTGCAAGTTGGTTGGGGCAGCCTCTTTGGAGTCTTCTAGGTGTTTGTCCTATCTTTGTACTGACCAAGTTGGCTGATTACAAGAAAAAGATCTACCGAATGACCAGTCCTAAGCTATATTTTCCCAATTGGGGTTTAGCAGAGATTCCTGTAGTTGGAGTTGCGGATTCTTGTAGGACTGATAAGCACTGGAATTTATTTCCTGTTCGTGACTATGCTCCGTGAGGAGAAGGCATGAGTGGCCCTGCAATCCCCAAAAAGCCACCAAAGTCCTCAGACAGCACCAATTCCCTCACAGTCCTTGCTGGCTTGCTCCTGGAAGGAAGAATATAATTTACAAAGGTGTATGTATAAATATATAGATGGCAGTGATAACACCTGTTCATTTAACCTAAAAATATAAAAAGGGAAAGAGATTTGATGGGAGACTCACTCGTCCTGCAAACTTGGAATTACCAATTTATCTTATTTTCAGTAGACTGGCTTCTCTATCATGCTCATCACAGTGAGACCCTGGATAATGACTAATGGCCTCAGCAGGTGAAAAATGCTTCTATTCATGAACAGAGCTTCATTATACTGCTCCTGCCTAGGCTGAAAATTTTTGTTGGCTTCAAGTAAAAGATTCTATCCTGATAAATCCCACTGGTAAGAGAAAAAGTTTGTGTTCTCATAGTGTGCTGGAATTTCACAACATGTATCTTCCACAGCAGGTCTCAAGCTCCAAAAAAAAAAAAAAAAAAAAAATCACTGTACCTAAAAAAGGCCATGTGATCGATTTTGCAAAAATGAGTCTGTCTTTTTTACCTCTTGTTATCTGCTAGTCTTTCTTTCTACATGCAGCTCTAGTTTTCCTTCCCTTGCCCATAGCCTGTTTTCCATTCATGCCACAAACAGCACCCTGCATACTGAAGGGTGCAGGGTATGCCAGCCCTCTCATACGACAGGAAGTGCTGTGGGTTCAGCCTCATCATAGACTCTTGGGGCCTATGCTAGCCCATTTTTGCATTGCTATGAAGGAGTATCTGAGGCTGGGTAATTTACAAAGAAAAGAGGTTTATTTGGCTCATGGTTCTGCAGGCTGTGCAGGAAGCATGGCTCCAGCATCTGCTTATGGGGAGGTCTCAGGAAGCTTCCAATCATTTTGGAAGGTAAAGGAGAAGTTGGTATATCACATGGTGAGAGCAGGAGCAAGAGAGAGAGGTAGGAGGTGCCACACTCTTTTAAACAACCAGATCTCTTATGAACTCAGAGTAAGAACTCACTCATTACAGTGAGGAGGGAACCAAACCGTACCTGAGGGATCCACCCCCGTGACTCAAACACCTCCCACCATGCCCTGCCTCCAACAATGGGGATTACATTTCAACATAAAATCTGGAGGACACAAGCATCCAAACCATATCTGGCCATCTCTTGGTAATTCATTAACTCATTGACTTATCAGCACTCCTCTTGGCTTCTGTGCCTGCTCAGACACTGCACTCTAGCCCTTGTTCTTGCCTAAGAGCTGGGCTTTTGCCCTGCAAACCCTCTTGTATCCTAATGCAGAAACCAAAACTCCACTTTATTCTCTTGATTTGTACTCAATACCTCTCCTTCCTCAGGGACCGGTTTTGCCTTTCTGAAATGAGCATTGTGTCCATGTACCTGATTCCCTCTATGTGATGCTAGGTCCACCCATGGCTGACTTCCCACCCATCGAATCTACAGGCTGTCTGTATGCTGTGCTCTGATACCATATTTTTCTTTACTTCATTTGTCTTCATGGTGCAATAGAGGTGTAATGGGGGATCAGGGGGCAAGGAGGCTTTCCAGAAGTGGTGAGGTCTAACCTGATGTTCTGTTTTTATCGCCGCCTGTGAGTTTTCCCTGAAGCAAGCTCTGTCTTTGTGGAAGCTTCAGCATAATGGGATATCTGAGCACAACACTCAGGACCGTCAGGATTTGATGCTTTGAGGCTACTTGCCAAGGCTACTTTTCCAGCTTCATTGCACACTGTGCCAGCGTTTTCTTCCCAAGTTTTGAGATTCAGCTGCACACTGCGGCAGTGTTTTCTTCCCAAGTTTTGAGGTTCAGCTGTACTGAAGTACTTGTCATTTCTTGAGCACTTCATGCTTTCTTACATCTCCTTTGCATCTCATGTGATGCAGTTGACAATCTTGTTTGTTTGGTCTTTCCTGACCCCTTACCCTGCAACCCACCAGCAAGTTAGATGGTGGCCTATGTTCTTCAAAAATCCTATCACTGGGGTTTTCTGGTTTATTGGTCCTACCCATCCTGTTCTCACCTGTTCAGATCTTGATCAAGCACCAGGTTTTGAAGTCATCTTTCCCTTTAACTCTAGCCCCAAAATGTCTCCTTTCTCAATTATAGTAGCTGCTGTCTTGACTACACGTATAGCATTTAACCTTAACATTGTTTCCTAGTTTAATGATGATGTGTGTACACCCTTTCTGGTGGCAGGGACTCTGGCTATATTATATTTCCCTAAGACACTAGAATAGTAAGGGGTGGGGCTCTTGATAAGCTAGATACAAGCTTATTTTCCTTTCTTTGGGAGAGACATGCTCCTGGTTCCAGAAGCCCCCTTGACTCAGCATCTGATGCCTTAAACACTATCCCTCAGAGGTTCCAGGACTAAAGAATTCACAGACCACATGCTCTAGTGTTGATGGTTCCTATTGTTAGTCTATCTTTATCATTTATAAGTTAATCTAATACATCAATGGGGACAATTTCCCATACAAATAATTGTCCTATTTAAAATTGAACTCGATTGCATTAATCTACAGTTTCACTAGATCTCTCCATGACACATGCAGTTTTTTAGAAGTCATGGTGATTTACAAGTAGAAGATTCTGCATTTGATGGGCCAGGGTTTCCTGGAGTTCTAATCCAAGCCCTATTCACTATAGATCAAGCCACTGTACCTCCTTTTCCAGAAGGGTAGGAAACCCAAACTCAGTCTGATGCGGTTATACTTAAGTAAACAAACACACAACTTACCTAGAGGCCCAGAACAAATAACAAACAATCGGGGAAGAGGGCATGACCTCTCAGGTAGATTACCTCCTCATTGTCATTTCTATTAGGGTAGAATGGCTGATTTAACAGAAGGTCTGTCTCCACTGGGGACTCCCTGGTTGTGCTGATGTTTGCTGTAGTTACCAGCCTAATGGCTGCTTTGTAAGTTGTTTGGATTTGCTAATAATTCCTAATGAGGATAATTAAGCAAACAAAGCAATGGGTAGAGAATAGGGTGTGTAAATACGGATACATTTAATGATGCACTGACTGATGATTTCTGTTCCTTGGTTGTTAACTGTGAGAATCTACCCCAAAGATGCTTGAGGTGTGAGCAGACACAGGGCGCTGCCACAGTTGCTTTTTCTGGATCTCTGTACTATCCTCCCCTCCCTTAACACCCCTTCCACTCTCCTTTACTTCTTTCTTTCTCCTTCCCTCCCACCTCACTCCCTCCTGCCCTTCCTCTTCCTCCCTGTGAGAGGACGAGTTAGGTCAGGTCAATACATTGGCAGGGGTTTTAGGGAAAGGGTGGTTATTCTCCATGAATCTAACCAATTAGGCTTCTTGCATGGATGGAGAGTTTTAGGGGGTTGGTGGGTTAGAAAGCAGTGTGACTTGGCAACTGCCAAGGGACTGGGGGACAAAACCGCTGAGAGGACTGCTGGTCTGGCTGGCAAAGGCAGTGGAGTTGGGAGTCAAATATGGCGAGGTGACAGGACAGGTCTGTGATAGACACCCCCCCAGCAGAAGCAACTGGACCCAGGTGAATGGAGGCTGTTCTTTGGAAGCGATGAAATGGAACTTTGGCAAAATGAAATGATTTCAATTTCAAGAACTTCACAGGGGAGTTTGGAAGGAAGCTCCTGTGATTAAGTGTGGGTTTGGGAAAGAATAGAGCAGAGTCCAGTCTGCGAAAAGAGCCACTGCAGTGCCTTAGGGCACTTCTACAAACATGAACCAAAAGGACACAGGAGTGCTGCCCAGACAGCAGGGGACACGTCTGGTCATGTGGGTTACCTGAGCTTGTGTGTATGTGGGTCACAGTCATCTGTATTTAACATAGTGTAAATTAACACAGAGAAAAATGTGAAGGATCAGAATTTATAAGCACGTGTTCCATTAGTCAAAGGAGAAACGATATCATCATACACCGTGGAGCTTCTGAAAAACTCCTCTGTACCCCGGTGAGAGGATGAAGGTGTGTGAGACAAGGCAAATAATGTCTTAGGATGATTACAAAAATTGTTTTGACTTTGTACACTCCTTAGAAAAATCTAGCTATCCCTGTAGGTCCCCATACTATGCTTTGAGAATTATTCTCAGGAAAGAGAGGATGAGTGTAGATTTCCATATAAGATGAGAGATGAAGAAAATAAGAACCATTGTCTATTGTGTAGAAGCTCAATTATAATTTCATTCTTGCACCAGATGAGCCTTGAAAACAGAAACCACCACTAGCCTGTTTCTTAGCCCCTGTCACTCACCATCTCCCTTGCTCTAGGTGTCTGGGGTTCTGTCTGTGTCTGTCTCTGTCTTTCTCTTCCTCTGCGTTGCTTTTCCCTTTTTTTCACTTCCTCTCCCTCTTTGACTCTCTCTCCTCTTACCCTCTCCTCTTTTTTTCTCCTCTCGGCTTCTTCAGCTCTCTCACTGAATGTCTGTATCTCTGTATTTTTTCTTTCTCCGAAAGTAACCAGTATCCCCCTTTCACTCTCAGTATTGTTCATTTGCCCCTTCCCGTATGTTTTCTTGATATATCTTGCCAAAGTTGACAACTGTGCTTGTCTTTTCAACAAATCAGTTTTTGGCCATTAAAAATATTATTTGCTATGACATTAATTTCTCCCCCTTATGCTTCTCTTTCTTCTATGTTCTTTGGATGTATTCCAACAGTCCTTTTCTCCCCCTAAATTTTTAAGTACTATGCTTAGCTTATTTTTAGTCCTTTTCAAATGTATGTGTGTAAGGCTGTAACCCTCCAGGTATAATTTTATTCTTTTAAAATTTTCATTTAAACTTTAGACTCAGGGGGTATATGTGCAGGTTTGCTGCAAAGGCATATTGCATGATGCTGAGGTTTGGGCTTCTATTGAATCCATCGCCCAAGTAGTGAGCCTAGTACCCAATAGAAAGTTCTTCAGTCCTTGCCGTTCTCTCCCACTCACCATTCTTGCAGTCCCCAGTGTTTATTGCCTTCATCTTTATGTCTGTGTGTACTCAAGATTTAGCTCCTACTTATAGGTGAAAATATGTGTTATTTGGTTTTCTGTTACTGTGTTAATTTGCTTAGGATAACGGTCTCCAGCTGCATCTATGTTGCTGCAAAGGAAAGGATTTCATTCTATTTTATGGCTGCATAGTATTCCATGGTATATATGTACCACATTTTCTTTATCCAGTCCACCATGGATGGGCACCTGGGTAGATTCCATGTCTCTGCTATTGTGAATAGGGCTGTGATAAACACAAGAGTGCAGGTATCTTTTTGGTAGAACGATTTATTTTTGTTTGGGTATAAATATAATTTTAAATGCATCTCACAGCTTTGATAAATAGTATTTTTAATCGTCATTCAGTTTTAAGTATTTATATTTTTATTTCTTATTTGACCCATGAAATATTCTCTTGTGTTTTAAAATTTCTAAATATATATGTGTGTATGTATAAATTTTTATGTTATATTTTTGATAATGAGTTTTATCCTAATCATGTTCCAGGCAGATCGAAAATGCAATCTGTATGATACCAATTCTTTGAAATTTGAGACTTTATTATGGTTTATTACAGACTCAACTTTCATAAATGTTTCATAGCTGCTTGAAAAGAATATATACTCTTTATTTATTGAGTGTACTTGTCATGTACATATACATGAACTCAAACTTATTAATTTTGTTAATTATTTTTTGTTGTTCTTTATCTTTTCTGATTTTTTCTTGCTTGATTTATCAAGTCCTAAGAGGGATATCCTGAAACTTCTCATGTGATAGAGGATTTCTCTACATTCTCATAATTTTTGCTTTATATATTGTGAATGTTATTATGTGTATAGAAGTTTAGGCTTTTTATATATTTCTGGTGAGTTGAAACTTTGGTAAGCATAAAATGACTTTTATCAAATGACTTGGACCCACCTGAGGGTATTCTCTTTAAGGACTCCTGGCTATTTGAAAAATTCCTGACCTAGCCTCATATTATTCTTAGAGATCCAAGCATGTTTCATGTTTTCAGAGAAGTTGTGGCGTATTTAAACATAGATCCCAGGGCTTCAGAGATTAACAGATGTCCTAATGAAAGCTTCAGTCTTCAGACCTTATCCATTTCTCTAAATTCATGCTTGCTTTGTTTGCTTTTTCTTTTTCTGTTTCCCCCCCAACTCCTCTGTCTGGCTTCAGATGATTCTCTTACTTCCTGTGTATTTGAAAAGTTTAAAAAATCATTCCTTGACTATTTTATCCATCATCTATGTGTCCTTTATTGGAGGATTTCTCCATCCAAACATGTATCATGGTGTTTTTCCAGGAATGGAAGTTCCATTCTCAATTCTTCACACATATATTGTGTGTGTCTGTGACTCACCCTAATTCCTTTACTTTATCCTTTCTTTTATTTAAACTACTATTACCAAGGCAATACTTTCTTTTGTTTTACTGATTATAAAGTAATTCATATATATGGTAGAAAGTTTGAAAACCAATGCAAAGTATTGTGGAGAAAAAATTACTTGTAATAATCAGTTAGAATCAAATAGCATTTTTGGTGGCCAGGTTTATTGAGATATAATTTGTATATCTCAACTTATATAAAATTTACCTCTTTTAACTGTACAAATACATGACTTTTGACAGATATTTATTGCAATGTAATCACCACCACAATCATGATCTAGAACATTTCAGACATGTCAGGAAGTTCTTTTATACCCTTTTGCAGTTAATTCTCTCCCTGCAACTCCTGACCCTTGAAAACCACTGATACACCATTGATATAGTTTTGTCTGTTCTAGAATTTTACAAATGTAGAATCATATAGTATGAGATCTTCTGTGTTTGTCTTCCTTCACTTACCATAATGCTTTTGAGAGTCAATGCTGTTTCATTTATTTGGAGTCTCATCTTCATTTTAAATTCTGAGTAGTATTGCATTGTATGGATATTTAAAAATTGTTTATCCATTTACCATTTGGTAGAAAATTGGATTGTTTCCAGCTTTTGACCATTGTGAGTAAAAAAACTAGTGTGAAAATTCATGTATTCTACAAGTCTTCTTTGGACACAAACCTTTATTTCACTTGGGTAAATACTTAGGATTGGAATTGCTCAGACATACGGTAAGTTTGTTTTTAACTTTACATGAAACTGCCAACTTTTTTCCAATGTAGTTGCACCATTTTGGATTTCCACTAGCACCAACACTTGGTATTGCAGTTGTCCCTTGGTATCCACAAGGGATTGGTTCCAAGACCCCTCTGCATTCCAAAATAAATACTTGTTCAAATCCTGCAGTGGGCCCCATGGAACCAGCAGATACAAACATTCAGCCTCCCATATACACAAGTTTTGCATCCCACGATACGGTATTTTTAAGCCATGTTTAGTTGAAAAAAATCCACATGTAAATGGACCTGTGCAATTTAAACCTGTGTTATTCAAGGGTTAGTTGTATTTTTAAATTTCAGCCATTCTACTGTATGTATATTGGTGTCTTACTTTAGTTTTTAAATTTCCATTCTCAACGAATAATAATTTAGAGCATGGTTTTCATATGGTTATTTGGCATATGCATATTGTTTTTGGTAAAGTATCCACATCTTTTGCCCATTAAAAATGAGTTGTCTTCTTAGTATTGAGTTGTGTTTATATATTCTTATATATTTATATATTTTGTAGGTTATCTCTTTATTTTCCCAACAGTGTTGCTTGCAGAGCAAAATATTTTAATTTTTGATGAAATCAAATTTATCGCTTTTTCTTTCATACTACATTGAATCCTATTTTAAAAATACATGCTTAATCTGAGATTATTAAGATTTTTTCTTATGCTTTTAGTAGAAATTTTATAGTTTTACCCCTTATGTTTAAGTCTATGATCCATTTTGAATTTTTTCATGTATGATGTGTGAGGTAAGAGTTAATGTTTCTCTCTGTCTCTCTCTGCATGTGGATATCTAACTCTTCCAGTATAATTTGTTAAAAGTTTATTTCCTCATTGTAATGTCTTGGCACCTTTGTCGAATAGCAGTTAACCTTATTTATATGGGTCTAGTTCTGAACTGTACATTCTGTTCTCTTGCATAATAATCATTATGCCAGTATCACATTTTCTTACGACAACATGGCTTTCTGGTGAGTATCAGGTAGTGTAGGTCCTCCAACTATGTTCTTTCTTTACAAAATTGGTTTGGCTATTCTAGGGGACCTTGCATTTTCATGTACTAGGATTAGTTTGCCAATTTCTACCAAAAATCTGCTGGAATTTTGATGGGAATTACATTGAATATGGAGATGAATTTGGAAAGAATTGCCCTCTTAACAAAATTGAGTGTATCTCTTCATTTATATAGATCTTTTAAAATTTCTCTCAGCAATGTATTGTAGTTTTCAGTGTATAGTCTTGCATATCTTTGTTTAATTTCTAACTAGATATTTCATAATTTTATGAAAGGTATTGCTTTAAAGTTTCATTTTCTGATTTTTCATTGCTAGTAGTTAAGAATAAAATGATTTTTAGATCTAAACCTTGTATCCCGTGACTTTTCTAAAGTCATTTGTTGGTTCTAGTAGATTTTTGATAGATTCTTTGGGTTTACTAGATAGATCATCAAGTTGTCTCTGAGTAGAGATTGTTTTACTTCTTTTCCAGCACATATGCATTTCAATTCTTTTACTTGCCTTATTACACTGGCCATTCATTATAATGTTGAGTAAAAGTGGTGAGAACATTTTTGTCTTGTTCTTTATTTTCGAGGAAGGAAAATCAGTCACTCTATTAGGACTATTAAATAGAATAGCTACAGCTTTTTTGTAATGTCATGTATTAAGTTGAGGAAATTCTCTTCTATTTGCAATTAGCAGTTTTTAAATCATGGATGAGTGTCAAATTTTTATAAAATTGTGCTTCATTGTATCTATTGATATTATCATGTAGTTCTTAGTTTGTTAATACGGTGAATTAGATTGATTGCTTTTTGAATGTCAAGCCAGTCTTGAATTCCTAATATACACCCCATTTGGTCATGATGTATATTACCTTTTATATATTGCAGGACCTGATTTGCTAATAATTTGTTAAGGATTTTGTGTCCATGTTCACAAGAGATATTAGTTTGTGGTACTTTTTATGCAATGTTTGTGTCTGGTTTTGGTATCAGGGCAATGCTAGCCTTGTATCAGTTAGGATGTGGTTCTGCCTCTTTTCTGAAACAGTTTGTGCAGAATTATATCATTTCTCCTTCAGTGTTTGTTCGAATTCATTAGTAAGATCTTCTGGTCCTAGAATTTTCTTTACGAGAAGAATTTTAACTATAATTTAAAGTAAATTAATTGTTTTATTTTTGTTTTTCTTTGAGACTATAGAGGTTATGTCTTGTTATCTATTTTTGGAGTGACTTGTCTATAAACACCAAATCCTTTATCTATTTTATCAAAAGTGTTGAATTCATTAGCATAAAGCTGCTCATAATATTCCTTATTATCATTTTAATATCTGCAGGCTATGCACTGATGCCTTGTTTCTCATTTCTGCTATTGGTAATTTATGTCTTCTATCTTTTTGTTCATGACCAACCTCTAACTAGGTTAGTCATAAACCTCTAACTAGAGCTTTATTAATTTTATTGACCTTTACAAAAAACCAGATATTTATCTTGCTGGAGTTGTCTATTTTTTCTGTTTGTTTGTTTTACCTTATTAGTTTCTGTTCTTATGTTTACTATTTTCTACTTCTAATTATTTAATGTTTAATTTTTTCTTTTTTTTTCAAATGTCTTAAGGTAGGAGGTTAGGCCGTTGATTTTAGATATTTATTATTTTCTGATATATGCATTAATGCAAAAAATGTCCTCTATGCACTGCTTTAGTTTCATGTCACAAACTTTGACATAATCTGATTTTCATTCTGTTTAAAGTATTTAAATATTCCCATTGTGATTTCTTTGATCCCATCATTGCTGTCTGATGTTTTGCCTAATTTCCAAATATTTTAGCATTTTCTTGATATTTTCTAGTTTTGATTTCTGATTCCACTGCAGTTAGAGAACATACTCTATATTATTTCAATCCTATTATTTGGAAATAATATGTCTCTTGATGAATTTTTCTCTTTACTATTATGTATTTTTGGCAATAGTTATTGCTCTAAAAGTTATATTTTCTGATGTCAATCTAACCAAATAAGCTGTCTTTTCGGTGTTAGCACAGTATATTGTTTTTCATACTTTTACTTTTAAGCTGTATGTTTTTGTTTGTTTAAAGTGAGTTTCTTCTAGACAGCACTTAGTTGGATTTTGCTTTTTAAAAATTTTTTATTTTATTTTATTTTAAGTTCCAGGATACATGTGGGGAATGTGCAGGTTTGTTACATAGGTATATATGTGCCATGGTGTTTTGCTGCACCTATCAACCCATCATCTAGGCTTTAAGCCCTGCATGCATTACGTATTTGTCCTAATGTTCTCCCTCCCCTTGTCCCCCACCCCCTGAAAGGCCCCGGTGTGTGTTGTTCCCCTCCCTGTGTCCATGTGTTCTCATTCTTCAACTCCCACTTATCAGTGAGAACATGCAATGTTTGGTTTTCTGTTGCTGTGTTAGTTTGCTAAAAATGATGGCTTCCAGCTTCATCCATGTCCCTGCAAAGGACATGATCTCATTATTTTTTATGGCTGCATAGTATTCCATGGTGTATATGTGCCACATTTTCCTTATCCAATTAGGTTAGATTTTAAAAATATCCCATCTAACACTCTCTGACTTTTAATGGGATTATTTAAGTCATTCACTTTTCATTTGATGATTGGATGATTGGTTTTAAATATTTACTTGTAGGGCTATCCTGAGGGTTGATAACTTCATATATTAATACATGCAATTATTAGAGCAGTGTCTAAAACATATAAAGTTCTCACTAAACATTTGCTGTTATTAAATGACTCTTCCAGGGTCAAGCATGTAGTAAACATCAGAGTCTAAATTCAACCTCAGCTCTCCTAACTTGAATATATACTTTTTCCTTTACATAAAGGTGATGTGACTATTTAAATTATGATCATTAAAAACCTTGATGAATTCTTTTTTCTTTCTTTCTTGGCTGCTAAGCTCATAAATTCAGTTTGAGCTTCAGTTGTGTGATTCTGAGCTGTCCAATGATGACAGATTCCTTACATACCACTCTATCATACATTTCTGAAATAATTTATATTTTTGTTGTCCTTGGGGCATCAAATATTCCTTCGGATGTCTTTGACACCAAGTTCATTTTCTTCTCTCTCATGATGGCAGGGAAACTTTTTGTATATCACTAGAAATACAACTGTCACACTTCCTGGTGGAAATTAATGTTTAGTGTATGGGCTTAGATATAGGGAAGAAATGATGACAAATCAGCATAGTTCTGAGGGTTTTGAGCATTGCTGGGCTTTCACAGTACCTTCTTCTCTGTTATTAAAGTAAGGCAAAAAAGCCACTCATTATGTGATTTTTGTCTAGGCAAATATTTAACTAGTTCAATTGTACATTTAACCTGGTTGGGATCCAAAGATGCTTTCCATGGTGTTCTTGAATTGGACTGGCTTAGAGAGCTAGGTGTCTTTGTCACTAAACCTTATCCAAACTGACAAATGAGGTAGTTTTTGAAAAATACCTGACAGAACCACTGGCTTATTTTTTGGCTTTGGATATATTTAGAAACTGAATTTACTGATTTCTTTTGTTTTTAATTAAGAAAAAGGACATCAATATCTTCCATATTGAAGGGAGTGGTAGGCAGGACAAATTTTATATATATATATCTATCTATATATATATATCTATATATATAATATATATATAATCTTTCACTTCCATGATTTTTTTCTCCTTTTTGGGAGTTTGCAAATAGTTTTTGATTATGGCAAATACTCCTCATTGCTAATTTTTGGTGACAGAGAATATTATCTCTTTCTTCTTTAGAAAATAGCAGGAGGGGAATCCTTGTCTTCTACTTTGAATTAGAGTAGGTGCTTCATTTGTTTGTGAGGAACTGCCCTTGGGGATCTTTTCCTTTCCTTCTTTCCTAGATTAACAATGGTACAAGCACGTGCAGAAAAGGGAGAGTCTCTGCTTGTCTTCATCTGATTCTCCTGTCCTCTCCGTGGAAGTTACATTTTCTCTAAAGGATGAGCTGAAAATTCTCCTGGTTGTTGCCAGTTGAACTTCTGCTGCACTCTGGGAAAGCATTCTCACTCTGTTTATGTTGTCTAAGTGTAGACATGGATGTGCAGGTTTGCTGGAACCTCCTGAGGATGTGCAATGGTTCTGTTCATGCCTGGATCAGTTCTTTTGGGAGTGGACATTCTTCCTCTCCCTCATGCACAGCCTCAGGCACATGGCTTGAGCTATGGTGGCACGCAGTATGGCCATCACCCAGGTACACCCCTTCCCTAAGAAGAGGCTCATCAGGTTACACTCGGGTACTGTTGTTATCTGGCTTATTGTCCATAGGATCGACATAGAGTCCTGAGGTCAGTTCAAACCATCAAACCAAGGATGTTACTTATCATTTGAAAACGTGTTTGGAAAGATAATCTTGGGTTGTTCGGTGGGACCAGCCTTTGATGGGCAAATCTCTAGAGAATGTGGGGTCAGTTCTCTCAGGTTCAGGAAGCATGTAATCTCTGTAAGATTCATTAATTTAAAAAAAAAGACACAGGCATAGAAAAATAGAACAAAATGAAAACCCTTTACTGGATGCCTACTATGGGTTATGTTTCAGGCCTTCCTCATCATTTTGGGACATGTGAGTATAAACAAGACCAGGCTATGTGGCCAGGGACTGTGTGGCTCACACCTGTAATCCCAGTGCTTTGGGAGGCCAAGGTTCAAGGTACAAGATGCAAGGATTGCTTGAAACCGGGAGTTCAAGACTAGCCTGGGCAACATAGTGAGACCTTGTCTCTGCAAAAAAAGAGAAGAAGAAAAGAACAGAAAGAAAGAAAAGCTAGGAAGCTAGGGTGTGGTGGTGCATGCCTGTAGTCCCCACTACTTGAGGGGCTGAGGCAGGAGGATCGCTTGAGCCCAGGAGATCAAGGCTGCAGTGAACTGTGATTGTGCTGTTACATTCCAGCCTGGGTAACCAGGCAAAACCCTGTCTCTACAAAAACAAAACAAAACAAAACAAAAAGACCTGCCTATGTCTTCATGAACTTTGCAGTATAGTGGTGGAACGTGTGAGGGCTGTTAGGTCGTGCTTCTTGGATACTTGGTGGGTTTATGAAACCTCAATGGGGAGCTCTGAGCACCGTCAGGCCTTAGCCTGAATCTCTATAAAGTAATTTCTATGTATGAGTGCTAACTGCTCGGGACAGTTCTGCTCAGCAAACTCTAAGGTTGTATGCACGGGCTCACAGGTATAACTCATTTGGGGCTGAGAGGAGAACTTGTTATTTGGTTTCCTGTCTCCTGATCCAGATGTTACATTTGTCATGGGCATGGAAAGCCCCCAAACTCCCTAAGACAGTACCTGGTTCATTCTGGGAGTTTCCAGATGTCCTGTCTTTCATATTTCCAGAGGAGTTAATGGAAGACTGTAGAAACTCTGCTCTCTATCCTGTAGCTTCCTTGCTACACAAATTAATTTGGGGTTAGATAGTTTTCCTCTTGACAAAGTTTTAGTATTTTGTGAGACAAAAACTCTGAGTTGAGGTGGAAATATTTTTCTATCATGGGGCATTACTCAGGTTGCAATAAAGTGTGTTTTGCTTGTGGCAAAATTTGCAAACCTTCGCTCAGTGAAAAGTACATGTTTTTCTTAGTGATGAAGTCTGTGAAAAGTCAAATTTACCCATTTCTCTCCACATGGGTAATTTTTTGAGCATTGCACTCCCACTTACTTCATGTGCTCTATTTTCATCCAGGTCTATAATTAGACCAATGGGGTGACTGTTTTAGCAAAAACATAAAGACTCAGGAAGATAAGTACTTCAGGATTGCATGAATCTAAATCTGGAGTCAGTTTGTAGTGGACTATTTTTTCCCCCATCCTCATTACATTTAAAAAGTATGAACTTATTGGGAGCTTTATATAAACTAACACCTAAAGTTCTTTCAACCCAAGGTTGATTTGAGCACATGCATGTAAGTGTGTGGTGATGTCTAGTGCCAACTGATCCTGTCTAAAAGCCATTTGCTATTCTAATTGGTAGGACAGCAGGCAGGTTAAAATATTAATTATAAAGCTGCCATAACTTATCAGGAGAAATCAGAAGTCTTCTTAATTCAAACAGCTGCTAATTAATTTGCTCTTGCCAACTCTAAGAAATAATAGAGCAAAAGAAAGAGTTAGAATAATCGGAGGCGAATCTGATGAAAATAGTTTAGATTTCATTTGAATCGTTTGAGGAAATGTTACATTAAAAATAAATAGCATAAATTATTGAATCATTTGTCAAGCAAAAACTAGGACTTTTAGAAAGTTGCCAATGTGGCTATACCATTTAAAAATGTTTGTTTTTTTCAGGCCCATCAATGAGAGAGACAACATTTAGATAAGAGTACTGGATATTTGAAAATTCTTACACCCTGTGATGTGACATGGAGAAGTGACCAACACAAATTTGCCAACTATACTCATTTCTTGGTAACTGCCCATTAGGAAGGATTTCTTTCCAAGTCTATCACTAATTTAGCTGTTGTTCACATGAGAACTAGAGGCAGATGATAGCAGCTTGATCACTGCTTTTTTTACTTAGAAGATCAATGATGTTCAGAATAGTGTTTGTATGTGTAAGCATGGATGTGTATGTGGTGTGTGTGTCTGTATATGTGTATGTGGTGTGTGTGTATATATATATATATATATATATATATATGTGGTGTGTGTGTGTGTGTGCGTGTGTGTGCAGGGTAGGTATCACCACATTCCCTGTGGTGGTGTGTCTCTGGGATTGGTGCTTCTGGAATCTCCCACTTCTTAGAGCCACTTTAAGATATTTATTTATTCTCTCCAACCATCCTGCCAATCTTTTTATCCTTAAACAGGAATAAATTCCTACAGCTGAATCTATTCAGGATTTCTGTATGTATGTGTGAAAATTTATATGATGCTCAATCCTTTAAAAAATCTTTTATTCAAACAACTTTAAAAGTAAAAAGTATTTTATCATACTTTAAAAAGTATTTTGTCATAAAAAGTGAGAGATGTTTGTCCACCGAATTTCTTGCTTTCTTTCTTGTGTGTCCCTAGATTACTTTAGCCTCTGTTTCCAGCCAGTTGGAACAGCAAGGGTGAGGGTCTTAGGAGTAAACATGTAACACTTACTATTTCCCTTTCAAGTTCAGAACCAATTCAGGGTCAAGAGCCAAGAGACACACAAATAGAGATCTAAATTCAGCTTTATTTCTGATAAAACCAACTTGAGAATGTGTTTTTTTTAATTTGCGTGCAAATGGCTTGCTCAAACGCCCTGACTGGATTAGATGGATTCATACCCCCAGTCATGGACAGCTCTGGGCATCTCCAGGTGCCACAATGGGGCAGGCCCAGCCTGCTAGGCAGAGAGAGAACCATTGTGGTTTGCAGAATATACTGTAATCAGTTTCCTCTACTAACTCTTTTTGTTAGACAAGTCACTCATCACCTGATGATAGAGGGGCCAGAAGGGCATGTTACACTCAGGTGCCTCCCCATGGAAACATGAAGTGTGGGGAATAACTGTTCCTCCCTAAGAGCAAATAGGATTGATTAATCCCTCGAACCACAATATGCAGTGAGACAAGCAATTTATGTAGGGACTGAGTTCTGCAGTTAGTGTACTTATCTCTGATGGGAGGCATTCCTTGTTTTTAAGGCAATCCTGTTTTGTCTGTTGGCCTGGTGTGTTTAATAAAGCTCCTTTCACTCTCAAACCTGTTCTAGTACGCCCAGCCTAGTGTGGATAATTAATTATATGGTCCTCGTAGTGTCTGGGGATAAAGAGGTCAATAGACTGAATCTCCTTAGATAGCCTGACGGTAAACTCATACTCATGTTATTCTTGGAGTTTGAGAATGTTTTTCAGGATATTCATTTGGTGGAATTTCATATTAGTGAGAACTGAAACTATTCATCAGTGTGAACAATAACAACAGTGTTTGCAGCAATGAGAAACCACCACTTCCCGTGCGACTTTGTTGAAGACCTTTCCAGATTGCATATAATGTCCTTCTGGACCAGACGTTTTTTTTTTTTTATTTTAGAGATGGTGATTTAAAGTGAATTTCCTCCCTTTCCATGACCACAGCTGCAGCATTTATTGAAGGTTTTGTCTTTTATGACACAGGGATTATGATGGTATTAAGTCTCCAGAAAGTGAGGCTTTCCTTGGGGATGGGAAATATAAGAAACAAACTAAGAAATGGGGGTTAGGAGTAGAACCTAAGAAGACTTCAGGACACATCCTGGAGAAGTGATATTTATAGCAGGATATAGAAAATTATTCCAGCCCAGTAGCATGGGAAGAAATGGCCGTGTGACCAGAATCCAAGGCAAACTATTTGCCTGCTCTCTTGTGTTAAGCTATAAGAGGGCAAATTATTATCAGCAAGACTGCACATGCTCAAATACGTTGCCACTGGTTTCTAGAGGAAATTTTTAAAATGCCTATTAAAAGTGTTCCGATTCAGGGTCAGGATTTGAGTTTCTTCTATTAATTGATGAAAATTTGCGAGGCTCTGTCAGAAACCATTTTCTTTATGAGGGCTCCAAAGTAAAAGAGGTGTTAGCTGGGTAGCTGGGCTGCTATTCTTAGTAAACCCCCTCTTCTCCTGCTGTGCTGACATACTAATATTTTACTCAGCATTTGAAAAATACTTTGACTACAATCAAAAGTTTTCTAAGTCTGAGGGAGTATATAGAGGGCTAGGGTAAAAATTAAGTATTTGCCTCCCACATTTTTTTTTTTTTGGCAATATGAGACTCTTACTATACTGAGGAAATCAGAGCACAGTTCAGATATCAGTGAATTTATTTATTTAAATATAGTTATAAACGTTTAAAGCCTGAAGCACTTCTAAATGCAATGTATTTTCAGGCTTCATTTTACTGATGAGATAACCGCAGAGCCCAAAGATCGAATTAATTATTAGAAAAAGGAGGAGATAAAGTGTGAAGACCAAGAGGGGAAAGGTGGTATATTATATTTAAGATATAAGTGGAAATTCAATATATTTAAAGCATGGAGTTTGAGAGAAAGACAGTGGTGGGAGGTGAGTCTGAAGAGATGTAGGAACCAAATCTCCATCTACGGGAAGGTCCTGGAAGCCATGGTAACAATGTTGGTATTTCTAAAAGTGCCCAAGAGAGCAGGGGAGGGCAGGAGAGGTCAGAGGTGCTCAAAAAGGGGTCTGTGTCCAGAGAGCTAACTGAGCACACGTCTATTTCCCTCTTGGTTCCACTCCCCTTTCATGACATACAATGCATCATTAAAAAGAATATGTCTGTAAGAGAACTGGATGGTTAGAGAAGAAATTGTCATTGAACTAAAACTTGGGAGGAATTCTTGGAAGGTAGACAGAAGAGCCAAATCCCAAGACATACATAGGATAAAACAGGGAGGAAGGTGAGAACACCCAGCTCCCATTCAGAGGAACACATTTTCGGAAAACAATGCTACGTAACTGTAGACAAAACATATGACAGTCATTTGCACTCATTAACTTAGTTAACCTCATTTTCCAGTCATCAAAGTAAGCAGATAAATGAAGATTATTAGATCTTCAAGGAAAACCAAGATCATGGGAGAAAAAACAACTGACCAATCCCAGGAAAATAATTATTTAGCACTTAATTATTGCCAGGGACTCTTCTAAAAACTTTTCTTAAATTAACTAATTCAATCCTCAACAACTCTAAGAGAGAGGTACTATTATTATCCTTAAGAGGAGGGAACTGAGGGACAGAGAGGTTAAGCAATTTGCTTAGGCTGTTTGCCTCCCAAGCCTAGGTTCTTAACCATTTGGAGAAATAGTAAAGATAATTTCTACAAAGCGAAGACAGTTAGCAGCCTTAAGGATGAAAGGATGCTGCAAGTACCATGCCCGGTGAGTGACAGAGTATCAAGGCTGGTTGAACCCGGTAAAAGCACAAGTTTTCAGAAAGAGGGAAACAAACAATTCCCTACAAAATTATGAAAATCACATTGACATCAGACTTCTCATAGGTGGAGACAACAAAGCCCTTTTCAAAAGTGGGTCAAACTGGCTGGCTGAGCACATATCCTTCCTTCCCTTCCTGTCAAAAGATATGACATTGTCTTTAACTTTGAATGACTTACACAGCAAAACAGCATTCAAATTTATGGAGAGAAATAAAGATAATTTTAGACATGCCAGATTCATGGTTTACTGTACAACAACCATCTCAGAAAGAAGTATTCAATAATAGCATCAAAATGAAAAATAAATCAAAGAATAAGGTAGTAAAGAGAATAAGAGTTAAGTAACTACTGACACATAAGGAAAGTAGTAACCATTTGGAATTAAAATCAATGGTATATATTGCCAGAGGAACAGTGTGGGGAGGGTGAGTATGACAGCATACTGAAGTTCCTTTTTATTTCTGGAGAAAATATAAAAGTAAAGAAGCTTAGTTTTGTGTGTATTTTATTTTAGAGATGGGGTTTCACTATATTGCTCAGGTTGGACTCAAATTCTTGGGCTCAAGCAATCCTTCAACCTCAGCCTCCTGAGTAACTGGGACTCTAGGCACATTTCACTGTGACTTGCTGCATATAAAAATGTGAAGAGCAAGTATTACAAACACAGTATTAGGATTTATCACTACTAGACCACTAGAGGGGAAAATGGAATAAAGAAAAAATAACCAATAAAACCAAAAACAAGGAAGTAAAATAAATAAAAATTAAAATTAAAAAGAGGAAACAAACAGAATCAACAATGAATGTAAATTAGAAACAAATAATATGGCAGAATTAAGTTTGAATATAACATTAATCCCAATTAATGTAAACAAGTTAAATTCTGCTCTTCAAAAATGGGTACTCTGAGAATAGACAAGCAAGTCAAAACCTACAAACCACTGTAACAGAGTTCAAAAAATAAAAATAAGTTTTTTACTCAAATAAATGATACTCCAATGTCATGCACAAATCTTAATGCTGTACTTTTAAATAGATATTAAAAAATGATTCCTAATTTATTAAAAGAAAAATCTTACTTGATCATGATGTGTTTTACTCAGGAATACAAGGATGGCTCAACATTCAGAAATATATTACTTTAACTCAGTATAACAAATAGATTAAAGAAAATATCACATTCACTCATAGAAATATATTAGTTATATTATTTTAAATGTAGCATTTTCTTTTCTCATTGGTTTATAAAACCTCTTTATGTATTCTGGATATTATTAATAGTCCCTCTGATGTTTATATTGCAATTCCTCTTTTAAAAGTAATATCCTCTATTTTGAATAATTTACAATGTTATTATTTCAATACGGTAAATATTGTTAATACTGTTATTTTATCTTCTGGATTATTAAATCTTGTTGAAGATGGGCTTCCTTTATCCTAGGTTTTTAAGCAATTCTCTTATATTTTCTTCTACTACTTTTATAATTGTTTGCTACGTTGCTGTTTGTAAGAGCAATAAACTGGGAACCAACTGAATGTTGTTGGTGAAATCATGGTTCATTCATATGATGGGATACTTATCATGAGTTCAAATGAATAAGCAGAGTTATATGAAATAATATGGAAAGAGTTCCAAAACATGATAAGTGGAAAAAACAAATCACAGAATAAAATATAATGACTACATTAAGGTAAAAAAGTATTTATGGAATACAAATGCACAGAGAACGTCTACAGTGGTATATACCAGTGCAATTCAAACAGGGGAAGGGGAATTCAATTCGTTCATACTCTGAATTCTATGTTATTTGAAATCAAGAAGATAATCTCAGAATAAATAATTTAAAAGAAGGGAAATATAAGGAAACAGGGGCAGCTGTGGATCAAGCTTTTTACAGCATCTGACTCAGGCGAGGCTCCTGTCTTCTAGGCTACTGCCTCTCTAGGACTTAACCTGGGCAATTGTAAGAGCCCTGGGCCAATAAAATAACCAGGAGGGCTGGGGTATCCCTGCTCCCGGGCTCAAGCCATCCCCCTGCCTCAGCCTCCCAGAGGGCTGGGATTACATTTGTGAGCCACTGCAACCATCACTTAAGGTTCATGAACCTCACTGGACCCTGGGAGAGTCAGCCTAGGGCAGGAACCAGCTCGACAGCTTTATAGATCAGAGAGACCTGGGTTCAAATCCAGACTCCACCCTTCTGAATTTGTTTGCAGGAAACAGACTATGATGCAATTCTTAAGGTGCAGGTAGGTTAAATGTGATGCATTTTCTAGCACAGTGCCTGATTACTTTCTTTTATTTTGGATTATAAAATGAAGATTTCTAAGGCTGTTTATGGTTCTAATATTTTATGGGTCTTTTGAATCCGGAAAGGTGGTTGGGGGAAGAGCCCTATTAGCTATTTTTGTCAGGTAAATGAAGAGCATTTACTATAGTAGCTTCTCACTGAGGCCTGCTAGATTAGATTAATTATTTGCTGTGGATTAGACTGGATTTTAATTATGAGCTCAAATAAGATCCTGGTGTGATTCATCCATGTTAACGTTAAGACTTTTCTTTTTCTAATGGTTCCGACAGAAAGAGGGAAAGGCTATTCTTGGAACATGAAAAAAGGCATAAATAGCCACAGCTGGTTTAATTACAACCAGGAAGAGATCAGAGAGAAGAAAAAAAGATGAGGTATATGATCCCATGATACGCTAATTAGAAATTTTCATATATGTTGGTTTGCAAAATACTACTGAATAGGCATTAGGTATTTTTGCCAAGACCTTGAAGAGGAAAATTGCACTGTTTTGTGAGCCTCCAGTCTCTCTGAAGATAGCAACTTTCCAAACCACACTGGTCAGGATGAAAACATGACTTTCTGCAATTGTTCTACAGTCAGGACTTTGCAATCACAGTGATTGAAGTGAAAGTGCTGATTAAGGGCTCTGCAGGAAGGTGACATGTGCAGAATTATAATAAGAAGGTGGCAGTGATTCAACCTTTGGGTCATTTACTTTGGCAACTATCATTAGCAGGTGACAGGGCTGTGGTGAAGGGAAGAGGAGAGCCATTCCAATTATGTCCCATAGCTTTTACTTGTTCCTCCAATTCCATGACTTTCTCAATTTTGCTTTTTTTTTTTCAGGGTCTCTCTGTGTCACCCAGGCTAGATACAGTGCAGTGGCACAATGACAGCTCACTGCAGTACTGCAGTCTTGACCTCCTGGGCTCAAGCAAATCCTCCCGCCTCAGTCTTCTAAGTAGCTAGGACTATAGGCACATACCACCATATCCAGCTAATTTTCTTATTTTTTGCAGAGACAGGTCTCATTATGTTTCCCAGGTTAGTCTTGAACTCCTGGGCTCAAGCCATCTTCCCACTTCGGCCTCCCAAAGTGCTGGGATTACAGGTGTGAGCCACTGCAACCAGCAATTTTGCTTTTCAGTGTAGTTGTTTGCATATTTGCCTCCCCAATAAGATTTTAAAGGTGTGCAAAGGCATAAACTAGAAACGTACTCATCAGTGAACGCTATAGCACTTAGCAGGATACTTTGCAGGAATACTCTGCAGTAATAGCTGCTTAATAAATACTGGTTGAATTATATTTTCAAATATCTGGTCCTGTGGATTTATTCCACAGATGCTGGTTTAAACATTTGGCTATAAGTATAAACAGACATGTGAGGTAGTCTTTGCGCTTGGCCTGAAAGAGTTTCACTCTTTTTAAAATATTAAATTTTTTTTTTTTTTTTTTATGGAGACAGAGTCTCATTCTGTCACTCAAGGCTGGAGTGCTGTGATGCTATCACAGGTCACTGCAGCCTTAAACTCCTGGGCTCAAGTGGTCCTTATATCTCAGCCTCCTGAGTAGCTGGGACTACAGTTGTAAGCCACCATGCCCTGCTAAAGTTTTCATTTTTTATAGAGATCAGGTCTCATTATGTTGCCCAGGCTGGTCTCAAACTCCTGTCCTCAAGTGATCCTGCACCACCTCAGCATCCCAAAATGCTGGGATCACAGGCATGAGCCACAGCAACCTGCAGGAGACTGACTCTTCATTAAATCTATGAGTCCCACTTTGCACTTGACAGAATGACTTGAGTGTACTGCTGGTCGGGAGCCGTAGGTGGAGAGCTGTGCTCCAAACCAGTATGATTTTTAAAAACTCCCCAAAAAGAGTAATCAAAGGAGCTGAAATCAGCTTCGAGTTGACTGGTTCTAGTCTTGAACACCTCTCAGTATCAGTAAATCCTTCGAACTCCAGTCTCACAAGGTGCATTTTAATCCCCCGTAATATCCCTTTTCTCATGAGAGAGATGGATTTGGCCACTTTGCTATGTTATGTGGAACCATTTTTGCTCTTGACAGTAGTAGCAGGATGATCTCTCAGCTTTGGGTGAGGTTCGAGCCAAGTCATGCATTGGTCTGTTTTTCCCATTAACTGGTGAACTGTAGAGTTAGATCCATGGATGTAGATTACATTTTGAAGCTTGGTCGTCAGCAAGAGCCTGATTAATTTCTTTAGCTTGGATATTAGTCCAAAGCCAGAGCTTTTCAGTTTGGTGAAAAACATTAACTGCCTCCTTCATGTGGGCTGATTGATTGGTGGCTGAACAGAAAGCATTTCTTCCAGCCCACAATGAATGGGAATTTTCCTTCAGATGCTCCCACTGAAAGCATACGCTTTGTTTACTCATGCAAGGAGTGAAAAGATCGGGTTCCTTTTCTGCTTAACTGTTCTAAACACCTTTTTCAGAATCTTAGTTTTCCCCTTCTCCTCCCAGCCAGCAAGGAGAGATGGTGACGAAACACTGACTTTGAATTGGGGGATGGGATTGAAGGCTGCTCCTGCTTCTTCCCTGGCCAATGCATTAATAACCAGCTCAGAAAATAACATGTCAACTCAGATTTCCTCTCTCAGCAGTGAATAACGTCTTGGAATACCTTGGAGGTGCTCACAACTGTGTGTGTTATTTGCAGTTGGTCCCTGTTTTCCCTCCCCAGCCTGTGGATTCATTTCCTTTTCCTTTTCCTTTTCCTTAGCAGAGTTGAAATGTTTCCTGCTTGCCTGAGTATGAAGGGATCACATCTTTGTCCTTGGGTTTCAGCTCTGCAATATAAATGTTTGATGTAACCATTTAACAGGATTGGATTTTATCTGAACCATTTAAAAGTCAGGGCAAACAATGAAAATGACTAAAATAGCTAAATTATCTTCTAGTCTTAGTAGCTACTTAAATGTCAGTTGGGTAAATTTGATGTAAAAAATTTTGTTTTAATTAAGATTTTTTTTTTTTTGGTAGAGATGGGGTGGGCTCTTGCTATGTTTCCCAGGGGGGTCTTGAACTCCTGGGCTCAAGCAATCCTCCCACTTTTGGCCTCCCAAAGGGCTGGGTTACAGGCATGAACTACCATGCCTAGACTATTGAGTAGATTTCCATTGCCTGCTACTTGTTCTGAAACCAGAAATATTAAAAGGGATGATTATTACTTTAGCCACGAATGAAGCTTAAAATCTGAATTGAGGTCAAAGTATAATAATCCTAGTTAACATTAATCAATTGATGATGAATAAGACATTTGCTAATTATTTTATGTGCATTATTTCACTTCATTTTAGCAACAACCCTAAGGGGTAAGTGCTATCATTATTATTATTACTACTATTTTGCAGCTGAAGCAACTTTAGGTTAGAGAGTTAAGTAACTTTAGCCAAGATTACATGGCCGGGAAATAGAGCAGGTGGGACTCTAACTGTAGTCTATGTTTTCCAGGGGACTGCAGTATGCCACTATGTTGTATTTCCAGGTAGACTGTGAATGGTTGAAATATGCTCCTTTTGTCTGCTCACTGCCTAATGCCAGCTTCTGGGATGCTATTTTCTCAAAAGATGTAATTGGTGTCAGGATGGCCCTTCTCATCTTAACGTTTGCTTTCATGTAGATTCTAGAATGTTTGCAAATACCTGTATCTCAGTCGATGGTAGGTGATTGTTTTAGTAGAAAAGGATTTATGTCACTTTATGGAAGCATAGAGATTTAAGATTGCCCTTGAAGAATGGGCAGGGCTCAGAACAATTAAATGGAGTGATGATAGTCAGTTGAACTATCTACTGCCACGGGCTGTGGTCTAGATGAATTGAGCCTTTTCAACATTATCTTCAAAAGACATGATTTTCTTTTTCCGTGAAAGGGGAACATCATTCATTTAACTCATTGCAATGAATTTTCTATGATTTTTATGCATGACCCTGTTCAATGCTGTGGTTTTGTACAGTGCTATGGCGGAATTAGCTAGCTTTTGGCTTTCTAGCATTTGAACACTCTCTTACTTGGGGACTCCCCCTTTGTTATGCAGGCCTTTGTGGGAGGGCTGGTGAGATCCCTAACAGAAACAAAAGGAAGGAACAAATATCCTCTCTCCCTGTGCTTTGCTGCTCCAGTAACCTGGACTTGGCCAATCAGATGCTCCTGTCCAACACCGTGAGGTCATCTGTGGAAATATCCAGCACTGTGAGTATCCGGGGGACACAGTACCATCATTGGCACCCTAGCCAGACTCTCTGGTGCAGACTTGACTAGGTTCTGAACTGCCAGGCTTCCTCTGTTTTCTGCCAATATACTGAGAATATTCTTCACGCTTCCCAGAGTTTTTTTGTGAGCTCCCACTACCCAATATTTCATAATACATTCTATTAGTGTTCTCCAGAGAAACAGAATCAACGAATGAACAGCAACAATAACAACACACACACACGTTATTTAGTATAAGGAATTGGCTCAAGTGATTTTGGAGGCTTAGAAATTCCACCATCTGCCACTTGCAAGCTGGAGAAAAGCCGCTTGCAGGCAAGCCAGTGGTGGTATTCCGAGAACCAGAGGGATGATGGTGTAAGTTCTAGTGTGGGGGCAGGAGACTGATATTCCAGTTCAAGAAGTCAGGCAAAGAGAGGAAATTCTTCTTTCTTCTGCCTTTTTGTTCTATTCAGGCTTTCAATGGATTGAAGGCCACTTTCCCACATGGGAACGGGCAATCTGTCCACCAATTCAAATGCTGATCTTATCCAGAAACACCCTCACAGAAACACCCAGAAATAATGTTTAGCCCAAAATCTGGACACCCCATGATCCAGTCAAGCTGACACATAAAATTAGCCATTATGTATCTATTCCCACCGAGTAAGCCGTAATTGGTTTTTGATATATAGAATCAGAAATTCCACTGGTACAAGTCCCTTTCAGAAATGTACAACTGTGGTTGGGTGTGATGGCTTACACCTGCAATCCCAACACTTTGGGAGGCTAACGCAGGAGGATCACTTGAGGCCAGAAGTTCCCAGCCTGGGCAACATAGCAAGACCCCATCTCTACAGAAAGAGAAATACACAAGAAGATTTTAAATATGTAATGGAATCATAAAAATTAATACAAATAATATGACACAAATTTGTGAAACAGAAAAAATTCATCCATAATCACACCATTCTAATATAATATCACGTCTGTGGTTTTAAATGTTCTTTTTTTTTTTTTTGAGACAGAATCTCACTCAGTTGCCCAGGCTGGAGTGCAATTGGCTCCATCTCCGCTCACTGCAAGCTCCGCCTCCTGGGTTCTCGCCATTCTCCTGCCTCAGCCTCCCGAGTTGCTGGGACTACAGGTGCCTGCCACCACGCCTGGCTAATTTTTTTGTATTTTTTTAGTAGAGACGGGGTTTCACTGTGCTAGCCAGGATGGTCGCGGTCTCCTTACATTGTGATCCTCCTGCCTTGGCCTCCCAAAGTGCTGGGATTACAGGTGTGAGTCACCACGCCCGACCTTAAATGTCCTTTTTAACCTATACACATTCCCATAGTTATTCTCATGTCTCACCCAGCTTCTCAAGGTGCTCACTCTGACATAGCTCTTTCACAGAAAATGCAGTGGGCCACAAGATTCTGGGGGAGCTCAGTGAGAAGTGTTTAATAATGAACCAGGATCAGATGTGCCTCACCCCTAGCCCCAGTTAGCATGTATTGAGTGAGGCATCATCTCACCTTAAGAAAAGTTGCTTAGCAGGTAAGGGAAAACTGTGTATAGATGATTCTCCTTTTATACAAAGCTCAAAAGGTAAGGCCTTGAGAGAAGATGGATTTCTAACGGGGAAGCTCTGAGGCAAAATCTGTTACGATGTGTTGTAATGCTCACATTCAAGTTGGAAGGTCATATTTAAACCTAACTATGCAGATATATATCTAATGTGCTGGGGATGGGAAGACACAGAAGAGCTTTGCAGAGTTTCCACTCTCAACAATTGTACAAACAGCTTAGTGTGATAAGACCTGCAACATTAGGCAACTGGAGAACACAGTATGAGGCAGTGAAAGTTATGGGCGGTGAGGGCTGCGTGTCTTATAGCCCCAGGAAGGGCTTCTTGGATATGGTAACACTTCAGATTTGCCTGGAAGAATGGGCAGAGTCTGGATGGATGAAGAGAAACAGGGATAGCAAGTTGAGAGGCCAACATTAACAAACAGGATGGCAGAGAGGGAATGCTACTTTGATGGGGATCATCTCCCAGTTCTTCTTCAGTTATATAATAATGAGAAATTGGATTTGCAGTTCTCAAACTTTATGGATCCAGGATCCCTTTCACTCTTAAAAATTACTGAACACATCAAATATTTTTGTGTGTATGTGGGTAATTTGTATTGGTATTTACTGGATTTGTAGTTAAAATAAGTAACATAGTTTTAGGAAAAATAACTCTATTTTCAAAAACAAAAAAGTTTTTAGCAAGAAGGCTGGTATTGTTTTTGAAAATCTTAATAGAAGACAGCTGGCTTGTTTTATTCGCTTCTGCATTTAATCTGTTGCAATATGTTGTTTTGGTTGTAAGAGCTGAATGAAATCTGGCCTCACAAAGATATGTGGTTAGAAAGGGGAGAGGTGGTTTAACAGTACTTTCCAAATTGTCGTGAATATTCTTTGATACTATCCTAGAATTTGCATGAAGCGATTTCTTAAACATTGGTTACAATGTGGAATCTGAAACTTTATCATTAAATCTTCATACTCTGCTGTGTTGTAATCCCCTGGCCCATCACGCAGTGTGGATAGATCTTTACCTGTGTGTGATTTTGTAACACCATGCATTGGCCATTTGGAAAATATTTGTTCACTGAGTTGTGCAGATCTTCCTAACCCTGACACATTTCATTAAACAGCAGCAAAAGATCACATTTAGGCTGGGTGGTGTCTTACCCCTATAATCCCAGCACTTTGGGAGGCCAAGGAGGGAGGATCACTTGAGCCCAGGAGTTTGAGACTAGCCCGAGCAACAAGCAAGACCCCATCTTTGCAAAATTAAAATTAAAAAATTAATTGGGTGTGGTGGTGCATGCCTGCAGTCCCAGCAACTCAGAAGGCTGAGGTGGGAAGATCTCCTGAGCCGAGGTGGTCAGTCATGCTGCAGTGAGCCATGAATGCACTGCTGCACTCCAGTCTGGGCCACAGAGTGAGACCCTGTCTCGAAAAAAAAGTCACATTTGTTAATATCATCCCCCTTCATATTAGAAAAGTCTCTAAGTATTCAGAAGCTATCATGCTCATGGTGGCAGATACAAGCTTTCCAACATTCTCATTTTCATTTGAAATCTACAAAGAATTTACATCATTTACATCATTGGCTGCAAGTTCTGTAATGAAATGACAGGGTCATATAATTCATTTTAGACAGAATGTCTGATAAATACTCAACTCTGAGTAGCTATAGTTTTCTGTCAATAGTTCTTTCAAGTAAAAATGTATTTCATGAAAAAAGTGGCTAGTTTTGCTCACAATTTGAATGACTGCACAAGTACTAGACCTTCCTTGGTAGGCAGCAAAAGTGCTTTATGCATGCTTCCTGTTTAGTCACACTGAATATTAGAAATTGTGCACTCACACATTGAGATTTAGTAAAATTCATAAATTTACTTCATTCCATCAAGGACATTCTTAAGTTCTTAGGTGACACTGACTTCTCCTCCTCCTCCTCCTCCCCCCCGTCTTCTTTTTTTTTCTGCAACCATGTGGCAGCAAAGACTACAATGAATGATCTCCAGTAGTACGGTGTGTGCCACTGCCTTGATTTTTGTGATAGTGTCACCATTCTATGCACCGTTATTTTTGCACCTCCAATGCAAATGTCAACAAAGTGAGAAAGCAGCAAATAATGTATTTTTGTTATTATAAAATAGTTTGACCTCATGCAGTCCCTGAAGGGTCTCTGGAGCCCTTAGGAGTCTGTGAACACACTTTGAGAACCATTGACTTAAATTTATAAACAGTCAAGGTGGGTGGATCACCTGAGGTCAGGAGTTCGAGACCAGCCTGGCTAACATGACAAAACCCCGTCTCTACTAAAAATACAAAAATTAGCCTGGTCTGGTGGCATGTGCCTGTAATCCCAACTACTCAGGAGGCTGAGGCAGGAGAATTACTGGAATCCAGGATATGGAGGCTGCAGTGAGCTGAGATCGCACCACTGCACTTCAGCCTGGGTGATAGTACAAGACTTTGTCTCAAAAAAAAATTATAAACAGTGCCTTATATACTAGGCATTTTTCTTTGATTTAAATGTATTAAATTATTTAATCCTCACAACTCTCTTTAGGACATAAAGTTAATATTCCTTTACACATGAGGACACTGAGGCTCAGAGTTTTCTCAGGTCACACAGATGTGACGTGGCAGAGGCTCACTCTGGCTTTAGCCCATGGTGTATTGACCTCGCTTGTGAACTCAGCTGGATCATTGCCATTTGTGTAGAACCCAGGGCTCACTGGATGCAGCTCAAGTCTCACGTTCAGAGTGGTCCTCTGAATGGAGTGGTCCTGTGTCAATCAACGTCTTGACTGGGACAGAGAAACCATTGACAAAGGCATGGACAGTGTGTAGGGAACCCTTGTAGGTTCCTGGTGCTATATGCCCTCTGCTCGCCACCTTTCTCCATCCTTGTTGACTGGCACACAGGCAGTTTCCAAGGACAAGCAACAATGGGCCACCTTGCAACCCTGGGCCAGTAAAGAAAGAGAGGGCTTTGTGCAGAAGGTCACCTGTGGAAGCTTGGGTGTGGGATGTTGTCAGTCAGCCCGTGGCCACATTGCAGGGTGGAACTCTGGGGATTGTATTCTCTATCTGCTGTAACTTGGACATGGTTTGTTTGTCCCCACTAAATCTCATGTTGAAATTTGGAGGTGGGGCCTAATGGGAGGTGTTTGGGTCATGCGAGCACATCCCTCATGAGTAGGTTAATGCCCTCCTTCAAGGTGAGCGAGTTCTCTATTAGTTCTCATGAAAGCTGGTTGTTAAATGAACCCAACATCTCCCCTCTCTTTCCTGCTTCCTCTCTTACCATGTGATCTCTGCACACACTGTTTCCCTTTCACCTTCTGCCATGAGTAGAAGCAGAAGCCCTCAACAGAAGCCAAGCAGATGTTGGTACCTTGCTTCTTGTACATTCTGCAGAACTGTGAGCCAAATAAACCTCTTTTCCTTATAAATTAGCCAGCCTCAGATATTCCATTAGAGCAACACAAAATGGACTAAGACAGCAACCTGTCTCCCTCCCTCTGGTCTCTGGCTCCATCTCCTGCTGGAAGCCAGGGAGCAGGGGCTGATGCCCTTGAGCTGTTAGCCAGAATTATGAAGGAGTGAGGTGTGAGTCTAGAAGGGAAAGCAGGGGGTATCTAGCATCATGAACTTGTAAGAGTTCCTTCTTTTGATTGCCGTATCTTATATTTCAATTTGGGATTAAAGTCTATACTTTATTCATACTGGAGTGTGAACTGGAATTTGTTTACAACTATGTTGTGGACATATTTCAGACATGACAATGATTTTCATTGGCCCGTCGTGCCAAGTAGATCTTTCCCTATAGATGTGGCTGTGGCTCCCTGCTTACAGGGTTTGGGACAGAGTTATCCTGCCACTGAATGTGGTAACCTACTTGTTACTCCTTCCCCATCTGCAGGAATTCAACTCCTTGTGTGAGGTATTGCCTCACGATGAAGAGCTTCCAGCTCCCCACCTGGTGTCCCTAAGTGGCAGCAGAGGCTGCTGCTGTATTCCTGAGTCCTAGTTTGATGCATCCATTTGTCTCAGATCTCATCAGTCCTTCCTCTTCAATTGATTCAAGGCCTCAACCCCAAATGCTTCCTGCATTGCTCTGCAGCACCCTTCAGCCCTACTGATGCCCATCAAGTCATAGGAATGACACTTGTCCTCTATGGAGACCCAAACATTAAATAATTAAAACAATGAGAGAAGATTTGGGAAGCACAGTTGATGTACTTTTCTGCATAGCCACAGAGCTGAGTCATCTAAGCTCTGTACAGATTCATCAATTGAAAGTGACTGTGATGGTTAATTTTCTATGTTACCTTGGCTTGGCAATGGTGCCCAGTTGTTTGGTCAAATATCAGTCTATATATTGCTGTGAAGGTTTTTTTAGATGTGATTAACATTTAAGTTGGCAGACTGAGTAAAGCTGGTTACCTTCCATAATGTGAATGGGCCTCACCCAATCAATTGAAGACTTTACGAGAGAAAGCTGAGGTCCCTCAAAGAGGAAGGAATTCTGCCTCCAGATTGCTTTCCTTTGGGCTTGAGTTGCAACATTAACTTTTTCCTTAGTCTCTTGCCGGCTGACCTGCCCTGCATATTTAGGACTTGCCAGCCCCTACAATCACATGGGCCAATTCCTTAAAATAATTCTCTCTCTCTGTCTCCCTCTGTGTGTGTGTGTGTGTGTGTGTGTGTGTGTGTGTGTACACACACACCAGATTCTCCGGAGAATCCTGACTTATATGGGTTGTGGTTTACTTATTTGGAATCTAAGTTTACTGGGAAGTTATTCCTAAAGAACACAACTTAATTTTTCCTAATTGGTTAAAAGATGTGCAAATCTCTTAAGGACTTGTCATTAGATCACTGTTTGTAGACCCTGACTGCATATTAGAATCAACTGGGGAGACTGAAAAAAATACTGACGTCCAGACCCCACTCCAGATCAATGAAGAATCTCTAGGGTGTAACCTGGCACTGGGATTCTAAAAAGCAGGGTCAAGAACCAGTGAATTAGGCTGTCTCTGGGAAGAGGAAAGGCATCACTGAGAAATCAGAGAGCGAGCCTTCTTCCCAGGGCGTAAAATGTAGCCACGAATGAGGGACAAATTAACCAGGAACAATACTCACACTGATTACACCTCTTCACCCCTGGCATTCACTGCTGGCTCACTGGAACTTTCAGTTGCAGGAAGCCTATAATTTATGGGATTCCTTTGAAAATGCTTCTGTGAATAATGCATATCTCTGTCTACCGTCCATCAAATGATTTTGTCATTCCAAGTGGGTATGACCAATATGAATAGTTGGAATTGAGCTCCTGCTGGACTTGAAGGAGGATCACCCCTCTATTCATAATTACCTTATGTCATCGAGAAAGAGCTTTGCCCTGGATTCACAAAAGACTTTGGCTTGACACGTTACCTTACCTTAACCATATGCTACTGTGCAGGCAAAAAAAAAAAAAAAAAAAAATAGTGCCTTTTGAACGCTGACTGGAATTATATTCATTCCCCCAAGATAAATAGATTCTGTGGAACATATTCATTTTTTTCAAAGCCCATTCAGCATCGAGGAACATGCGTCGGATCTTTAGGTGGGTGGTGGTGCCAGAGCCAGACGAAGTGAGTTGAGGCAAATTAGCGAAGGTTCTGCCCCCAGCACTGACCTCCCTTTGGTCTAAGGGGCCATCCCATTGTCTCCACGAAGGATCCCTCTGCTAGAACCTTGGCCTCTCACCCTTGTCCTAATTTGTTAAGGTGAAGCTTGAAAGTGGAGCTATTTTTACCCCGGGCACAATGACAGCCAGCACCACATGGAGATGGAGTGTGCTAGACAGCAAAGAGCATGAGGGATGTGAGCTTGGCTTTGTTCTTTGTTCATTGCTTGGCTCCTAGGCGCGTTTCCCACCCCAGGTGAGGTGCCCCAGCCCGGGAGGGTGTGTGTGCACGCAGTCCAGGACGGTGCCCCATACCGCCCACCTGCACAATGGGACCATGGGTGGGCATGAAGGTAATGCTTTGCAGAGCACGCTCATCATCATGACCTCATGCCAGGCTCATTCTGTTCAGGCAACTGAGAATACCACAAAGAAAATCACAGGGAAATAATGACCTCCCGTTCCTGTTGTCACACCATTAGGGAATGGCAGTCCCATTCCCTAATGGCAGGCTGGAACCCTGTCCCCTCTCCAAACACTCTTAAGGCCAAAGCAATGTGTACCTGCTTCTCTTGATCAGGAAGGATGTATCTGTGCCTGCCTTTAGAAAGAGAAGGAAAAAAAAATCCTTTGGAGAGTGTGGGAGGTTGGGGGTGGCTGGTAATGCCCCTGCTTTGGACACTGGGAGGCAGATGGAATTCCAGGGGCTGCTTGCCTGCAAAGTGCGTTGACTGGGATGTGGCCCAGTACACAGAGGCCGACCAGCCAGAGGCAGGAGCAGAGCATCCCCAGACTCCTGGGGCCATAGGGCTCTGTGGCTGGCAAAGCAGGCCCCAGCGCTGCACCCCAGCCTCGTGTGGCCCTGAAGCTATCAGGCAACATGGATGCGGATGGGCTGGGCTGTGTCCGCTCCATGCAGAGCCCCAGGCAGGAGGGTCCCTGCGGCTGGAAGGGGCCAGAAAAAGGCTGAAGTTTGCTGCTCCCCTGAAGGACATGCATGTCAGTGGGGCAGATGGAGAGAGAGAGTCAAGAAAAGGGACCTGTAGCCCTGGCGCAGAGCTGTGACAAGAGTGAGATTGGGTGTCTTTGCTGTGTCGGGCATATATGCATTTGTATGGCTCAGAAACTGGGGGGAGTGCATGTTTTCCTAGGTCATCTGGACAACACTATTTTAAGAATTTTATCATCAACAGCATTAAAAGAGAACAAATTCTCAAATGATAAAAGGCCAGCCCATACACCCTTGGTCCAGGTCACAGTGTCCTGAGGCCTGACCCTGGTCAAGTGTGTCAGGGTCTTCGGGCACTCCCATCCTCTAACAACCCATGAAAATGAATACTTTTTTTTTTTTTTTTTTTTTGCTTATCTAGATAGCAAATGAAAACATGGCGTTACACAGTGGTGGTGAGGGATGCATATGTGTGTGTGTGTGTGTGTGTATTTATGAAAATGCATGTTCAAGGACAGTCATTGCAGCACTACCTATAGTGGCAAAAGCTAAGAACAAGCTAGGTGTTCAACCAGAGCAGCATTGGTTCATTCCTATAATGAAGTTTTCAGAAATGGTGAAGAATATTGAATGATATGGAAGATGCTAAAAATCAAGAAACAATGACATAAAGCTACATAATCATTGTGTTTCCAACTTTATAAAATATGTGCGTGCATGTGTTTATATACAATTTATGCATAGAGACACTTCAAGGAAACACCTAAATATTAGTGATGATTGCCTCTGGAGGGTGAGGTTAAGGATGATTTTCTTTCTAATTTTTTCACTTGTCTATATTTTCCAAATTCTCTATACTGGATGTATTTTTATTATCAGAATAAACTCAAATGTGACTAAAATACACAAAGACCCCCACAGAATTTGTCCAACTAGTTTTGAGTCAGAAGCAAGGCGAGGTAGGCAAAGGCTGACATATTTCTCACCTCGATCTTTCATTCATTTGTTCATTCATTTATTGAGATACTAGTTTGTCCTAAGGCTGTACAAACATTTGGGGCCCAATGTTGAACAAACCATGGTCCCCAGCATGAATTATTAACCATTGAATGGAAAAATCTAGGCACGTACTGTGATGTGAAATTCAATAGATGCCAAGGAAACTCAGAGGAAAGGGTGTATCTGGGTGGGTAAGTTGTCAGAAAACTGGCACTGAGCTAACATTGAAGATTGACTGACCGGGTATCTACCCAGAGGAAAAGAAGTCATTATTCGAAAAAGATACTTGTACACACATGTTTATTGCAGCACAATTCACAATTGCAAAATCGTGGAACTAACCCAAATGCCCATGAATCAATGAGTGGATAAAGAAACTCTGTTATATATATGCACACACACACACACACACGATGGAATACTACTCAGCCATAAAAATGAATGAATTAACAGCATTGGCAATGACCTGGATGAGATTGGAGACTACTATTTAAAGGGAAGTAACTCAGGAATGAAAAACCAAACACTGTATGTTCTCATTGATAAGTGGGAGCTAAGCTATGAGGACGCAAAGGCATAAGAATGATACGGTGGACTTTACGGACTTCGGGGGAAGGGTGGGAGGAGAGGTGAGGGATAAAAGACTACAAATATGGTGCAGTGTATACTGCTTGGGTGATGGGTTCACCAGGATCTCACAAATCATCACTAAAGAACTTACTCATGCAACCAAATACCACCTGTACCCCAATAACTTATGGAAAAATAAAAAAAAAATAAATGATGAAAAAAAAAAGATTGACTGACTAGGAAAAAAAAAACCAAAAGAATAGTCCAAGGGACCAAGACAGAGAGAAAAATGGCTGGGGGCTGGTGAAGCATTTCCTGGGATTAGAGAATAAGACTGATGGAGAGAGAGAGCAATGGGAGATGAAAATAGAATGGCTGAGGCTTGATCACGCTAAAGAATTAAGGTTTTCTTCCCTAGGTCAGTGGTGTTCCAACTGTGGGTCTCACAATCCTGTAACAGGCCATGAAATCATTAGGGCAGGGGGTCACAGCCTACATTTAAAACAACAACAAAGTATCCAAAGGAAGAGAATTAAAAAATACATCACCTATACTAAGGGTGAAATTTATTTTTGTTCATGAAATGTATTTTTCTTTTATTAAAAAACTTTAAAAATGTTTTATTTCGAGACAATTACAGATGAAAAGGAAGTTGCAAAGAAATGTATAGGGAGGTCCCATGCACCCCCACCCCAGCCTCCTCCAATGTTAGTAACCTTCACAAATACAGTACAACATCAGAACCAGAGAGTTGACATTGGTGTAACCCATGGCGCTTATGAAGATTTCACCAGTTATGCACAGGCTCATTGGCCTGAATGGGCATATATAGAGCCATGTGATTCCGTTGCATGTGTAGTCTCCTGTAATCCCACCACCACCAAGATACAGAGCCAGACTATCACCACAAGTCTCCCTTGTGTACACCCCTGTAGCTCACCTGCCCCCTACCATTCCCCAACTCCTGGCAACCACCAATCTGTCCTCCAGGAAACTGATCTTTTGGCTGTGTGTGTGAATATGCCTGTGCACATGTGTATGTGTACTGGATCATGATGTAAAATGTATTTCTTTTTTTTTTTTTTCTTTGAGATGGAGTTTTGCCCTTTTCGCCCAGGCTGGAGTGCAATGGCGTGATCTTGGCTCACTGCAACCTCCGCCTCCCAGGTTCAAGAGATTCTCCTGCCTCAGCCTCCCAAGTAGCTGGGATTACAAGTGCTCACCACCACACCCAGCTAATTTTTGTATACAATTTATTTCTTTCTGTGAGTCCCAATTCAAAAGAATTGAAAGCTACCACTGCCGCCTGCAGAAGGATTTTAAGTGCGTGCGGGACCATGGCATCATCAGATTTATTTTAGAGGTCATCCTGGCAGCAGTGTGGAGGATGCATTGAAAAGAGGAGTGAAGTGGGGATAGGGAGACCAGCTCTCTGTCTCCCCACATGAGCTCTCAGGAGATGTGTGAACTCTCCCTCTCTCCCTCCCTCCTCCCTTTCCCCACCCTCATTCTCTCTCTCCCTTTCATCATTAAATATACCCCTATAAAATAACATCTTTCTGTTGATCTCTGCTAGTCTTAGCAATTCTCTGCTGCACTCCTCAAATATTATATTTTATAATGAATGCTGCACACCCACTAGTTAACTAGGATGGAGCTATGGCTACTTAATTCTTTTTCACAAACTCTACCCATGTGAATAACAGTAAGATATTAGAATTCTGTGATTGCAACTTGTTCTTGATTTCCTTTACTATTTTTAAATTCTACACTGTTAAAGTTTTTAAATTCAAAGTACCATAGCTGGTTGATTTAACTTGATTTTCATTATCAGTGAAGGAGAGCAAGCAACCTAAACAAAGGCCATGGTTCATAAGGCATTAGGACATGAGCCACTTCCTGGAGACAGTGGGTTCTGGCTCTTGTTTATGGCGTGTCCACTCTCAGCTCTCTCTGCCTTACCTGGGTGGGGAGGAGTGGCTGAGGGAGGGTGTAAGGAAAGCTGTGAGGAGACTTCCCAGTGACGATATTGAAGCACACTCTCACCCCACCCAGATTGGTTTCTGTTGCTGTTGTTGTTTGCCTGGGAGTGCGCAGTGAAGCCACATCTGGAGGACAAGGACAAATACAAGCCAGCTGGACAGTGACTAGCGAGATAGAGGGTCCTGCTCATTAGATGCTATTCAGAAATTTAAAAAATAAAATGCTTAGGACTCAGGATCAGTGAGCAGGCAGGGGCATTAGCTGGGACACCGAGGAAGAAGATGCTGGCAAAGTTAGGAAGCCAAGATGATCTTTGCTGAAAAGGTCGGTGGAGAATCCGCTGCAGGAGCAGTGGGCAGTGGGCAGCAGTCGGTAGGGATGGGGACAGTCTCTCACAAGAGAAGGGCAGACTTGCCATTTTCCCATCCCACGTCCATTCCTTTCATCTGAAATTGAACTTGAATAAGCCCAATTAAAATAAATTTAAAAATTGTATTTTTACAACTGTTTTCTTTCTTTTTTTTTAATTTTATTATTATTATACTTTAAGTTTTAGGGTACATGTGCACAACGTGCAGGTTAGTTACATATGTATACATGTGCCATGTTGGTGTGCTGCACCCATTAACTTGTCATTTAGCATTAGGTATATCTCCTAATGCTATCCCTCCCCACTCCCCCACCCCACAAGAGTCCCCGGTGTGTGATGTTCCCCTTCCTATGTCCATGTGTTCTCATTGTTCAATTCCCACCTATGAGTGAGAACATGTGGTGTTTGGTTTTTTGTCCTTGCGATAGTTTGCTGAGAATGATGGTTTCCAGCTTCATTCATGTCCCCACAAAGGACATGAACTCATCATTTTTATGGCTGCATAGTATTCCATGGTGTATATGTGCCACATTTTCTTAATCCAGTCTATCATTGTTGGATATTTGGGTTGGTTCCAAGTCTTTGCTATTGTGAATAGTGCCGCAATAAACATATATGTGTGCATGTGTCTTTATAGCAGCATGATTTATAATCCTTTGGGTATATACCCAGTAATGGGATGGCTGGGTCAAATGGTATTTCTAGTTCAAGATTCCTGAGGAATCACCACACTGATTTTCACAATGGTTGAACTAGTTTACAATCCCACCAACAGTGTAAAAGTGTTCCTATTTCTCCACATTCTCTCCAGCACCTGTTGTTTCCTGACTTTTGAATGATTGCCATTCTAACTGGTATGAGATGGTGTCTCACTGTGGTTTTGATTTGCATTTCTCTGATGGCCAGTGATGATGAGCATTTTTTCATGTGTCTTTTGGCTGCATAAATGTCTTCTTTTGAGAAGTGTCTGTTCATATCCTTCGCCCACTTTTTGATGGGGTTGTTTGTTTTTTTCTTGTAAATTTGTTTGAGTTCATTGTAGATTCTGGATATTAGCCCTTTGTCAGATAAGTAGGTTGCAAAAATTTTCTCCCATTCTGTAGGTTGCCTGTTCACTCTGATTGTAGTTTCTTTTGCTGTGCAGAAGCTCTTTAGTTTAATTAGATCTCATTTGTCAATTTTGGCTTTTGTTGCCATTGCTTTCGGTGTTTTAGACATGAAGTCCTTCCCCATGCCTATGTCCTGAATGGTATTGCCTAGGTTTTCTTCTAGGGTTTTTATGGTTTTAGGTCTAACATGTAAGTCTTTAATCCATCTTGAATTAATTTCTGTATAAGGTGTAAGGAAGGGATCCAGTTTCAGCTTTCTACATATAGCTAGCCAGTTTTCCCAGCACCATTTATTAAATAGGGAATCCTTTCCCCATTGCTTGTTTTTCTCAGGTTTGTCAAAGATCAGATAGTTGTAGATATGCAGCATTATTTCTGAGGGCTCTGTTCTGTTCCATTGATCTATATCTCTGTTTTGATACCAGTACCATGCTGTTTTGGTTAATGTAGCCTTGTAGTATAGTTTGAAGTCAGGTAGTGTGATGCCTCCAGCTTTGTTCTTTTGGCTTAGGATTGACTTGGTGATGCGCGCTCTTTTTTGGTTCCATATGAACTTTAAAGTAGTTTTTCCAATTCTGTGAAGAAGGTCATTGGTAGCTTGATGGGGATGGCATTGAATCTATAAATTACCTTGGGCAGTATGGCCATTTTCACGATATTGATTCTTCCAACCCATGAGCATGGAATGTTCTTCCATTTGTTTGTATCCTCTTTTATTTCCTTGAGCAGTGGTTTGTAGTTCTCCTTGAAGAGGTCCTTCACGTCCCTTGTAAGTTGGATTCCTAGGTATTTTATTCTCTTTGAAGCAATTGTGAATGGGAGTTCACTCATGATTTGGCTCTCTGTTTGTCTGTTATTGGTGTATAAGAATGCTTGTGATTTTTGTACATTGACTTTGTATCCTGAGACTTTGCTGAAGTTGCTTATCAGCTTAAGGAGATTTTGGGCTGAGATGATGGGGTTTTCTAGATATACAATCATGTCATCTGCAAACAGGGACAATTTGACTTCCTCTTTTCCCAATTGAATACCCTTTATTTCCTTCTCCTGCCTGATTGCCCTGGCCAGAACTTCCAACACTATGTTGAACAGGAGCGGTGAGAGAGGCCATCCCTGTCTTGTGCCAGTTTTCAAAGAGAATGCTTCCAGTTTTTGCCCATTCAGTATGATATTGGCTGTGGGTTTGACATAGATAGCTCTTATTATTTTGAGATATGTCCCATCAACACCTAATTTATTGAGAGTTTTTAGCATGAAGGGTTGTCGAATTTTGTCAAAGGCCTTTTCTGCATCTATTGAGATAATCGTGTGGTTTTTGTCTTTGGTTCTGTTTATATGCTGGATTACATTTATTGATTTGTGTATGTTGAACCAGCCTTGCATCCCAGGGATGAAGCCCACTTGATCGTGGTGGATAAGCTTTTTGATGTGCTGCTGGATTCAGTTTGCCAGTATTTTATTGAGGATTTTTGCGTCGATGTTCATCAAGGATATTGGTCTAAAATTCTCTTTTTTGGTTGTGTCTCTGCCAGGCTTTGGTATCAGGATGATGCTGACCTCATAAAATGAGTTAGGGAGGATTCCCTCTTTTTCTATTGATCGGAATAGTTTCAGAAGGAATGGTACCAGCTCCTCTTTTACCTCTGGTAGAATTCGGCTGTGAATCCATCTGGTTCTGGACTTTTTTTGGTTGGTACGCTATTGATTATTGCCTCAATTTCAGAGCCTGTTATTGGTCTATTCAGAGATTCAACTTCTTCCTGGTTTAGTCTTGGGAGGATGTATGTGTCGAGGAATTTATCCATTTCTTCTTGATTTTCTAGTTTATTTGTGTAGACATGTTTATAGTATTCTCTGATGGTAGTTTATATTTCTGTGGGATTGGTAGTGATATCCCCTTTATCATTTTTTATTGCTTCTGTTTCATTCTTCTCTCTTTTCTTCTTTATTAGTCTTGCTAGTGGTCTATTAATTTTGTTGATCTTTTCAAAAAACCAGCTCCTGGATTCATTAATTTTTTGAAGGGTTTTCTGTGTCTCTTATTTCCTTCAGTTCTGCTCTGATCTTAGTTATTTCTTGCCTTCTGCTAGCTTTTGAATGTGTTTGCTCTTGCTTTTCTAGTTGTTTTAGTTGTGATGTTAGGGTGTCAATTTTGGATCTTTCCTGCTTTCTCTTGTGGGCATTTAGTGCTATAAATTTCCCTGTACACACTGCTTTGAATGCGTCCCAGAGATTCTGGTATGTTGTGTCTTTGTTCTCGTTGGTTTCAAAGAACATCTTTATTTCTGCCTTCATTTCATTATGTACCCAGTAGTCATTCAGGAGCAGGTTGTTCAGTTTCCATGTTATTGAGCGGTTTTGAGTGAGATTCTTAATCCTGTGTTCTAGTTTGATTGCACTGTGGTCTGAGAGATACTTTGTTATAATTTCTGTTCTTTTACATTTGCTGAGGAGAGCTTTACTTCCAAGTATGTGGTCAATTTTGGAATAGGTGTGGTGTGGTGCTGAAAAAAATGTATATTCTGTTGATTTGGGGTGGAGAGTTCTGTAGATGTCTATTAGGTCCGCTTGGTGCAGAGCTGAGTTCAATTCCTCGGTATCCTTGTTGACTTTCTGTCTCGTTGATCTGTCTAATGTGGACAGTGGGGTGTTAAAGTCTCCCATTATTAATGTGTGGGAGTCTAAGTCTCTTTGTAGGTCACTAAGGACTTGCTTTATGAATCTGGGTGCTCCTGTATTGGGTGCATATATATTTAGGATAGTTAGCTCTTCTTGTTGAATTGATCCCTTTACCATTATGTAATGGCCTTCTTTGTCTCTTTTGATCTTTGTTGTTTTAAAGTCTGTTTTTTCAGAGACTAGGATTGCAACCCCTGCTTTTTTTTGTTTTCCATTTGTTTGTTAGATCTTCCTCCATCCTTTTATTTTGAGCCTATGTGTGTCTGTGAACGTGAGATGGGTTTCCTGAATATAGCACACCGATGGGTCTTGACTCTTTATCCAATTTGCCAGTCTGTGTCTTTTAATTGGAGCATTTAGTCCATTTACATTTAAAGTTAATATTGTTATTTGTGAATTTGATCCTGTCATTATGATGTTAGCTGGTTATTTTGCTCGTTAGTTGATGCAGTTTCTTCCTAGTCTCGATGGTCTTTACATTTTGGCATGATTTTGCAGTGGCTGGTACCGGTTGTTCCTTTCCATGTTTAGCGCTTCCTTCAGGAGCTCTTTTAGGACAGGCCTGGTGGTGACAAAATCTCTCAGCATTTGCTTGTCTGTAAAGGATTTTATTTCTCCTTCATTTATGAAGCTTAGTTTGGCTGGATATGAAATTCTGGGTTGAAAATTCTTTTCTTTAAGAATGTTGAATATTGGCCCCCACTCTCTTCTGGCTTGTAGAGTTTCTGTGGAGAGATCAGCTGTTAGTCTGATGGGCTTCCCTTTGAGGGTAACCCGACCTTTCTCTCTGGCTGCCCTTAACATTTTTTCCTTCATTTCAACTTTGGTGAATCTGACAATTATGTGTCTTGGAGTTGCTCTTCTCGAGGAGTATCTTTGTGGCATTCTCTGTATTTCCTGAATCTGAATGTTGGCCTGGCTTGCTAGATTGGGGAAGTTCTCCTGGATAATATCCTGCAGAGTGTTTTCCAACTTGGTTCCATTCTCCCCATCACTTTCAGGTACACCAATCAGACGTAGATTTGGTCTTTTCACTTAGTCCCACATTTCTTGGAGGGTTCGTTCATTTCTTTTTATTCTTTTTTCTCTAAACTTCTCTTCATGCTTCATTTCATTCATTTCATCTTCCATCGCTGATACCCTTTCTTCCAGTTGGTCGCATTGGTTACTGAGGCTTCTGCATTCGTCACGTAGCTCTTGTGCCTTGGTTTTCAGCTCCATCAGGTCCTTTAAGGACTTCTCTGCATTGGTTATTCTAGTTATCCATTCGTCTAATTTTTTTTCAAAGCTTTTAACTTCTTTGCCATTGACTCGAATTTCCTCCTGTAGCTCAGAGTAGTTTGATCGTCTGAAGCCTTCTTCTCTCAACTGGTCAAAGTCATTCTCCATCCAGCTTTGTTCCGTTGCTGGTGAGGAGCTGTGTTCCTTTGGAGGAGGAGAGGCGCTCTGATTTTTAAAGTTTCCAGTTTTTCTGCTCTGTTTTTTTCCCATCTTTGTGGTTTTATGTACGTTTGGTCTTTGATGATGGTGACGTACAGATGGATTTTTGGTGTGGATGTCCCTTCTGTTTGTTAGTTTTCCTTCTAACAGACAGGACCCTCAGCTGCAGGTCTATTGGAGTTTGCTAGAGGTCCACTCCAGACCCTGTTTGCCTGGGTTTCAGCAGCGGTGGCTGCAGAACAGTGTATATTGGTGAACCGCAAATGCTGCTGCCTGATTCTTCCTCTGGAAGTTTTGTCTCAGAGGAGTACCCGGCCGTGTGAGGTGTCAGTCCGCCCCTACTGGGGGGTGCCTCCCAGTTAGGCTACTTGGGGGTCAGGGACTCACTTGAGGAGGCAGTCTGCCCGTTCTCAGATCTCAAGCTGCGTGCTGGGAGAACCACTACTCTCTTCAAAGCTCAGTTGGAAATGCAGAAATCACCCATCTTCTGCATCACTCATGCTGGAAGCTGTAGACCGGAGCTGTTCCTATTCAGCCATCTTGAGAAACTATAATTGTTTTCTTAATTGTTAAATGGGATTTGCAATATTCCTAGGTCACATTGTTGTAGGGATCAAATATACCAGGTAAGTGCTGGCTTTTCCTTGTTGTAACCATTGAAATGCTGCCAAATAAATAAATCCATCAGTCTTTTTTTTTTTTTTTTAATGAGCAAAGACATAGTCAGAGGTAGGTGGGAGATGATGGTAGTGGACAGTCGCTCAGTTCCTTTCTCTTCATGGAAGGGGTCCTTGGACTGTGCTGTCTATCAGCTCCAAAGCCCGTGTTCCAACTCTGTTTCCCACCCAGCACCGTTTGGATAAATTCTTAAGTTCCACTCTCCACCTATTGTTCTGGTAGATCTCTGCTCCATAAAGCAATGCTTTGATATTTTTAAAGCTTATCCACTGTAGGGAGACATTTTTCTTTTCCTTGTTTTTTGACTCTGAATCTATGGAGGAATTCCAAGCATTTCTCTCTTTTCTCATTAAGCAATGAGCCAGTCAGAAGCACTAAGATTCACTGTAATGAAGAAAGTTTGCTGAGCCCTAAGATGTCTGAAGTGGTGCACCCTGGCTTTCCACGGTGGATGGAGGGGCAGTGGTCTTTTTCTCTTTTGACAGGAAATGGAGAGGAGGTCATCTGAGAGCTCTTCCTGCCTCTTGGTCTGGGATTCTCTTTAAGTGTGGAAATGTAGAAAAAAAAAATCAGGGTGTCTTGTTTCCTTATAGACAGTGCTTTGTTTTTCAGACCAGCACGCTTACCTTTTCCTTTCCAAGATATTGAATGATCACTTAAATGTATCAGCTAATAGAAAATGACTGGTCGGAGGCTGGATCTTTTTGGCAAGGTCTGTAGTTGTCCTCTCCAAACGCGGGAGCTATGAAAATGCTGAATTCTTTCATTTGTCCAGAGAAACTGGGGACTGCGATTCTGATCGCAGTGAGCCTAAGTGAGTCACGCCTCACCAGAGCACTAATTTCCCACATGGCCAGCTCAGGTGGGAAGGAGGCAACTAGACAGGGGCAAACACCTGGGTTCTGGGAGCTGAGGTCACCTTATCCGTTGTGAGTGCCAGTTGTTTTGAAAGATTGGAGTAAAAACAATAGTGCAAACAATAAACGGGAGAACTGAGGGCTTGGCAGAATTGTCAGTGTATTTACTTCAGTGGAAGCTTTGAACTCACCGAGTAGATCAGGCCCCTTGCCTATCTTTTCAAAAAGTGCTCTCTGGAAAAAATGTCAAAAGCTCCTAGTAGGAGAGGACTATGAAGACAGACCTTGGGAGCAGGTGAAGCTCTTAGGCCTCCCAGTTCATTGTCACTGCCAGCCCTTCACAGTGAGGAGACACAGATGTCGCCAACAGACAGGTGAGGGGGACGTTGCTTATGACACCACTTAGCCCTGTGCACGCAGCGACTGTCTTTGCTCTTTGTCATTTTTTTAACCATTAGTCTGAGATGGCATGAGAAGGGACTACAGGGCATGGGGAGTGGAAATAATGACCAGGCTTGAGCAGTAACAGGACCACCTCTATTCTATCAAACTAACAGAAGCTGCGTGGGCTGCGCAAGGTTGGATTATGTGGTTCGCTTTCCAGATAGATGCAAATAGCCAGAAATGGAGACTAAACTGTGTGCAGAATTAGGACACTCCGGGTGTCCCTGGACTCTGTGCGTTTGGTGCCATCTTAATGAACGGTGGGAGTCAGAATAATCAAATCTTGAAGCTGTGTCCAAATTCTCTTAAGAGAGACAGCCCGAGGCAGAACACTGCAGGTTTCAGGAGGAAGCTGCTAAGTGAGTATTGAGGATCATTATCATTAGGGAAGGGAGAGGTGACACTGAGCCTGTCACCTGCCTTGTCCAAGCAAGCCAGGGCTATGTCAGTGTGAAGGAGCGAAATGAGCCTATTACTTTTGAGAAGTTAGCCAAAGTCTTTCTTTTCCCCTAAAATACCCTAAAAATAGAGTCGATGATGACATAGGGAGAGGAGAGAGATTTTGGAAGAGAAGCTCATGTTAACTGGATAATTGAATTAGCTGTCCATTTTACTTTGCAACTTGAGTTTGGTTAGGCGTGTGTGTGTGTGTGTGTGTGTGTGTGTGTGTGTGTATCTGTGTGTGTGGTTTGATTTTCCAAATAATGTGCCCAAAGTGATACCAAGAAGGTAATTATACAAAATTCTTTAAACTCAAGGAGCTTTATGCACACATTTGCTCTTTTAGTGGGCATATCATTTGAATATTGATGCTGGTGAATTTCTATTGCTTTCCAACTTTTGTATTGTCCATTAGGTGTTTTTCTTTGAAATTATAATCTGTGCACACGTAAAAGACTCTTGCATATGAATCATATTCTACCTTTTTCATAGGGACATAAAATATTTTTATTATATAAAAAAACCTCTATGAAGAGGAAAATGTATGAATATAAAAATTCAAGTATCACATTGTGGTGAATTTTATCATTGTGAAATATTGATCTTGGTAAGATTTTAGCTTTCTGCATTGCTTTTTAGTTTGCATGATGTTATTTATATTGTGACATTGTACTTTCTTTTATTATTTTCTGGTAAACATTGTTTTCTGATTATTTATTTTTAACATTTGTTATTAGCTAATGCTTATTTGTTACATCATGTCATTCTTTTTTTTTTTTTTTTTTTTTTTTGAGACAGAGTCTTGCTCTGTCGCCCAGGCTGGAGTGCAATGGTGCACTCCATTGCAACCTCTGCCCCCCAGGTTCAAGCAATTCTCCTGCGTCACCCTCCCGAGTAGCTGGGATTACAGGTGCCTGCCACCAAGCCCAGCTAATTTTTGTATTTTTAGTAGAGGCGGGGTTTCACCATGTTGGCCAGCCTGGTCTCGAACTCCTGACCTCGGGTGATCCACCCACCTCGGCTTCCCAAAGTGCTGGGATTATAGGTGTGAGCCACTGCACCCGGCCTCTTTTTTTTTGTTTTGTTTTGAAATGCTTTAAAAGGGAAAAATCAAACTATACATGCAATATATGAAATGAAATGAAAGTTACTTTATTTTCTTGTTTTTCCTCATCTGTTTCTCCTTGTTTTCTTAACATTCATGAGCAGGTTTTCATCTTATGTTGAATACATCCTCACGCTGCTGTAGGAATAACTTTTTGTATTACACCACTTCTGGAACACTGTGCCACTGTTCAAAAAATTTCAGTGACCTGTTCGTTTCCCCATTACCTCCAAACTACTCTTCCTTTCTTTCAAAACCAAGTTGGCTTTTAAATATTGATAAGGTTTGTGTGTGTCCCCACCCGAAATCTCATCTTGAATTGTAATCCCCATAATCCTCATAATCTCCACATGTCAAGGGAGAGACCAGGTGGAGGTAATTGAATCATGGGGCGGTTTCCCCATGCTGTTCTTGTGATAGGAGTGAGTTCTCATGAGATCTGATGGTTTTATAAGTGTTTGGTAGTTCCTCCTGTGTTCATTCCCCCTTCTGCTGCCTTGTGAAGAAGGTGTCTTGCTTCCCCTTTGCCTTCTGCCATGATTGTAAATTTCCTGAGGCCTCCCCACCCATGCAGAACTGTGAGTCAGTTATGCCTCTTTCCTTTATAAATTGCTCAATCTTGGGCATTTCTTTATAGCAGTGTGAGAACGGACTAATTCAAATACAGTTGAATAGATAAATGAATAACGCAGTTACTCCTCATTCTAATCAGACCAGTATCCTGACTCTCATGAACATAGAATATGCAATCCCTTCACTCATGTTATTCTTTTCAAAATTTGAAGGAGAGAACTTTCCAGTAGAACCAAAAAGCAGTGTGGATTTGACATTCACTCCAGCCTCATCCTGTCTCAGTCTGTGTCCAAGGTCCACTTCTCTGACCTGAAGCTTCCTGGGAAACAAACCTTACAGGTCTTACTTCTCCTCTAGACCTCAACGTGTTTTCTTTATCTCACCACAAAATCTACACTGTTGCCTTCAGTTGTTTACTAGCAATGCACGCATATCAGTTTTGTCTCACCAATTAGACTACAGACTATGTTTATGTCTCTTTAATATACTCATAACATGCAGTTGAGTATTGGTCGTATGAGTATTGATTTCTTATTAACCAACAAATTAACTTCTAAACAAGTGACTTACGAGTCAATTTTGTATAGGGAACCTGATATATGAGCTAAGGACTTCTTATATGTGATTTATTTTGCATGAAAAATAAATATATTTGTTGAATAAACAAAAACTATTCCTGAATTTTTTGAATATTTTTAATATAGATTTTTAAAAATAATTATGTTTTGGATAATAATTTTTTGAAAAGTTTTTCTGAATAATTTTTTGAATCTATAAGCAACATGTTATTCCTGAATATGTTGCTTATAGATAAAGTACTATTTTTTTTTTGCAAAATGTGGCTCTTAAAGAAAAAATTTATTACTCGATAAGTTAATCAGCATGGACATGTAGAAAATTAAAACTTATTATTCTCTCTATTAAAATATGTGAGATTTCCCTCTTCCTTTATATGGCTTTATGAGTTCTAAGGCCCTGCTCTCCAAATGACACACATTGTTTAACTTTGTGGATTTTTATCTGACCCAGTGGGGTGGATTCTTTGTATCTCTCATGCAAACTCAATATAATTATTACTGTATTTTACTTGCTTGGCTGGCTAGTCTATATTCTGCAAATAAAAAAGGTTTAATGTGATGAGCATACCATAACAAGCAGCAAGCTGTCAGAGAACAATACCATGTTCCTCCCAGCTGATTTTGAGATAGAACCTTCTGACCCAGGTTCTAAGATAAGCATCTAAAACGCATCCCTAAATATGTTTAAAAGTACAACATCAAAGGAACCCTCTTTAGAAATGGAAAAAAATTTAGGAAGATGCTACCTTGTTTTTCCCTTGAATTCTGCATTTCACTAATGCCCATGTCAAGACACATTTATTTACTCTTCCTTTAAGTTACTTGATTAATAAAGAAATTATTTTCTTCATCAACAGTTAGCCAGACCGAATGTGGAGTTAGAAAGTGTTTATATAAAAATTTAAATTCCTATTCTTTGAGATGGAGTGTGTCAGCGTGCCAGGAGAACACTTGTATCATGAAGCCATTCTGACTGAACCCCAAAGAGGACTCTTTGGAGAGTCTCAGTGTAGCATTTTGAAGACCTTTTGTGTCAAGATCATCCAAGTGGAAATTGTCTTCCTACAGAATAGTGGTCTGCTTGTTTGCTCTCACTCTCTGGCCTTTACTTCTTCCATGCTGACACCACGTCTCTGAGTGGCTCCTCAGCTCCCAAGTGCCTCAGCTACTTGGGCCCCACTGTCTGTCCCAGCAATCGTTCTCACTGTGTGAAGACAATTGGTCCTGTTCTTCCCACTCCTTCCTCTACATTAAGGTTAAATTTCAAGATCTGTCCTCTACAACAGGGGTCCCAAACCCCCAGGCCGTGGACTGGTATGCGTCAGTGGCCTGTTAGGAACCAGGCCGCACAGCAGGAGGTGAGCAGCCAGTGAGCCAGCATTACTCCCTGAGCTCTGCCTCCTGCCAGATCTGGAGGGGACATTAGATTCTCATAGGAGCACAAGCCGTACTGTGAACTGTGGATGTGAGGGATCTAGGTTACCTTAGAGAATCTAATGACAAACATAATGTGCTTGAATCATCCTGAAACCATCCCTCCACCCTTGGTCCCTGGAAAAATTGTCTTCTGCGAAACCGGTCCCTAGTGCCAAAAAGTTTGGTGACTGCTGCTCTACAAAATATATCTCTGTTTCCACTTCCAGCCAGCTTCTCTTTGATGTCATTTCTGTGGACTGGAATTTGGTCACATTGCCCCTAGCATCCTACAGGCTTGTAGGGAAGCATCTACACTGTCTCACATTCTGTTCCTCTTGAACGTGCACCGCTTAGGGGTCCAGGATTCATATGGGGCCATACTTAGTGATGATGATATTCCTATTTTTCCTCCTTCGCCTCAAGAATGACTTCTATTTGTGCACAGGTGAAAATAAGAGCCTCAAGGCTTGAACTGCTAGAAGGGACAATCTGTCCGTCTCACCAGTCGCCTGAGTGACACCTGGGAAGGCAGGTGTCACCTCATTTGGGGTTTATCAGCAGATGTGTATGTACTTCTAGCCCTAGCAGAGCATAACCTTCACCTCTCCCAAGGACTGTCTCCCTGCAGACTCTAGGGAGAGTCACTCTTCAGCCACAGGCAAGAGCCAAAGGTCAACATTCCCTTGGCTGTGCTGCCTCTCTCTGCCTCTTACCCTGAGGCTGTCTCTGAGGACAGTCTGCCACTCAGCAGCATTAAAAAAAAAAAGACATTGGGGAATTAAAGATTACACTGCGGAGTACTGAAAACTTTAGAATATCATATCTAAACCCGGGGGTGCTTATACACTTATAGCTGTATGCAGTGAGGATGAGAATAGTACCTGCTGAAGTTAAATAGTAGCTAACATTTTTAAGAGCTCCTTTCATCTGTCAGGCATTGTTCTGATAGCTTAATTTGTATTAACTCTTTTAACCCTCAAGCGTACAGAGTAGATAACACTACGATGCCCATTTTACAGATATGAAAGCTAAGGCACAGAGGACAAGCACGTTGTAAGTGGTAGAACTGGGATTCAAACCCAGGTCATCTGCCTCCAAAGTCACGAAGGTACAATTTGTCTCTATCGCATAGCACGAGATTGTGACTCAAGTCAAATTATTTCTTTAGCTCTGATGTAAAATATTAGTATTTGCTGTTATAGTATTGAGGAAGATAATGACAGAAACATATACCATGTCTGTTGGTCTCTTACCAGCTAGTATCTAGTTGTGTTTTTGGGAGGGCTTGATTTGATTGATTCAAATCTGTGGAATAATGAGCCATGTGGTAATAGAATTGTAAACATCCTGAAATGTGGCGCTGAGGGAGCAAAAGCAATCTGCATGTTGGAGATGAAGGTTACACCTTTTTGAGCACTGAGACTGAATTACCTTTCTATCAGCCAGCGTCTGCTTGAGAGGCAGCCGGGGCAGAGTCATTAAGGATGGGGGTTTGAACCTCGCCTTTGCCCTGTTGTTAGCTCTGTCACTGCAGGTATGTCACTTGGTCCCATCATTTATAAAATGTGGGCAGTATTGTCACCTTCCTTTCAGGGCTGGGATGAGGGTGGCGAGTGTGAGCATAGGAAGAGCGCACGCGGTAATCTCTCTTGATAGATGTTAGCTATTATTATTCAGCCTCCTCCAGAATAAACTTTGTCTTCAAAATGAGTAGATAAGGCATCTAAAACAGGCACTGTGTACATTGTGTACATGAGGGGGAAGGTGTGGTAGACCAGGAGTGAGGGACAGAAGATGTGAGAGAGACCATGGGCTGTGCATGCATTAGGTAGAAATTCTTTGAGGACAGTGGCAATAGTGGCTCAGCAGGAAAAAAAATGAAAATGCATTTGGGAAAGAGAAGAAACTCCCAGTGAAACATTCTAAAAGGAGTCCCTGAAAGCCCAAGGGCACATCCTCAGCCTTTCCTGGGACAGCTTCAGACATAGGTGTGAGCCAATTTGGAAGGCAGGCACCCACCGTAGGCTGGAGACTGGAAAATGCCATTCTGACTCACTCTCTCAGAGCTGCAGAGGCTGAATTCCACTCCATTTTTCCTGATGTTAGCCAGCATTGTTCAAGACAGATGTTCAGGGTTCTACAAAATAAGCTTATTTTTCATGGCAACCATGATTTGAGGTAAACATATTTCCAGACTCAGCAGGAAGGCTTCCATGTGCAGCTGTAACATACATTTCTTAGCATATCTAAAAGTGTCAGAGACACTCCGCAAAAGATGTTTCCTTCTTAGCATCCTATTGTTAATAGTTTGGGTTCAAGGCTAAAACACCAAGTATTTGAGGGGATGTGGAAGAAAGTCAGCTTGAAACAGTGAACCAGTAAAACCGTGTGTCTTAGAAATTTTTAGCATTAATTGTTTCCGGCACAAAAAGAGACATGAACTCTCATCCAAGAAACTTTAGACCGTATAAATCTTGTAAGGCCTTAGTGAAAACATTATGGTTTTGAATTTTGCATAACCAATGTCTGTGAAAGCTATCACAGGTTATGATTTATGATTTATTTATTTTTTTGAGACAGAGTCTCACTCTATCACCCAGGCTGTATTGCAGGCTGGATCACAGCTCACTACGGCCTTGACCTCGCAGGCTTAGGCTATCCTTCTATCTCAGCCTCCTGAGTAACTTGGACTATGGGCACACACTGCCATGCCAAGCTAATTTCTGTGTTTCTTGTAGAGGTGGGGTTTCACCATGTTGCCCAGGCTGGTCTCTAACTGAGAGATGGGGTTTCACCATGTTGCCTAGGCTGGTCTTCAACTGCTGGGCACAAGCAATCTACCCAGCTCAGCCTTCCAAAGTGCTGAAATTATAGGTGTGAGACACGGCACCAAGCCAAAAGCTATCATATTTTAAATGAAATCTTATTTATACCATCAGTTTGTTTAATACATTTAAACTTTGTGATAAGCTTAATCATTATCACCAATTCTAAATAATGAGGTTCACATTAGTATAATTTTATGTGTGCAACAAAGTGGTCAGTGCTTCCAAGTAGCACATAGTTTAAAACAGACAGATGACGCCTTATATGAAATTAGGTTTCCGAACTGCCAAGCTTTTGCTTAAGGTTCTGTGTGCTGTTTGGGAAAAGGCCCAGATGCAGCAAGGCAAAAATAGGGAAGGTTTCAGAGTCAGACTGATAGAATTTAGAGTCCTGGTTCTATCACTTTCTAGCCTTAAAATCTCAGACACATCTGCAGATCCTCTGAGATTTTGTCTCCTCATCTGTAAGATGCTGGTGTGAGGGTCAGATGAGATAGTGTCCATAAAATAGCTAGTGCAATTCTTGACTCCTGTTGGGTACTCAAAAGATGGTGAATGTCATTAATAATTCTGGTGGCTTTAGTATTGCCTACAAATACTCTGACACACCTCCCTTCAGAAGGTAAAATATCTACTTCTTCTCCCTCTGGATGTGGGCTGGACAGTAACTTGCTTCTAATACCTAGAATGTGGTGAAGTCATAATGTGAGACTTCCAAGTCTGTGTCATGAAGAGGATACACATTTTGCTGCCACCCTTCATGTTGTGAGAATGCTCAAGCAGCCTGGGAAGGGGCCCACATGGGAGAGCCCAGTGTGGAGGAGCTGAGGCCTTCCACCAGCATCCAGCACCACATTGCTGGCTGTGTGAGGAAGCCACCTTAGAAGCAGATTTTCCAACCCCAACTGAGCCTTCAGATGATTGCAGTCCTGGCTAACATCTTGTCTGCAGCCTCACGAGAGACCTTGTGCCTAAGCCATCCAGCCAACTTGTTCCTGATTCCTAATCGAGATAGTGCGTATTGTCTTAAACCACTACACTTTGAGATAGTTTGCTATATAGCAATAGATAATTATTACAGTAAAAATTGCAGTAAAACTCACCCCAGAGTAGGATGAAACACGTGAATCAGTTAGCAGCCAGTTTCTGTCCAGGTAGTTACAACAGAAACCAAAAATCAAGATGGTAATTAATTTGTTAACGTATTTATTTCTTTAGCAAATTTACAGAGCCCTGCCTGGGCCGTGGGCCCCATCTGAGCTGCTGAAACCAGGATCTGTTACTGGACAGAGACAAAGGCTCTCAATGCCCTTCGTACCCAGATCTAACCCAGGCCTCAGTGATACCTCTAAGGTTCTTCTGTTCAGCTGCTGCTTCTCATCTCTCTGCCACATGCCATAGGCATGCCACAACTGTCTTCTCCTGGGACCACTGACAGAGCAATCTCTTAACTGGCCTTCCTGCTCACATTCTTGTCCAATTACAAGACACATTGGTAATGATCAATGATAAGGAGGCACTCTGAACTATGTAAACCAGATCTAATTATTTTCCTGCTTAAAACTTTATGGTGTCTCCCCGTCCACTTAGAAAACAACCAGACATTCTCTGGTCTATAAAGAAAGACCATGATCTGAACCCTACTTACCTACCTCTTCAAACTTGCTACCTCCCTTCACTCTATCCTTCTTCCTTCTCTTCCTTCAGCTCATTGTCAGGTATTGTTACCGTAAGGACACCAGTGAATTACCCCTCTCTGATCCATGTCCTTGTGTGGCCCTCCCACATTAACTACAGTCTTGGCCATGTGACTTGCTTTGACCTTTGTGACAAGAGCAAATATGATATATGAAAAAGCTTAAAAAACACTGTAGATTTGGGATTTCTTTTTCTCTGGCTGGAAGAAGGCTCAACTACTCTGCTGCTTCATGAGAGACATAGGAGTCACTTTCCTCCATCTCTGCCAGCCTCCAGACATAATGTGAGCCCAACCATCATGGGCTAAGCCCAACCCAAACTGCTGAGCCACAGAGTTGTGACAAATACATGATTGTTGGGCTGAGTCACCAGGTTTTGAGGTTGTTTTGTCACTTAGCAATGGGTAACTGATAAACACACCAAACTCACTCCTGAGTCCTGGGACTCCTTGTTGCCTCTGCTTGGCCATGTCCTCTCATGGAAGGCTCCTTTTGGTCATTTAGATCTCAGTTTAAATGCCACCACTCTGAAAGGGCTGCCCTGACCACTCAGGCCAAAGTGGTCTTGTGTTCACTGTAGAAAAAACAAACTTTTATTTCTCTGTTCTCATCCTACAATATTAAGCACAGAATCCTTCTGTGACCAGATGTGTGTGGGGTTTTCTTCAACCACCAAGCAAGCCATCGATTCTTCAGAGAATGCCAGCTGAGAGTCTCCTCATTCAATTCAATTCTGACACCGTCCAACTGGAGACAGAGTCAGATCACACAGGTCAAGGACTCAGTCCTAAAAAATGAAGCACCACCATTGATGTTGATTGGAAACCCTAAGTTGTTTACCTGCACTTCTGACCAATCAGCTACAAATCAGGGTTCCCAAAACCTCCTCTATCAATTTGATAAATTTGCAAGAGCAGCTCAGAGAACTCAAGGAAATGCTTATATTTATCAGTTTCTTATAAAGGACATTACAAAGGACACAGATGAAGGGACCCATAGGGCCAGGTATGCGGGAAAGGGTATGGAGCTCCCATGCACTTTCAGGGTGCACCACCCTCCAGAAGCCCCCACATGTTTGGCTGGTTTTTTTTGTTTGTTTGTTTTGTTTTTGACAGAGTTTTGCTCTTGTTGCCCAGGCTGGAGTGCAATGGCATGATCTTGGCTAACTGCAACCTCCACCTCCTGGATTCAAGCAATTCTCCTGCCTCAGCCTCCCAAGTAGCTGGGATTACAGGAATGCACCACCACACCTGGCTAATTTTGTATTTTTAGCAGAGACAGGGTTTCACCATGTTGGTTAGGCTGGTTTTGAACTCCTGACCTCAAGTGATTCACCTGCCTCGGCCTTCCAAAGTGCTGGGATTACAGGCGTGAGCCACCGTGCCCGGCTATGTTTGGCTATCTGGAAGCTCTCTGAATCCTGTTCCTTTCTTTGGGTTCTTACAAAAGCTTCATTACATAAGTATGACTATTAAATTATTGGCCATTGGTGATTGGCTTAACCTTCAGCCCCTCTCTGCTCCCTGGAGGTTGTGGGGTGAGGCTGGAAGTCCCAACCCTTTAATCTTGCCTTGGCTCTTTGGGTGACCAGCCCGAATCCTGAAGGTACCTAGGGGCTGCTAGTCACCAGTCCACTTATTAACATACAAAAAGACACTTGCCATTTTAAAGGTTCCAAGGATTTTAGGACAAAGACCAAATATACATTTCGCAACCTCACATCCGCTCTCTGCATATCGTCATGTTTTCCTTATACTGCAGCACTTCTTATGGCCTGATGTTTTCTGCTTTACCACATTTTATCAGATCTAAGACACTGTGGATTGTAACCCACATCCCAACTTCAGAAACTAAAAAATGTGAATAAAAAAGAGTGGTTTGAGAGGCCAGGCATGGTGGCTCATGCCTGTAATCCCAGCACTTTGGGAGGCCAAGGCGGGAGGATCACTTGAGGTCAAGGGTTTGAGACAAGCCTGGCAACATGGCAAAACCCTGTCTCTACTAAAAATACAAAAAGTAGCTGGGCATAGTGGCACGCACCTGTAATCCCAGCTACTCAGGAGGCTGAGGCAAGAGAATCACTTGAACCCAGGAGGTGGAGGTTGCAGTGAGCCTAGATCATGCCACTGCACTCCAGACTGGGCAACAGAGCAAGACTCCATCTCAAGAAAAAAAAAAAAGAGTGATTTGAGTTGATAAAATACAACCTTTGATGATTTATTCCTTTTTGTCTCTCTGTGGGAAATATATGCCCCATGAGGGGAGGGACTGCCTCCTTGGTCTTGCCTCCTCCAATTATTCTCCATATTAGAGTAAAAGTAAACTTTCTAAAATGCTAATCTAATCATGCCACTCTTCTTAAAATGATTTATTGGCCCCTCACTCCATTTAGGACAAAATGAAAATTACTTCCATGACTCACATGCCCTCTGAGACTGAGCTCTTGCTAACACACCCACCCTGAATCGAGTCACCCTCTGCTTCGCTTATTTCTCCAGCAGCGTCCTCCTGCTCTGGGTCCTGGACCACATAATCTTGCCTCCTGGTCACCACTACGCTGACTCTTCCGGATGTTCTCCCTCCTCTTCCCACAGCTAATGCGAGCAAATCACTCTTTCTCAGCTGTCACATTACATGGAAGCCACCTCTGCCCCCTCCCAACTGCTCTCACATTGCCCATCATAAAACCTTACACCAATAACTATTACAATTATAAAATATTTGTATAATTGTTTACTTGTTTATTTTATCACATATTGTGTTTTTTAAATTGTGTCTAACACTTACTGTGAGCCAGATACAGTTCTACGTATTGAGGTAACATTAGTAAATAAAACAAGAAAACTTTCTACCATAATGAAACTTTGGCTTCTGTGTAGGTAGACAGACAACAAATAAGACGAATATAAAAAATATGAGGATGTCACATACTAATGAATGCTATGGAGAAAATTAGGGCAGGAAAAGGGAAATCCTAGTGGCTGGGAGGGGCTGTGGTTTTACATGGGATGGTCAGAAAAGGCTCCAGTGAGAAGATACATTTGAGTAAAAACAGATGAGGAAATGGAATTAGCAGTTATTTCAGGAAGAGCATTCTAGGAGGTGAAAACAGCAAGTCTAAATCCCTGAGGCAGGATGCTGGTCACTGGTGGTAGATTTTGGTGACATTCTTAAGGAAGTCCCTGTGGCTGGAGCACTTAGCAAAGGATAGTTCTGAGAGGCGACGTTAAAGAGGCAATGAAGGGGATGACATAGAGCCTCATAAGCCTTGTTAGTAGGAGAGTGACAATGAGCCAAGTTCTCAAAGGATCGCTTTGTCTCATATGTTAAGAATTGACTTTAGGAGACGCGGAATGGAATCTGGGATGTCAGTGGGAAAATTGCAATCATTTGAGCAAGAGACAATCACATTCCTTCACATTTGTGAAATGTGGTGATGAGAAATGGAGGAGGAGAGAAAAGGTCAGAGTCTGGCTATGTTTTGGAGACAGAGCCAAAGGGATTCCAGATGGCTGGAGTGTGGGGTATGTAAGATTAAGAAAGGTGTCAGGAGTTTTGGCTTGAGCAACTGCAAGGATGGAATGGGCATTGACCAAGATGGGGAAGGCTGAAGGTAGAGAAGGATTTAGGGGAAGGAATGGGAGTTAAGTTTTGATGTGTTAAGTTTGTGATGCCTTCTAAATAGTCAAGTTGTAGATATCAAAGTTGCATATATAAGTCCAGAGTTCAAAGAAGGTGGCTGAGCAGGAGATATAAATCTAGGAGTTATCAGCATATAGAAGATAGTTGAAGACTTGTGCCCACAAGAAATTACCATGAGGGTAGTATAGACTAGAAAAAAGGTCAAACCAGAACTCTGGGCACTCCAACAGTGGTCAGGGAGATGAGGAGATGGGAGAGAACAACCAGGATAATGAGAAGCTCCATCAGCAAAAAGGAGGATGGAATCTCCTCCTTTGATCCCATGAGGAAGGGATCATCAACACCATCAAATGCTGCAGGGAGATCAGATCGGCTAAGCTTTGGCCACCGATCACCTTGACAGGGTGGTTTTGGTGTCAGGATGGGGAATTAATGTCTTTCTTTCTCACTAATCAGAATGAACAACTGCATTTTCTGTCATTTACACCCCTGTATTCCTAGCAGCTAGCACAGTTTCTGAAACAAACTAGATATTACATTAATACTTGTTAAGTGAGTGATTGGAAACTGATTATTAGATACTTTAAGATGGTCCTTAGATAAAATTTTTAAGGAAAATTTACAAAATAATTTCCCTATAACTTGGAAATCCAACTGCTTTTTTCAGTGGATAAGAGTCATGGAAAGATAAGATTATGAGAGCATTTTTACCTTAATAAATATTAGCTTTTCTCATAATCATTGTAAGCCCTCCTTACTTTTTGAGTTCCTAAATAAGAATCCATGCACAGAGCAGGTGCTTCTATGTCTTGCTGGGAGGGAAAGAGGTCTGTTCATTGTTTTGGGAAAGAACAACCTTCAACTTGGTCTCAGAATGGCCTTTGCTCATTGGTGGGGAAAAGTTTTGCCTGATGGGAATGGCCGATTGGAAATGGCCTCAAGAACCCTCAAACTAATCCCCATAACTATTGGTGTCAGGAATTCCTTTAATGGAGTCAAAGCTTTTCATCCTATAATTTTCATGATACACTGGTTCAAGTTATAGAGAAAAGGCAGCTAATTTTTACTTTCAATGCATGGGCCTTTACATGAAGGCACAGTCAAGAGTACCAGTGAAACACAAGCACGTTGTCCTGTGATTTCTGTCTAAGTGTTCATTGCTCAGCCATCTGTCAGATTCCTGATGCATAGATGAAGGAAAGAGGCAGGTGGAGTCATTCCGAAAGAGTCTTCGTGGAAACCAGGTATTGGCCACTCAATGGAGGAGCAATCCCTTCATCACCGGTACTCCACAGGAGCAGCAAGTCAGGACCTGGTGTATGTCCTGGGGCCTTAGGCTGGCCTTAGCTACAGCTGTTGGGCCTTATGTCCCACGGAGCCAGCTGGACGTGCTCCTAACTGGCTTACCTCTGGTGAGAGTGGCCAGCTCTCAGGGTTCAAATTGTCCAATAGCATCTGCAGGGACCACACAGGTAGTTACAGAACTGTTTTTCTCATCAGTGGGGTCTAGGCATTGGGGCTGAGGCTGTTCAGGTGAACATAAGCCACCAGTCCTTTTTAAGACACATAACTAAAAGTCATTTACACAATCCGTTTCAAACAGAACATTAGTGCCTAAACTGCTGCATTCTAAGCAAGTCTCCTCAGCCAGCTTCACATCTGAGGCCCACAGGTATCGCTTTGGAGTCAGGTGATGACCAAAGAACCCCACTACAAAGCAGGAGGAGATTATCCAGCTAAATCTCACCAAGACACCTGGGAAGGGGAACAATGAACTGAATTCATGTCAACATATACATGACAGATACCGGATACTTTCTGAAAGCAGGTTTTGTTCAAAGTGGGAGGGAATGGGCAGATCCTGAGTGTCTGAATGTGAAATTGAGAGGGGGGAAAAGAAGGATGCAAAACATAACTCCATCATTTGCTTTTCCTAGAGACAGGGTCTGGCTTTGCAGCCCAGGCTGGAGTGCAGGCATACGATCTTAGCTCACCGTAAACTTTAACTCCTGGGCTCAAGCCATCCTCCCACCTCAGCCTCCCAGGGTGCTGGGATTATAGATGTGAGCCACCATGCCCAGACCCCATCATTTTCTAAACATTATTCAAGAACTAGTTTACTTTGTCCATTTCTCTTCCCAGTGCAAAGAGGATTTTGATGTTCCCCACCCTGGGCCTGTCATGGGGTGGGGGGAGAGGGGGAGGGATAGCATTAGGAGGAATACCTAATGTAAATGACGAGTTAATGGGTGCAGCACACCAACATGACATATGTAACAAATCTGCACATTGTGCACATGTACCCTAGAACTTAAAGTATAATAATAATAATAAAAGAGGATTTTGGCCCATAATGTTCTAATAGAGATTTCCTATTTCCCAAGGCTGCCAATTCATTGCTTTTTCTCTCAGATGAAATGTGTATGATTTTTATGATGTTGTTCAACAGTGCACTCATTTATTCATTTATATTTACCCAACAAATAATTATTATTCACTGCAATAAATTCTGTAGAGATGGATAAGTGATGGCTCTTGTCCTGTAAATCACACCTGTCTTCCAAACATGGCAGAAAATCAAAAAAGGAAATACATATAGTTAATAATAGTTTAAACACTGTGATATATATATAATTAAAACATGACTCCTGTAATTTAACATTTTGGTTAACACCCTTCCAGAAACATTGCTATTTTCTTGCTTTCTCTATTTTTCTTATATTGATTTATTGTTTAGGTAGCTTTAAAGTATATTTCTCATAGGAAGATAAAGACTTTCTCATTACAAACTTTAAAATTGTTAATAGAAAAAAACAAATTAAAAATCCAAAATCCTCAAGCAAACAGTTTTATTCAATTCTTAATTTAACCAAGTGGCAGACGTTTTGATTTGAAATTGATTTTGCTGTATCGAACAACACTGTGTTGAACATCTTTGTGCATCTATTTTCTGGATGTTGAACTGTTAAACTACCCTATAGAAAGGCTGCATGTGGTGGCATTACACAAATGCTAATTGTGAAGGAAAGCATGTTACATATAGCACGGTGTTTTGTGGTTGAAGTAAAATTCATTATTATTGTTTTGTTCTTTGTGGGTTTCCGTAGATATGTTAAGCAGAAATTTGAGACGAGACTAGCTAGGAAAACATTTGCTCTGTTAAAGTTTATTGCTAGTTCTACATCAGCAACTTCATTGGAGTGGACAATGGACATGTTTAATTTTGGTCACAGGCCCATACTTAGTTTTGAGGTTAAACCTCTGAAAGTGAAAAGCTTGCCAACAGCAGCTAATGGTGTGAGCCAAAGGCCTGTCTGGTTCCCTGTGTGGTGGGAGATTGCCTTATCATCTACTTTCTTTTGCTAATGAAAATAACATTGGCAAACAAAAATAGCAGCTGCCATCGTATTGGGCTATATACTTTGCAGTAATTACCTTACCTTACACTGACAATTCTCTAACAGGAAGTAACTTGAAGTAACAGAGAAGTAACTTGAAGTCACAATGGAACCAGGATCTGATCAAAAAGATTGGACTCCAGAGCCATGCTCTTGACATGAGCTACCTTGACTTGAATAGTTCACAGATAGGACAATGAAAATAAACTCCTAAGGGTATATGAAATGAAATCAATTTGATTTGAATAAGATAGTTAATCATAGATACCTATACAATATTTTTCTACATTTCAAGTACACATTGATTATTTTTTCAAAAACTTTTATGAGTACCTTTTATTTGCCAGGCACTGGGATACACAATGGTGAGCAAGGCAGACGGGAACTTTGTCTTCACAATGACATTAGACTGTGAAGGAGATGGGCGGGAAAACCAGCAGCTGCAAGGATGTGTGGTACAGCCTTTAAGAGGGAAGCCCACAGTGCTATGGGGGAGTCAAGGAGAGAACCCAGACTTTGTACCTTAGGTCCAAGGTTTTACTCCCAAGTAGCTGGCACTGCAGGTATGCACCATCATGCCCAGCTAATTCTTTATATTTTTAATAAGAGACGGGGTTTTGCCATGTTGACCAGGCTGGTCTCAAACTCCTGACCTCAGGTGATCCACCGCCCCAACCTTGGCCTCCCAAAGTGCTGGGATTACAGGCGTGAGCCACTGCGCCCGGCCTCAAGATTTATCTTCAAGGTGGATTAAAGCTAACTAGACATGGTTTATCTTCACACAGGCAGCCTGAAAACAAAATTTAGTCATATCCATGAATTCTATTGGAAATATTAGACGACCGTAACATTCAAGGTTCATGGACAGGTTATTTTTTATTTTCTAACTGTCCTTATGGTATGACCAGATTTCAGATAAAGCTTATTAAAATATATTGCTTTTGGAAATTTGGCAGTTTTCTTTTGTTTAGTGCGTCTCATAATTTATGGATCTCATGGGGAATTCGTTTAGCTCTGGTTTCTGAGATGTGCTAGAACTTTATAGAAATCCTCTGACAGGCAGCTTTTAGAGAGATAGAAGTTTCTAAAATTTATATTTCATTCTTGTCACTGAACTCTCTTGATATCTGATTTCCCAGCTGCTAAGCCACATACGTTTTGATAGGCTTCACTGTGAAAACTGAGGGTGTCCCATGGTGATGCTCGTGCCTACCCTGCCTCATAGGAGCACATTAACGGAGTAGCCTGGACACTTAGGCACTGGTGATCCTGTGAAAGGGACTACCTCTGTCTTTGCTCACTGTCTCTTCAGCATGTGCAATGCCTGACGCAGAGTAGTTACCTGATGACTAGCTTTTTTTTTTCTTTCTTTCTTTCTTTTTTTTTTAAAGGAGAAAAGTGTGTATCTGAGAAACCTTTAAAATATAGAGAAGATAGGTGGATCGATCCGAGGTTGTCTGCTAAAGTAGCCCATTTTCTAGACTGCAAATTCCTTTTGACTATTTGTTTTGTACATGTAGAGTATCTGGAAGAAGGGTCACCTTAAATGAGCAAAATATGTTAACATTTTAACATATTTAGCTATTGCTAGCATATCCATGTTTCATTCCCCAGTAACACCTCTCACTGAGAGGCATCACCATATCTCTGAATGACCTGGAGATGCATTTGGAACACATGCTTTGAGCAAATGAGCTTCTTGTTAAACTATAAAGTATATTTTCTAAGCTATTATGTCAAGGGGAATAACAGAGGAAAGATAGTATGTTCTAATTATCTTCAAAATTTGCCCACTTTCCATCAAAATTTATTGTAACTGAAAGGAGCAGCCTCTGAAAGATGGATTATTGGCTCTTCTGCTTTGAGCTGCTGATCTCAGAGGGAAACAAATGGCACTTGCTGGATCTGAGCACAGAATACTAACAGCACTTCAGCATTAAGGGAGATATTATCAGGGAAAGTATATGATATTCACCATCTAATTCTTTTCACTTCTTTCAGTAAAGACACTGAAGGAAGAACTGATTTTAATCTGAGACTACCTCTTTCAAAGAAATCTCAAGAGATTTAGTGTTACTGGAGAAACTAAAAGATACAAAAGTATTTGTTACAAGCAAGAGAAGCTTTAAAACAATGTCGAATAGGAAATGTACACCTGGTGACCTGTCCCCTACCTGGAAAGATAGTGAAAGGGATCTGATAGGGACAACTGTCACTGGGTACTGATGTTACACTCACTTTCTAATGGAAAGACAACAAAGACCAAGCTCAGTGGGTATTCAATGATCAGACAAAACTCTCGAGAAGCATGAGGGTCTTACCTGAACGTAAGTTCAAAGAAGTGTTCTAGCACCAGGAAACACTTAACAATATACAGAGAAAGGAAGCTCGGACTGATGTTTAGGTTGTCTATCTAAAATGATCCCAGGAGAGGCATAGATGGAAAACTATTCTGCACATTTTTCCCCAGAAATAGAGTATTAGTTTTATAGCATACTTTTCACCTAAATATTGAGACTGAACCTGTAAAGCAATGGAGTCTTTCATCTAATCACCTACATCAGGATGCCTGGAAAAATTGTGACAATATATATGTATATACATAATTTCTGTTTTGAGTAGGCTTGCAATTTTTAAAAACAAGCTTTAATTCAGTTGAAATAAAAATCATACAATATTAAAAGCGGTGATCTGCAAATACTATATATGTATGTATTTCTGTATTGTAAAATTAGTAAGTTACTGAATGTGATATGTAAACTGTGTTGGGTTCAGTATGATAGTTGTAATTATAGGAAAATAGAACAAGTAAGACTCATGTGATTTGATCTGAATATTTGACATTTGCGTAACATGAGTGACTTATTTGCTTTAGACTGATATTCATAGTGGTACAAATTGTCCTTCTATTCATACTATTTCTAGTGGGATGCCAATATGTGTAAGATAAAATATATATTCTGAAATAATATATTCTCTGAATTATCTAATAATAAGTAGGCATTTTGCTAAACCACTTAAAAGTGGAAATAATTGATGAATAATATACCAGAGAACCTTTTATGGTAAGAGTAATATGAAATAAGGTGAAGTATATCAGCCACAAAAGCCAAAATCCCAGGAAACATAATTATCCATTAACCATGTCTTTTGCTTTGTTATTAATGGATAAGATAAGAGGCTCTCCCAGAGAGTGGGAATGATTCTGTGGGATCATCAGAGGAATGAAAAATGTAAAATGCTCTCAGGAACTTCATTCTTTTAATTACAACTATATCATACTTTCCCACACCATGGTTGATACAAATCAGGCTCTGTTTATGAAATAACACAAAGATCTTATTTTAAATTAATGTACAAGATTTGTTATCAATTGTGAATCAGTTTTACTATATCTGAGCACATGAATATGATACACTATGTTTTTATCAATTTTAAAATCTAGTAATATTTTCAATATGCTTTTCGAGTTTCTTCCTTCCAAATACTTTATATTATGACGCTACAGTTTATAGAAAGCATAAGATGATGAAAAACCTTTGTCCAAAAGGAGAAAAATCCTAATAATTCCTTTATGGAAGAGTTGCAAATCTTTAATTCAGTTTAATGTGTTTATGTGAGAAAAGCCAACTGGTAAGCATGCTTCCCAAAAATAAATATTGTGGTTACTTTCCTGTCACAGCAGAGAAGCATATATGAAATCCCTACATTTGTAGACAAATTATTTTCCAGGACCCTTTAAAAATGATTTGATGGTTTCTTAGGGTTTAAAATTACAGTGGAGAAATACTATGTTAGTTTGAATTTCTTTCTCAACTAGGTAAACACTTTTGTTGCTAGAAAATTGGATTCTTCTATTTATACAGTTTTGGTGAGGAGACATCTATAGGTGTATTTTTAAAAATATTCTTGTCCAGCAACTTGGTAAGCACTTTTCTTTCAATGACTCCAGTTCATCTTCAGCTTCAGAATTTTTTTTTTAATTTCTTTGATTGTTGATTCTCTGTAATTTAGTGCAGTCTTTCCTCAGGGTAGTTGCAGGGCATTTTGTCCTAATAAGTCCATCTTCAACTCAAGAGATTTTCTCTCTCTCCTTTTTTTTTTTTTTGATTATTTTCCACCCTTTACTTCATTCTCTTCTCCTGATACTTCCATAAATAAATAGTGTACTTTTGGATCCATCTTTCTTATCTCTTAAGCTCCCTCCCATACTTTCTATCTGGTTTTCTTTTTTTTCTTTAACTTTTATTTTCAGTTCCAGAGTAGATGTGCAGGATGTGCAGGTTTGTTACATAGGTAAACGTGTGCCATGGTGGTTTGCTGCACAGATCAACCCATCACCTAGGTATTAAGCCCCACGTCCATTAGCTATTCTTCCTGATGCTCTTCTTCCCCAACCCCCTGCCAACCCTCCCTGGAGTGCATTGTTCCCCCGCTATGTGTCCTTGTGGTCTCATCCTTCAGCTCCCACTTATAAGTGAGAACATGCCGAGTTCGGTTTTCTGTTCCTGTGTTAATTTGCTGAGCATAATAGCTTCCAGCTCCATCCGGGTCCCTGCAAAGGACATCATCTTGTTCCTTCTTATGGTTGCATAGTATTCCATGGTATATCTGTACCACATTTTCTTTATCCAGTCCATCGTTGATAGGCATTTGGGTTGATTCCATGTCTTTGCTATTGTGAATAGTGCTGCAGTGAACATATGTGTGCCTGTATCTTTATAGCAGGATGATTTACATTCCTTTGGGTATATACCCAGTAATGGGATTGCTGGGTCAAGTGGCATTTCTAGATCTTTGAGGGATCACCACACTGTCTTCCACAATGGTTGAACTAATTTACACCAACAGCATAGAAGCGTGCCCTTTTCTCCACAATCTTGTAGGTATCTGTTGTTTTTTGACATTTTGTTAATAGCCATTCTGATTGATATGAATGGTATGTCATTGTGGTTTTGATTTGCATTTTTCTAATGATCAGTGATGTTGAGCTTTTTTTCCTTACATTTCTATCTGGTTTTCTTTTTAAGCTATAAAGAATTGCTCGAGGTGAGATTCCAAATTACCAGCTCAGTTCCTGGAGCATCATGAAATGATATCCACTTACTGATGTTTAAATTCTAGTGAGTACCTTTTTAAACTCCAAGAGGATTTTCTGATTCTCCAGTTGTTTCGTTGTCACAGGAGCCTGCCCTTCTTTCATGGATGTGAGAAGCGTTCAGATTCTAGACGTATTTGAAGACAGCGGGATTTGATGACATATTACATGTAGGGTGGGGAGAAAGAGGAGTCAGGATGACTACCAGATTTTAGGCCTAAGTGCCCGAAGGGAAGAGCATCCAAGAGCATATGTTACTGAGCCCGGGAATAGCATTGTACAGGAGCTTTTAGGGAGAGGCCAGGAGTTCAGTTTTGTATGTGTTATAGCTGAAATACCTGTTAGTCGTCCAAATACAGATGTCGCCAAGGCATTTGCACGTGTGCATGTGCAGTTCACAGGAGATATCCAGGGCAGAGATATATAAGTTTGTGAGTCATAGTCTTAGAGCTGGTATTTAAAGCTATACACTCATCAAACAATTAATTGTAGCTGGAGAAGTCCACCAAGCCTGGAGGTGGGTTTTCCTGGACCTGTGGATAGCTGTGTTTCTGTGTAGGGTGTGTGAAAGCAGAGCACACTGCCAATTCCTGGACCCACTCGAGTGAGGAAGGGGGAGGAAGCATCCTTACAAATGGAACACGGTAGGAGATTTCTTTACCATCTCTGGCAGGTTATTGCTCATTTGGGGGCAGGAGAATGAAAAGCCTAAAGTCAGGTGGAGGACTGCCTTGTATGTTTCTGAGCCTTAAAGTTCATGCTAGGAGTTCACTGTGGCAGGTCTCTCATTTCCCTGAGAGGAGCGGTTTTGCCAGGAGAAACAAAACAAATGCCATCCCTGCACCTGGTGTGCACAGAACACGGAGGAGCATAGCACTGGGCTTGCAGAACGCTCCCTGGCATGCTCAAAGTTGGAGGTTTTGCTGGTGTTTAGTTAAGAGATGCATCCATTTAACTTATCAAGAGGTTCCTTCCTTTACCTAAATTGGAAATTAGCCGCTCATCTATAATTCTCCAAAGGCACATGAGATTATAAAACTAGCAATCATAAAAGAATCCAGGTAAATATTGAAAATGTAAAACATAGTTTACTTTTAGTCCTAGATGTTACAATGTTAAAAAATATCAAGAACCTTAAAGTCTCTGGAGTCATTAGTGCTACAACTGTGTAAATAGCTTACTTCAAAATAAGGTCAAAAGAAGAGTTAATTTTATTAGATGTAGCTCTTGCAGTAAAAGAGTGAAAGGCATGGGAACAATTGTATGAGGAGATTAAACTAGAGGAATACTGTCCTAATAAAAGCCAAAACTCAATGAAACTTTGGTAAAATTTTCATTTGCAATGCAATATTTCCTCATAACACTTTACTAATATGACTTATTTTTGGAGTCTATAACCAATTTTTCTGATGTAAAGTGAAAAGACTGTTAAAATACCTAATTTAGAGAAACAAGACATTTGACCATAGGGACAAATTGTGATTGATCATATTATTTGTGGTGTGACAGATACAATGAAACTGGAGTGGAAAGAACCATGTCATTTTCTGCATACTAAACAGGAGAAAAAAAGGCAACACAGAACCCCCTAGCCACCGTGCTTTGATGCTAAGTCATAGTACTCCATTTACATTTACAGTCATTGCCATAAACAATAATCCCACTATTTCACAATAATAGGTACCAGCCTGGGCAACACAGTGAGACCCCATCTCTGCAAAAAGTAAAATAAAAAAAATTAAGTGGGCACCTATAGTTCTAGCTACTGGGGAGGCTGAGATAAGAAATTATGCAATTTTTCAAACATCAGTATGATGCTTTTTATGCTATCTTTTCCAGTTCTATAGTAGATTCTGTGTGTGAGAGAGAGTTGCACATGTGCACACACACACACACACATTAGAGGTACTGAATGGTACCTTTAAATACACTGAATGATGAGATCTGGAGAAAGTGGAAAGGAAATTAAGTAAAGTTATATTTCCACTGGAGCTCAAAAGTTTGAGGCTGCAGTGAGCTATGATTGTGCCACTGCCCTACAGCCTGGGTGACAGAGTGAGGCCCTGTTTCCAGAAAAAAAAAAAAAAAAAAAACGCCACACTTTAGTTGGTTGGTTTAGGGAATAAAGTTGAGTTACTCCCCAAGAGTTTTTAAAAAAGGTTACTGATGAGACAGAATGAAAAAATATACAATGCATGTATGTTTAATGTAGAGAATTTCACACAAATGGATTGTATTCTGTGCCTGAACCAGACTGTTAGCCCTAAAATGGAATCTATAATGCTGTTTTCAGGTTTGACTGGGCATTTGTTACATGACTAGCAAAATCTTTCAGTGCTTTTGTAATTGAGTCCCCTTGGCAAGAATTCAAATCTAGCTTTCTCCCAATATTATAAAGTAGTTTTAGCAGGTTCCTGTGGAGGGATGCTGGGCTGGTTACTTTCCATTTCATGCCTTGCCCCTTTCCAACCTGCTCCTCTGTCTTGCAATGGACCAGGCAGGTGGACCCTCATGTGTCAGCCTACATGAGTGCCTTTGTTCCTGGGAAGGGTGAGGTGTGGCCAGAGGGAGGCCATCTGCCAGATACTAGAGGCAGATGGAGAGAGAAGTAGGTAGGGGAATTCACTTCCCCCACCCCACATGCATCTCATGTTTAGAAGTAGCTGTGTCCCTCTGTGACCGACATCTGCCTGGCAGGCTCCAGCTCTGACTACATTATCAGCACCCCCCACTTTCCTTTTCTGCACTAAACGTGGTAATAGTTTCCCATAACTGAAAACTTCTGGGCGATTTGACATTCTTCATCAGTTCCCTTAATGCTGCTCACACCTCTGAAATTGTTCCTTCATTAAAATCTCTTCAGTTGACTCATTGAAGTGGAACTCTTTCCCTGCTGTGACCCTGACTGATACAGTCACAATGAAGTTGATGTTGTATGACAGACCAAATAGTATCATGTACTCCACAAATACTCCCCTAACTTTCAAGGCTGCAGGCACAAGAGAGTTCTGAGTCTATTTTGTGATGACGTCTGTGCTAGTCAATAACAGAGCCTTAGTTATTATGACCGTCATAAGGTAATGGCTGTATAGCCTTATATTTTGAGAGTAAACTGGGTAAAGACGTGAGAAATGGTTAGTCCATGTAAGGGCAGTAGTCTTAATAAGAAAGGAGAGGCTGTGGCCTTTGGACAGAACCATGTGGTAGCAGAGGCTGCTTTGCTCTTGCTCCAAAGGAGATGACCACCTGCAGCTGGTTCTCAACAACCAGAATTCCTTGTCTGATTGAACATTCTAATATTCGACCCAGACCCCATTAAAGGAATGCCAGTGTACCTACTTCTACTTCTGGATCTTTTCCCAGGAAAATTATAATTGCATAGTCTATGTCCTTTGAGAATCACCATGAAAGAAGGGGTCTTCACCAAAGGTGAAATTACGAGGAGATAGCAGAGGGTAATGAAGATTCTGCTCATCCCTGGAAACAGCTCTTGGAGGCTATCCTGGCTTTGCAGAAGAGCTACAGATTGGTAGCTGCAGTAGGATGTTAGGTATTTGGTCCAAGGATGTTTCTTGAGATGGCTGGGTTCTGCTTCCCGAGTACCTAGACTAGCGTGCTCTACCTTTGCCTCCACAGGAAAATTCCCAGTCCAGCTCTTCTCTTCTTGTGCATAAGGGGGGCTGACACCTATGGACTTCATTCCCTGGGCTCACTGGCTGGAAATCAAAGACTAGAATGCAGAGAAAAGCAGAGAAAAGAGAGTGAGAGAGATTATCTGGGACAGTTCCCTTCCCACCCCCAACCCCCATGGCTGAGGCAGTGTCTGTGTCCCTCAGTGATGGCAGCTCCTGCTGGGTGACCCTGGCCTCCAGCCTGATGCTCTCACAGGGCTCCAACAGCACATTTTCATCTCCCTGCCCTTCCAGCCCTACCGGTGTCGACAGTTTCTCACCCTTCCAAGTCAGGCTGTCTCAACAGCCCTTACTACTTACCTTAACATTTTCGACAACTCTCTATATAACTCCCTCATTAAAGTTCTTTTATTTGAAACATCTGTGTTGGATTTCTTTTTGTTCCTCAATGTTCTTTCTTGAATTTTTATTCTTTCAGTAGTGTTAGCTCTGAAATAATACTCGACTGGTTTTATTGTTGTAATTGCAGTCAGAGCAATGCTTATATCATTTTTGCAATCATGTTAAATAATGCCATTAAAGAAGAAGCAAGTCTGTTAGTAACATTCCCACATAGGAGCTGAACAGTGGATGTACTTTTTTTTTTTTTTTTGGAATCAGAGATGGTAAAGCTAAGAACAAACCCAAGGCAACCATCTCAGTAGCTGAGATCATGAGTAACAGTGTCTTCTTGGTTGAAAGGGTCTTTGTAAATGTCCAAAGAATGGAGAAGTCTACCTGGCAAACAGTAGTGCTGCATGTAGAGTTTTATAGGCTGAGTAAAATTAGCTGTGTTCATTGGCCAACATGTGAAACCCCATCTCTACTAAAAATACAAAAAAATTAGCTGGGCGTGGTGGCAGTCACCTGTAATCCCAGCTACTCTGGAGGCTGAGGCAAGAGAATCACTTGAACCTGGAATCAGAGGTTTCAGTGAGCTGAGATGGTGCCACTGCATTCCAGCCTGGGAAACAAGCAGGACTCCGTCTCAAAAAAAAAAAAAAAAAAAAAAAAAAAGCAAGTAAACCATGGACTTTTGGATTTTTTCTGCTTTATTTTTTTCATATCAGTTCTCTTTAGTCTAGAGTTCTATTTTTAATATAACAATTTTTTAAAACTGTGTTGTTATTGCTGAATAGTTACATAATAATTATATATAAATATGTATATGATTATTTGATAAACATGTTAAAATGTTATTTTAAAAAACAAATGTAAAAATGTGCCCTGGAGAAACTATTTGAATAATAATGTGCAGAATGACCTGAAAGGATGACTGAGAAAGAAAAAAAAAACTAAAGAAAACCGGATGTGAGTCTGTGAGTCTCTGGACAGCAAAGAAAAAGGATAAAGAGAATGAAGAATGATTTGGTTTTAGGGTAAGACAATTTACTTACTCTCTTTTCTCTATAAAATTAGTAGAAGTTTAGTGGTTGTGGACTCTAGATTTTAAAAAGCTGATTTAACAGACTGAAATGAAAGAATGGGCCATGGATTCTTGGGAGGTGGCCACAATAGCTGTTAGCAGATCAAACATTTGGGAGATGAATTGATTGCTGCAGAGAGGGCAATCCCATAGCCACGTGGGGCATTTGACAAAGCCATTTTGAATGATCAGTTTTGACATAACTGCATGAAATGATCCTATCAAAGAGCAAAATCATGTTTTAAAGTTATGTCCCTGCCTGTTACGCTGCCCCACCCACCAAAGCTATGGGACCCTCTTATTCACTTTTGTATTGCTTATGTGTTTTATGGGCTGGTATTTTGTTCTTGTTGTTTCTATTTTTTATTTAACTGTACACTATTTACTTTAAAGCTATTTATAGTTATTGCTATTCTTATTACCACTACTGAATAATATAACTTTTTATAATCAGGAAAGACCATGAAATTACTGTTAGTCTCTAGATTTTTAAGTTTAATTAAGGTATCTTTGTATACCACAAAATTCACCCATTTGAAATGCGCAATTTGATAGTTTTCAGTATATTCAAGATATGTGCAACTGTTGACATATTTAATTTATACATTTTCCATTACCTCAAAAAGAAATCCCTTTTTCTAAGTTATAGCTCCTCATCACCCCATTCTCCCAAGCCCTAGGCAATCACTAATCTACTTTTTCTTTCTATAAATAGAATTTAATAAATTTTTTCATTCTGGAAATTTTATATTATCAGAATCATGTAATGTGTGATCTTTGTAACTTGCTTCTTTCACTTAGAATAACATCTGAAAGGCTCAGCCATGTTGTAGCATGTATCAGTACTTCATTAGTATCCATGGTCGAATAATACACCTCTGTATGGCTGTGCTGTGTTTTGTTTGTCCATTCCTCAGTTGATGGACATTCGGATGGTTTCCACCTTTTGGTTGTTCTAAATAATGCTGTTATAGATATTTGTGTATAAGTTTCTGTGTGAATGTATTTTCATTTCTCTAGGGTTTATGTCTATGGGTGGAATTGCTAGGTCTGATGATAACTCTATGTTTAAATAACCATTTAAGGAATGCTGCGGACAGAATTGTGTCCCTCCCATCCCCCCAAATTCATATGCTGAGGTTCTAACCCCCAATGTGACTGTATTTAGAGAAGGGGCCTTTGGCATAGAATTGGATTTAGATGAGGCCGTGAGGGTAGAGCCCTCATGTTGGGATTTAGTGTCCTTATAATAAGAGGAAGAGACACCAGAACTTGCTCCCTCTCTCTGCCGTGTGAGGAATTGGCTGACACCTCAATCTCAGCTTCTCAGCCTTTCCAGAACTGTGAGAAATATGTTTATCTTAAGCTGCCCAGCCTGAGCTGACCAAAACAAGGAACTATCACACTGTTTTCCAAAGTGGCTCTAGTGTGTGAGGATTAGGATTTCTCCACCTCCTTGTCAACACTTGCTATTGTCTTATGTTTTGATTATAGCTATTTTGGTGGGTGTGAAGTACCATCTTATTGTGGCTTAGATTTCCATTGATGACTAATGGTGTTAAGCATTCCTTTATGTGCTTGTTGGTCACTTGTATATCTTCTTGAAGAAGTGTCTAATAATTTTCCCATTTGTATTGGAGTTATGTGGATTTAATTATTTATTTGGAAGAGCTGTATAGTGTAGATACAAATGCCTTATGAAGTATATAATTTGCGAATATTTTCTCTCTGAGGATTGTGTTTCACTTTCTTGATGGTGTGTTTTGAAGCACAAAAGGTTTTAATTTTGATTAACTCAAATTATCTATTTTTTCTTTTGTCACTCATGCTTTTAATGCCATAGCTAAGAATCCATTGCAAACACTAGGTCATGAAGATTTACCTCGATGTTTTCTTCTAAGAGTTCTATAGTTTAACACTTACATTTAGGTCTCTGATCCATTTGAATTAATTGTCATATATGATGTGAGATAAAGGTCTGACTTCTTTCTTTTCATTTGGCTATCCAGTTTCCTCACATCATTTATTGAAAAGACTAGTCTTTCCCCATTGAATGATCTTGTGCCCTTGTCAAAATCAGTTGAAAATAGATACATGGCTTCATTTCTGAACTTTCAATTCTATTTCATTGATCTACAAGTCCCTCATTCTATTAGGACTACACTGTTTTGATTGCTTTTTGTCTGCAATGTAAGTTTTCAAAGAGTTGGAATGTGTGAACCCTCCAACTCTATTATTCATTTTCAAGATTATTTTGGCTATTCTGACTACCCTACAATTCCATATGAATTTTAGAATTAGCTTGACAAATTTTACAAAAAAGCTAACTGGGATTCCAATAGGAATTACATGGTAGGTTAATTCTGGAAATATTGCCATTTTAATAATGTGAATCTATAATATTGGTCTACAAATGTGAGATAGTTTTCCATCTATTATTTTCAATTTATTTCTATCTTTAAAAAATTCATTTCAACATTTTGTAGTTTTCAGATTATAAGATTTGTACCTCCTTGATTAAATTTATTTCTAAGTATTTTGATCTTTTTGATGCTATTGTAAATGAAATTGCTCTCTTAATTTCATTTTCTAATTATTCATTGGAAATGTGTGAAAATGCAATTGATTTTTCTATATTAATCTTGTATCCTGCAAGTTTGCTCTACTCTTTTATTAGTTCTAGTAGTTTTTCAGTGGATTCCTCAGAATTGTCTGTATACAAGATCATGTCACATGTGAATAGAAATTGTATTACTTATTCCTTTCCAATCTAGATGTATTTTTATTTATTTCTCCTGCCTAATTGCCTTTGCAAGAGCCTCCAGTACAATGTTGAATAGAAGTGGGTGAAGTGGCAAGATATAATATTCCTGTGTTTTTCCTGGTCATAAGGGGGAAGAATTCTGTCTTTCATTATTAATTATTACATTAACAGTGCATTTTTCATAGATGCCCCTTATCATCTTGAGGACTTTTACTTGTATTCCTAGTTTGTTGAGTATTTTTATCAAGAAAGGATGTTAGATCTGGTCAAATGTGTTTTCTCTGTCTATGATATAATCATGTTAATGTTATCTTGGTGTCTTTATTAAACTGATAAGATGTATTACATTAACTGATTTTTAGATGTTAAGTCAAACTTACATTCATGGGATAAATCATACTTGGTCATGATGTGTATTTCCTTTTATATGTGGCTGGATTCCACTATCTAGTATTTTGTTGAGGATTTTTGCATCTGTATTTATAAGGTATGCATGCTGGTGTATAGTTATTACTTGTGATGTTTTTGTCTGGTTTTGGTATCAGGATAATACTGTGTTCATAGAATGAGTTAAGAAGTCAGCTATTCTCTTCTATTTCTTGCAGGAGTTCGTGAAGAATGGGTATTAAATCTTTAGATGTTCAGTGGAATTCATTCATGAAGACATCTGAGACTGCACTTTTCTTTGTGGGTATTTTTTATTACTAATTAAATATCTTGTTATTGGTATATTAAGTTTGTATATTTCTTCTTGAGTCAGTTTCTGTAGAGCATGTCTTTTTAGGAATTTTCCATTTCATCCAAGTGATCTAATTTATTGGTAAATAAATTCCTTTAGAATCCTTTTTAATTCTGTAGGGTGGTACCAGTATCCCCTTTCATTTTTTTTTTATTTCAGTAATTTGACTCATTTCATGTTTTATACCCTCATCAATCTAGTTAAGGTTTGTCTATTTTATTTATCTTTTCAAAGAACTAGATTTTGGTTTCATGAATTGTCTCTGTTGGTTTTCTATTCTCTAATCTTTAGTAGTACTTCCTTCCCTGCACTTGCTTTGGGTTTAGTTTGTTCTTTGCTAGCACCTTATGGTGGAAAGTTAGGTTACTGATTTAAGATCTTTCTTATTTTTTAGTATAGGCATTTATAGCTATCAATTTCCATCTAACCTCTGCTTTATTCGCATCCCATAAGTTCTATATGTTGTTTTATTACATTTTCATTCATCTCAAATTGTTTTCTATTTTCCCTTTTGGTTTACCTAGGAGAGGGTTAATTTCCACATATTTGTCAATTCCCCAAATTTGTTTAAGATATTGATAACTAATTTCATTTAGTTGTGGTCAGAGAACATGCTTCTTACCATTTCGGTACTTTAAAGTTTATCAAGGTGTGTCTTATGGCCTAGCATATACTCTATCCTGAAGGAGTTCGCCTCTGTGTGCACTTGAGAAGACCAGGTGGTCTGTTGTTGGGTGGTGTAGTCTCTAGACGTATGTCAGGGTTAATGTGTTCAAGACTTCTGTTTCTTTGTGGTCTTTGCTTAGTTGTTCTATACACTCGTGAAAGTGGGGCACTGAAGTCTCCATTTATTATTGTTAAATTGTTTATTTCTTCCTTCGTTTCTGCTGCTTTTAATTCATGTATTTTGGTACACTGTTGTTACGGGTATACATGTTTCCAATTATTATATCTTCCTGATGAATTGACATTTTTATGATTATAAAATACTCCTGTTCATATCTAGTAATTTTTTTTGTTTTAAAGTCCATTTTGTCTGATATTAGTATAGTCACTCCAGTTTCCTTGCAGTTGCTGTTTGCATGATATATATACATATTTTATCATTTTATTTTCAATCTCTTTGTATCTGTGAATTAAAAGTGTGTCTCCTGAAGACAGCATGTGATTGGGTCTTCTTTCTTTGTCTAGTCTGACAATATCTGCCTTTTGATTGGATTTTTTAATCCATTCATACTTAAGTCTATTATTGATATAGTCGGCTTTTTTCATTTGCCACTTTACCTCTTATTTCCCACATGTCTCATGCCTCTCTTGTTCCTCTAATTCTTATATATTAGATAAAGCAAATATTTATCTAATGTAGCATTTTTATTTCTTAAATTTTTTTAACTTTTTAAGTTATTTCCTTAGTGGTTGCTTTATGACTTACCATACATGTATTAACCTATCATAATCAGCTTCGAATTTATACTAACTTAATTCCAGTATAAGAGACATTACTCCAATATAGTTTTATTCTTATTCTCTTTTCCTCCTTTTTTTTTTTTTTTTTTTTTTTGAGATGGAGTCTGGCTCTGTCATCCAGGCTGGAGTGCAGTGATGTGATCTCAGCTCACTGCAAGCTCCACCTCCCGGGTTCATGACATTCTTCTGCCTCAGCCTCCCTAGTAGCTGGGACTACAGGCACCTGCCACCACTCCCAGCTAATTTTTTGTATTTTTAGTAGAGACGGGGTTTCACCGTGTCAGCCAGGATGGTCTCGATCTCCTGACCTCGTGATCCACCCACCTTGGCCTCCCAAAGTGCTGGGATTACAGGCATAAGCCACCGCGCCCAGCCCCTTTTTCCTCCATTTTATGTTATCATTGTTATATTTATTACATCTATAAATGTTACAAGCCCAGTATTATATTCTTATAATTATGATATTATATAGATTTAAGTTTTAAGATGCTGGGAGAGGAAAACAGAGGATCTATATATTTTTAGCTTTTGTTATATTAACTTTCATTTTTGTGATTTCTGTATCTCTTCCTTTGCTCCTATGGATTTCAGTAACCATGTAGATTGATTTTGTTAGCCCAGAATAGCTTTGTTCCCACAACCTCCTTTGTCCTATTATTACAAATATATTTCCATATGTTATGGACCTAAAAATAAATTACATGCATTTTGTTTTATCAAGTTGCTTTTTAAACCAGTTGAGAAAGGAAAAGAGTAGACATATGCATTTATGCTTTTTTTTATAATTACATAATCATCATTGCCAGGGCTCTTTGTGTTTTCATGTATTTACCCTCTGGGATCACATACTTGTAGCCTGAAGAACTTTCTTTAGTACTTTTTGTAAGATAAATTGGCTAGCAACAAGTTCTTTCTTTTTGTTTATCTGGGAATGTCTTTATTTCAACTTAATTTTTGAAAGATAGCTTTGCTGGGAATAGAGTTGTCAGCCGACAGTTTTTTGCTCTGAGTGCTTTGCATATGCTATGCCATTGTCTCTGGCCTTCATTGTTTCTAATCAATACTCAGCTGTTAACTATAAAGATCCTGGAAGACAACCTAAGCAATACCATTCTGGACATAGGAATGGCAAAGATTTCATGAAGAAGATACCAAAAGCAATTGCAACAAAAGCAAAAGTTGACAAATGGGATCTAATCAAACTATAGAGCTCTGCACAGCAAAACAAACTATCAACAGAGTAAACAGACCACCTACAAAATGGAAGAAAATATTTGCAAACTATGTGTCTGAAAAAGGTCTAATATCCAGCATCTGTAAGGAACTTAAATTTACAAGAAAAAAGAAAAACAAACAACTCCATTAAAAAGTGGGCAAAGGACATGAGCAGTTTACAAAAGAAGGCATATGTGTAGCCAATAAGCATATGAAAAAATGCTCAACATCACTGATGATTAGAAAAATGCAAATCAAAACCACAATGAGATACCATCTCACACCAGTCAGAATGGCTATTATTAAAATGTCAAAAAATATCAGATGCTGGTTAAGTTGTGGAGAAAAAGGAACACTTACACACTGTTGATGGGAGTGTAAATTAGTTCAACCATTGTGGAAGACAATGTGGTGATTCCTCAAAGACCTAAAAACAGAAACAACATTCAACCCAGCAATCCCATTACTGGGTATATACCCAAAGGAATATAAATCATTCCATCATAAAGATACATGCACACGTATGTTGATTGTCACAATAGTAAAGATATGGAATCAATCTGAATGCTCATCAGTGGTAGACCGGATAAAGAGAATAAGGTACATACACACTGTGCAATACTATGCAGCCATAAAAAAGAATGAGATCATGTCTTTGCAGGAACATAGATAAAGCCAGAGGCCATTATCCTTAGCAAACTAAGGCAGGAACAGAAAACCAATTACCATGTGTTTTCACTTATAACTGGGAGCTAAATGATGAGAACATATGGACACATAGAGGGGAATAACACACACTGGGGCCTATTGGAAGGTGGAGGGTAGGAGGAGGGAGAGGATCAGGAAAAATAACTAATGGGTACTAGGCTTAATACCTGGGTGATGAAATAATCTGTACAACAAATCCCCATGACACAGGTTTACCTATATAACAAACCTGCACATGTACCCCTGAACTTAAAATAAAAGTTTTTAAAAATATTGTTAATAATACAAAAAAGCATTATGTTTAAAAAACTGTGTCTTAAGCATGATTAAACAGTTGAGTCCTAGTTTTAAAATGTCTATATATGAAATAATTGTCAGCAGAAATTTGAAAAACCCTAGGAACTGAAGCCTAGAGATATTTAATTGGATGCTTAAACTCTATGAGTCACAATGGACCTACAAAAATCCCTTGTGTCTACAGTTTAGTCATTCAGGTCAAACTGTCTAAAAAAAAAGTGAGGAGAAGGAAGGGATGGAGGGGCAGGAAAAGCTGTAAAAGAAAGAAATCAGCTACTATTCTTATTGGGTTTCCTATGTTAGTGAGAAGTCATTTTTACCTTGCTGCTTTTAGGACAGTGTGACATTAGGGCTTTAAAAGCTTAGTGCTCAATGGGTGGATGTGGCAGTGGCCTTAGGTCTTCTTGGCCTTCTTCTCTGAGTGTGAAGCCTCTACCTTTCCAGCTGAGACAAGGATGACTGGGGCTGGATAATTTTCAGCACTGCCAGACCCAAGGCAGAACCTCTGTCCCACAAGTGGGGGCTGAGTGGAAGAAAGAAGCCTTCATTTCTCGGCCTCACTCACCTAGAACTTAGCCTCAGCAATAGGTAGCTAAGGACTGCAAGGGAAATGGGGATGTCCTGCCCCTCCAGAGACGATAATCCTCTGAGGAACTGGGTGAGGAGCAAACCTCGTGTTCTTGGCTGCACTTCTCTGGGTTGGGTTTTCCATCTCCTTGAACTAGGAGGGGAGAGGGAGGGGGTGGGTCTTGGCACAAATATTATAGATTGCCACTGTTCTTACTGAGGTTTAGTAAGTTTTCTTGAATAAATATTTCTTCATTTGCTGTATGACCTTAGGATCATTTCCAGGGCTTTTAATTTTTATTTTTATAAAAAATAATTTTTACCAGTTTTGCTAAGAAATGGATCTTCAGAACTACTCATGCTACTGTGCTTGGAAGTGGAATCTCATTTCTAAAGTGCATCTGCCTCCAGATGGGCTATTAGTCCCATTGTCCAAAGCCAGAGATGTCCTACATATGAAATACATTATCCAGAGGAATGGAATCGCAGATTTCCTGTGCAACCTGCACGACACTGTTGCTTTACATGATTCCTTCTAGTTATGTATTATTGAATCTGGGAAGTCACAATGCAGGTCTTTCAAAATATAGATGACTTTTCAGAGAAAAAGCAGAGTTTGCTCGGAGCAGTTGGCAGCCTTCCTTGGGGGTGAGAAGTTGTGGGTGAACATGACTCTCAGTGACCTCTGGCTCACTAACCTCTGCCCCATCTCTGGTTCTGCCTCTTCAACTCCCATCTCTTTGCTGATGTTCACTCTAGAGGCTGGGGATCCATAATGCCTATGGCTCAAGGATGCAGTGGGGGGTGGATACTTCACACACAACTTATGAAAGCTCATCTTACAGTATCTTATTTAATTTTTTTAGGTTATGTCAAAATGTGGAGGATTAAAATAGCCCATGTGACAATGTCAAAGAGTTCCTGGTATTGAAATGGCTGAAATAGGAACACCAAGTCAAAAATGTTGCAAATATGTTCCACAGAGAGGATGTTTTTGGTGGCCTCTAGATTTGGGTGGGGAGGGATGAAGGTATGCATGCTGATGAGATGTTCTCTGAAGAGGATCAGTTTCAGGAAATTCAGGAAAGTCTGGAGGAAGAAACCGAGGCGTACATCACCAGCACCACACAAATCAGAGTTCACAAATGGCAAAGTTGGATGGCTTTTGAGAACTATGTCCTCCAGGAATTCTCAATGATTTCTTGTAGTCCACAATAAATGTTGGAAGATGGTGGTATCTTAGCTCTTCTGTTAATAAAACCTTTTAATGTAAATTTTTACACATTTTAAATATTTCTAGGGGGGCTGGAAGAGGAGAACATAACATATAGCATGCAGTATTCCATAGAACTAGTTAATGTGGAGAGTTACTGAAAAAAATGTAATGAGTGAAATAGTATTACTTTTATTTATTTAATGCAAAAAAAACCTACCCATCAGTTCCTCATCGAATTAGAATATACCTGATGTTACCCTCCTGAGAATTGTTGGATCCACTTAGAGGACTCAGGCTTTGAGTTTGACACACACTGCTTTGGACCATTTGCATTTCTTCATCCCACACATCTAGACTCTCAGGAGGTCAGGTTTTCAGAAGGAGAAGTTGAGGAGGCGCAGGCATTGTATCACTCACTACTTTCTTTAATTCAAATGCATTCCATGTCTCCTTATGTTGGAAGCTTCAATGACATTTTATCAGCTTGAGTATGCATGGCCCCTTAGCTTTCTGGCACTAAACGGAGAGAAATATTTAGAAATAAGTGAGTACTTTCTTGGAAATTCTACTTGTATATGATGGTGTAGGTAGATGAAGAGAATTACATCGGATTCCTGTAGCTAGAGTAGAGATACATTATCATTTGTTTGGAGATTCTAGTTCTTCTCCAACATAGTCCATATATTGAAATAAAAACACTTCCAGTTGATTGGCTAATATATACATATATACATGTCTATGTATACATATACAAGCATACACAAATACATATGCAAATATGTGTGCATGTCTGTATGCTAATGAAAGGCCAACAGTTTCTAAGTGACTACTAGTTAATTCATAGCTAAAATATTGCTGTCACCCTTTTTATGTTTTGTAACGCTTAGTAACTACGTGATAGGTACTGTATACAGAAAGGTTATGCAGCATGCTTTATTCTGTAGTTGTGATAGTGACTCAGTAAAGTTACAGTGAGACAATGTGATAATAATGAGAGCTGAAAATGCTGCAGTCCATTCAAAGCACGATTGTCAAACTGGAATGTCTTGAGTTGGTGTGTCGTTCTTTAAAATTTTAGGAAAATGTTAGGAATCATTTTAATGATTAATTCATGGTAAAGTAGCAAACATTCTTCTATTCCTGGTTCTCTCAAAGGTCATTTGTCAATCTATTTTTATTTTAAAATAATGTGTGTGCAGCATATACTTCATTAGGAAGGACATTCAGAGAGGTTTCTAGATGAGAATAAAATGAATTCAGGCACTTATTCAGAATGAGGCCAGATGTTTTCCCAGGAGTCTTGCATTCCTAACCACAAGCCAGTGTCTGCCAGATTTGAGTGTTAGGTCTCAAAAACTAAACACCCCGCGCTTAATGCAAATTAAATTAGAATGAGAAAAGTAATTATCCAGGACTTACAACGGCCAAGTAAAGAAATGAGATGACTGCCCTTCATACAAGGAGGTGCTGCTGATCTGCTATTAACAAGGTAAGTTCCCTGAGATATTTTTCCTGGGTTGTGGTCACAAGGGACAGTTCTGAGCTAGCCATGTCTTCTCAGGCTTCCCGTTCCCTTTTTCCTAAAGGTACACTTGAGAAAACAGCTGGATGGGCTTAAGGAATAACTTCCTCTACAAAAACTGCCTAACAGGAGATGTGGCTTAGTGCATCTACAAAAATAAGCATTGGCCTATGTGCTGAAAATAGTTCTGCTAGGTGGGAGGGCAGGTGGAGGCCACGCTGATAAAATGTAGGGCAATCTTGGTCAAACAAATCATGTATTGGGCCGAAAACATTTTCTGCTTCTGACTTTTTTGTTTGTTTGTTTCCATAGGAATTTGGCAGGGAAGGGAGACTGAGGAGAGGGAAGCTGATGATTTAGTGCATTTGCTTAATGTTGATCATATATTTATCAGAGCAAGTACTGATCTCACATCCTGAAGATTTACTGCACAGTTGAACAGGGTGGAGGAGACTCAAGCGCGTTCTGGTGGGAACCCATCATAATGCTGAAATCTGAGGTTGGATCTAATTCCCATGTAAATCAAGCTTGCTCTGGATGTTGCTTTTTGTGCAGTGGGGGACATGGTTTTGTTTGGGTTATATTTGAACCGCACTGTATCATAATAAAAAGCCAGAATTAAACGTCATCTGCAAGAAGGCATTCATTCTCAGATTCAGGTATAGAATTTTAGAGCTGGAAAAGATATCTGGTTTGAGTGCCTGATTTTATAAATAGAAAACTAAGGGACTTGCCCAAGGTCACACAGCCATGAGCATCCCTCCCCAGATAACACAATAGCTTTTAGTACCTTGGGAGACATTATCTTTTAGGCAGACTCTGAAAAGTATCCGTTTTGAAAGAGCTTAGCTTTTTTTTGGCTTTAATCCTCACTTGAACGGTTTCTCTAATGCCTGTTTTTTTCTCGAACAACCATGAACACATCAATCAGATTTCTTGAATCTTTTATCCCTGCACAACACACTAGGCACATTGTAGCAATTACAAATCTCAAAGGATACAGCTACAGGACTAATTTTCTGATAGTATAAAACATGATATAATTTTCAAACATGACATACAAACCATCTGAGTTTGTTGTGGGAGGTATACACGCCTCGAATGTAAACTTATACTTCAATAGTTAAGGATCCATCAGAAAATGCAATTGCATATGTTTATATGTTTATATTCCTCCTTTGGAATCTTCCACTCTTCTCAGTTCTTATGAACTTGAGCACGGTAGAATTTGGTGAGAACCTCTGCTTAATTTGTTGTATATTAAATAAGTGTTTATGAACTGTTTGCTATGCACCTGACCCTCAATTTTACCATATGAGATTGCTAAGACTCAAGGCCAAAATGAACGGAGTGTGTTTTCCAGAGGAACCAAATTTTAGAGCAGGAAGGGACATTCAAGATCATGAGGCCACTCATGCAAGATGCAGAAACGGGACCAGATTGTTAGCATTCAGGCTGCATTCCATTCCATCACACCTGTGTCTCCCTTCAGTTCATGTCTTCTTATAGGATAAAATTATTTCATGAGTGATCATTTAAATGACAGGTTTAGGACAGGTTCTATTGACTTGGGCAAAAGGCATCTTGTTCTTGATAAGTTCGCATTTAAATATGTTTTGTAGGATTGTTTTCAAAACTAAAGACCTACTTTCTTATAAAATTGAAAAAGATAATAATTTGAATCAACTTGGTTATAGGAAGACAGCAATAGCATCTTGTAAATATATTTCTAAAGAGGAGAGAGAAATAGAGAATCATCCGTGTGAGCACGTTTCACTGAGAAAATGAAATTTAGGTCGTGAACCTTCAGGTCTTGCCATGTGGGCTTGATTGCTGAACGTACACGGAAAATCCTGTTAGCATGGGAGGAGACATACTTGACATCTGACTTAGCCCTTATTTCATAGATAAGAACAGGGAGTCCCATATGAGTTGTGACTTACCCAAGATCACATGGCCATTTAGTGGCAAAGCACATTGTTTCAAACCTCTGATGTCCATTCAACTGTTAGCTCATGTACTGTGCCCCCACCGCAGTCAAATATTCCAACAATCTTAAAAATACGAGCTACCTGAACATGGTCTTGACCATTTTGGTCTGAATCAAAGGAGCTCTCTAATAGTCCTGATGTTAGAGGGTGAATTTGAAACTTGCAATCTCTGGGTGCCTCCTTCAAGCTCCAGATCATTGTTTCTTATCAGACTGCCTTTACTGAGAAACTCAAACTTTTAAGTAATACTGACTGCATTTAATTGTTCTTTAGAATTCAGTCAGATTCCTCCGTAGAGAATGTGAATCCCAGCAGGTATCTTGACCAAACTACAATCTTCGCCTAATCTAAGCTTTCATTTAAAGTTTTTCTATAAAATATGAATTTGTGAATGGGAGTTGATGGCTGGAGGCTGGGGAGTTTCAGGATATTGAATGAGCTGTCACATTACCATAACCTGATTTAGATTCCCCAGAAGGCAATTGTGACTGGAATTTTCTGGGCTGAAATGATGATGGGAGAGTTTTACGTAGAGAGGATATGACAGACTCAGCCTGAGGAGTGACTGTAAGGGGAACGAATTGTGACTGGAGGTGAAATTCAGGGGTATATAAAGGAATGCTTTGGGGCAGGGGCTACATTATGGGGAAAAAGGAAAGATAAATTTGGAATTTTGAGGGCATAGAAAATTTTAGGATCAGAATTACTTGTAGTGCATGGATGCGTTGAATCATAAATGATGAATTTTAAAAAATACAGTCACACATCAGTCATTGCAGTAAAGTAGCTGAGGTTTTTTAAAAACAATGATACCATTCTAGAACTTTTTTAGAAGCAAAAGCTTAAATCTCCAATGCTACTGTCAATCTTTGGTCTACACTTAAAAATTCCAAATTAAGGGAAGAACTAATTAGTGGTAGATCTCTTGGAATTGAATTATCTCAGGCAGCAGCTCAAGAATCTTTCTTGTTCATAGGGAAATTCTTGCAGGGAATTCATGATCTCGCTTGCTTTAATCTACTCCTGCTGGTTGTAAGGAGTGCAACGACGATGTTCCTTAGTATTTACTTGCTCTGCTGCCCCCAAGGTCACTCATTCTGTTTCGCAAACGTGGCTTTGGCTCAGGGCTGCCTCACTGTGTCCTCTTGATGGGGCAAATGAGATCTAGAGAAGCCAAACTTCCCTGAGGTCTCAAGCCCACTAGGCCTGAAGTAAACAGCTAATGGTGTGTGAGGGCTTACACTATGCCCAGTGCTTTTACATGTATTAACCAGTTGAGGTCTCAGGATTCCTCATTTGCCACCCCTACTCTGAAATGAGGAAAGTTTAAAAACTTGCCCCAGGCCACTCAGGTAGGATATGTGGTGGATCTGAGAGTTGAAGCCAAGCAGTCTTTTTTTTTTTTTTTTAATTGTGGCAAGAACATTTAACATGAGATTTACCCTCTTAACAAAGTTGTAAGTGTAAGATACAATATTGTTAGCTATAGGCACGATGTTGTACGGCAAACTTCTAAGACTTAATTAGCTTACATGACTAGAAATTCATACCCATTGAAGAGCAACTCCTCATTCCCCCTTCCCTAAGCCCATGGTACCACTATTCTAGTCTCTGCTTCCATGTGTTAGAATATTTTAGATTGACTATATGTGGAATCATGCAGTATTTGTCCTTCTGTGCCTGGCTTGTTTCACTTAGCGTAGTGTCTTCTAGGTTTATGTATGTTGTTGTATATGACAGGATTTCCCCCTATCAAGCTCAGTCATATCCCATTATATGTATATGCCACTGTTGCCTTATTCAATCCTCTGTCCTGGGCATTAGCAGTGTGATTGCACAGCTCTGAATTACATCCAGTACCAGGTTTCCTGAATCCTTTCACCTGCACCTAGCTTCTGTTTCTTCAAGAAATTTCAAATAGGAAATCGCTTCCCTTGCCTTCAGAAATGGGAATAATTGTTCAAATCACATTTGTCTTATTTTCCCACATTTACGTCATGCCCTGGAATTACTATTTCATTGTAGGGATTTCCTTATTAATAAGTAAGTTTTCTGAGCTGTTCCCTTGAGTAGCTGAATTTACAAAAGATCTGCCAGTAACCAATGGTCAGGCTTCTCCCCTTAGATTGAAAACTCAAGACTAAACCAAAGATTGGTGATAGAAATGGTGGGGGTGGGGGGGAGTTTAAGCTTTTGCTCCTAGAAAGTTCTAAAATGGAATTGTTTCATTAACACCTCAACTACCTGATGCATGTGACTGTACTTTTCAACTCACAGATTTTTATTTAATGCCCCCGCCACATGATCTCCGAATCCTGAAATTACCTATCTGCTCATATTTCCAAGTTAAGCTCTCCATTATTGGTTCTAGAATTAGTCCATTCTTCTCATCTCTACAGTCAAAAGAAACTCTTGGAAGAGTAAAGACTAAAAAACAAAAAAGGGAGTACAAATACCAGAAGATACTAAACAAATTCATGTCCCAACTTGTTGTTCTAAAGCAAATAAATTATGCCACATGTAGTTGCTTTTCGTTGCCAGCCAGATCCAGAGATAGCCCATGGTTTCCTCTGCAGTCTAATCTGAAAAATACATGCATATAACTATATTATTGAGTAAGATACCCAGATTAGATTTTATTCACTCACATTCATTTATTTGTTTGATACATTTACTAAATCTCTAGCCTGGCTTGTGCAGGACAGTTCCTGCTCAAAGAGCACAAGTCAACACCAACCACGATGCCTTGGAACAGGGAGGAAGATTTCAAATAAGAAGTTATCTCTACAGTTTTTATTAATTTACTTTTGTAGATGGGGGGAAAAGTATGATTTCCTCAACTTACGAGCAATTGCATGCCAATAGCTTATTTAAAAATTGGCTGTTTGGAGCCCAGCACATATTTTCTTCCACGGAAACAATGGCACACATGTTCACTAGCCTCGCCAGGTGGGATCACAGAAATGGGACCTGGGCAACATTGTTATGCTAGTATTGTTGCCTCCACTTTTGAGTCCTAGTCGCAGTGAAGAGGAGGGCAGTAAGAAACCCAAAAGGAGGAGGGTAAGAAAGAGGATGGAGTGGAGCCTGCCGTGTTGGAGGTAACATGGTCTGACCTTGACCCTGGGCAAGTCTCTTTATCTTTCTAAGCCTCAGTTTTCTTATCTGTGAAAGAGATATTACCTAATCCTCAAAAGCATGGAATATCAGCCAAAGTGTCTGGTCCCTCCTTTCCTGGGTTTGAGGGTAGCTCCAGGAAGCAGCTGGAAATAGGAAATTGACATTCTTAAAAGATTTCTGCAACTTCTTCATTTTTCAGTGTTTCTGGACTTCTCCATCTACATTAACCAAAATTAGCCCATTCCCTAAAATTATCTTTCACCAAAATTACCTACCTACCCTTTCCAGCTTTTCAAAACTCTGAGTAACTCAGGATTGTTGGTCTCAGCTAGGTGTCAGGAGGAAAGCAATCTGATCGAATCAACCCACACAAGTGCATGCAGAGCTTGACAGTCTCTGAACTCTCCTAGAGTTAGTTGCATTTTGGGGGGGAAGAAAAGCCTCTGCTTATTATCCAAAAAGCATGTCCCAGTGATGTGATTTTAGCCAGCGTGCCAAAGTGTAGTCAAAACTTCAGGCACAGTGGGGGGAAGATATTTTTGGGCTGGGGAAGGTCAGCTCGTTCTGTGCATCTGTCCCTGGCCAGCTCCATGCTGCCTTGCCTTTTTCACAGTACCTTCCCTTTCTTTACTTCTGAACCTCCAATTCCTCTCATGCTTTTTGCCTACCCAGAATGGCTTTTTTTGGCAGCCACCCCAGGGATCCCTGAGGTGAGGAGATGACGGGAGGAAGGGGCATTTGCACATGCTGTTCATTTTTCTGAGTCATTTCTAGGTTGGGGTTGTTTCTACTAGCATTTCGGATACTCTTTATAATGCTGTGATAATGGCTATGTGGTTGTTTAGATATGAGTCTCGATAGAAATATTCATTGGCAGTGAATTCTATAAATTATTGGAACTTCTGAAGATTCTCCAGTGGCCTTAGAAGTAAGTTTTGTAAGAGTGATTGTCTTACAAATATTTTTTTTACCAGACTGCAAACCTTTCTTGTTTGAAATTGGTATGGGTCTTGGAGACTTATTTTGTCTTCTTCCTTAAATTTAAATATAAGAAAACCAAATCCCAGAAAGGTAAACATGAACAGCCTCTATAGTTACTCTTGTTCTCATTTCGAGAACAGATGTGGGGTGACAGTGATTAAGTTGGTCCATATTGTCCATACCAACTTGAAAGCACGTTCCTCCCCAGACGTTAAGCTTAAAAAAAAAAAAAGATTGGTGGGTCAAGGAAGTCAGAGGGCTAATTAAATGGCAAGTTGTCTGAGGTTTGAGGCAAGGCATCAGGAAGGGAAACCCCCACATCTGCATGTCCAGAGCTGTTAGCAGAAGGTCATGAGAATATCACTAAACTCCTTGCTCACAGTAGCTGTATTAGTTTGTTTTCATGCTGCTGATAAAGACATACCTGACACTGGGTAATTTATAAAGAAAAAGAGGTTTAATGGACTCAGAGTTCCACATGGTTGGGGAGGTCTCACAATCAGGGCGGAAGGCAAAAGCATGTCTTACATGGCAACAGACAAGAGAGAATGAGAACCAAGCAAAAGGGGTTTCCCCTTATAAAACCATCAGATCTCATGAGACTTACTACCATGAGAACAGCATGGGGGAAACTGCCCCCATGATTCCATTACCTCCTCCACCAGGTCCCTCCCACAATACATGGGAATTATGGGAGCTATAATTCAATATGAGATTTGGGTGGGGACACAGCCAACCCATATCAGTAGCAGTGGCTGGAAGACGTTGAAATGGCACTGAAGGAATCGTTCTGGGAGCTCAGCCTGTCTCTCACAGGGTTACTGCCTAACACCACACCATTTTGCTGCCTGACATTCCCTCTTCATTTGCTAATTTAGAAAATTGCAATTTGTCAAAAAGAGCTGAAAATACTTCACTTTCAACCTCACAGAGTGAATGGGGGTATCAAACAAGGTCATCTATGTGAAAATATTTTAGAAACCAAGAGTGCAGACCAGTGCAAGCTGTTCTCACCATGCTGACCATTTTATACATGGCTTTTTCACTCCATCTTTTCTCCATCAGAATTGATTAAACTCTTTTCTTCAGGCTGGCGTAATTCTCAGGATGTCAATCCACTAGTAGCGGTCCTTTTTTTTTTTTTTTTTTTATGGCTGGGACTTAAATGCACTGCCAGGGGGAGTGTGGAGGTCAGAATCAAAGCTTAGTAGATTTCCAGTTATCACTGCTCCTTCACATTCCTCTGAAAAGTGCAGGACATTGGGCAGATGCTCTTGTGCCTGCTGGGGATATCTGACCCTGAAAGTAGTGAAAAAACTAAATTAAGATTTTTTTTTATTGTGCCTCTAGCAAAAACAGTTACCAAACCAGTCAAGTGTTGGTGTGACTGGCACCTGCAGTGGTAATTGGGATTCTAGGAAAGTTCTTAGAACATTTGCCTTCTTTTAAATAAAATGTTTTAATTATACTTCATGATTCCTGATCTTCCACAGGGAAAACAATTTCATTTTTCTTGGTGAGTCCTTGAACCTCCACTTCTCTCTTACTTGGCATTTTGAATTTAGTCAAATATTAATCATTGCAAAGAAATTCAGGAGGAACAAACTCATTTTCACTGCTGTGGCCTTCACTGTAACAGTTCTTGACCCGTGCTGTCCAAATTTCATGTTATAAATGATGATTTCCACATTATTTGAAAAGTATATATAAGTATGACCCAGTCAATTATGAAAACTACCCAAGAATGTATCTTCATGGCTGTAACTTTTTTTGGGAATATGCTCAGTTTTTAAATTTTACTACTACTCCTATTGTATTAAATACATGCTAGATTTGACTTCCTTATGATTCATTTTAAAATTACCCAATTAAATAACAGACATTGCATGAATTTTATTTTCTAAAGTATGTGAGTTAAGAAATTTAAAAACAAATCACCATTTGTCTAATATTTTGCTTAAATCTATTTCAAGGCTTTATAGAAGTAATTCACAATGTTTCCATTGACCTTGATGATGCATATTGCAAAAATCTATCCACTTATAAATATTTTTAACAATTCACAGAACAAGAATCTTCTTGTGGATTTTCCAGTCCAATACTAGGTGGGATGGAGCAAGGGATAGTGTATATCATAGAGGAGGTATCAGCTGCTGGAAACAGAATCCAGGCAAGGACAAGGCAAGGGTGAAGAGCATACAGCAGCTGGGACCCAGATAGAGGGGAAGAGACTGCAGGATATGAGTGACATGCATCAGGGAAGCAAAAATAGACTAATCACATTAAGGAGGGAAGTGGGTCAAGACCCCTGTGATCACATCACACCACTGGAGGTGCTTTTAACCCAGCTTCAGCTATAGTGCAACTTTAATGAATGCTATGGGGCTTCTTCCCGAACATGTACAATTTACTTGCAGTTTGTGGACATTCATGGTTTTTTGATGGTGATCTGCAAACCACTAAGTATTCATAACCCCCCAACATGAAAACTGTTATTTTTATGCAAGATCTTTTTTACTTAGTTAATTGTGTTCATTCTAATAATGCTATAAAGAAGTACCTGCAACTGGGTAATTTATAAAGAAAAGAGATTTAATTGTCTGGTTATGCAAGCTGTGCAGGAAGCATTGTGGCTTCTGGGGAGGCCTCAGGAAACTTTTGATTGTGGTGGAAGGTGAAGGGGAAGCAGGCACGTCTTACATGGCTGGAGCAGGAGGAAGAGACAGAGTGGGGAGGGGCTACACACTTGTAAACCATCAGATCTGGTGATAACTCACCCTTGCCATGACAACATCATGGGGGACAGTGTTAAACCAGGAGAAACAGCCCCCATGATTCAATCACCTCCCACCAGGCCCCACCTCCAACATTGGGGATTTCAATTTGACATGAGAGTTCCGTGGAGACACAGATCCAAATGATATCAGTAATCTACATCTTACTGCATGGCCAATGTTGAAGGCTGATTAGCCTATACTGGATAGATCCAATCCTTAAGATAAATCAGGCACATTCCAAGGCTTCTGGGTCCACTAGAGACTTCTATAACCTCTTGCTATTCCTTTCACTTATCTGAAAAACCCAAAACAAAACAAAAACAAAATAAAACAAAACTTAACAACCCAGACAGGGAAAAAGACTGATAGTTTTCTAAGGCTGCTCAGTTGCAAACCCTTCTTTTTTTTTTTTTTTTTTTTTTTTTTGACAGATTCTTGCTCTGTTGCCCAGGCTGGAGTACAGTGGCGTGATCTCGGCTCATTGCAACCTCCATCTCCCAGGTCAAGTGATTCTCCCACCTCAGCCTCCTGAGTAGATGGGATTACAGGTGCGCACCACCACGCCCGGTTAATTTTTGTATTTTTAGTAAAGACAGACAAACCCTTCTTTTTGAGCCTCCATTAGCAATGTAAAAAGTGAGTGTTAGGAACATGAGTGGAATTTTGAGGATATTTTCTGTTTTGTGTTATTCAGCCTGATGTGGTGCTGTTGCAGAGACCTTCATATACATTCTGGGCATTCACATGTTGCTCTACATCCAGGCCTCAAAGACCTCAAAGTAGGTCTTCAATAACCTACATAAGCTGTGTTTTGTGATTATTCAGCCCTGGACTGCAGGAGGCCTCTCAATATGAAGGTGACAGGGCCAATATTTTGGATCCACACTTTGGTCAGATACTAGTTTTCCTATAGTCTATATTCACTTAAATAAAGCAGGAAAATGAATAATTTATAAAAAATAATTTAGATCAAGCATGCTCTTTCACCCGAGATACTTCAACATAATTGAGTGAGTTGCTGAATTTTATTCAAATATTTTTACCATCTCACATACGGGCTTTTTAAAAATAGCTCATTGTATGCAATGCAGTTAAGACAATACTTATGTTATTTTTTTCCCTTCTGAAGTTAGAGAATGTTCATTTTGAATTCATTTCTTTAAAATTGTGACATTTACATTGAAAAGAAACTGATATTTGTGTTTATGCAACACAGTATTTTTATTAATTGCATATGCAAGTAACATCTTTTTTTAATTTTATGATTATTATACTTTAAGTTTTAGGGTACATGTGCACAATGTGCAGGTTAGTTACATATGTATACATGTGCCATGCTGGTGTGCTGCACCCATTAACTCGTCATTTAGCATTAGGTATATCTCCTAATGCTATCCCTCCCCCCTCCCCTCACCCCACAACAGTCCCCTGAGTGTGATGTTCCCCTTCCTGTGTCCATGAGTTCTCATTGTTCAATTCCCACCTATGAGTGAGAATATGCAGCGTTTGGTTTTTTGTTCTTGTGATAGTTTACTGAGAATGATGATTTCCAATTTCATCCATGTCCCTACAAAGGACATGAACTCATCATTTTTTATGGCTGCATACTATCCCATGGTGTATATGTGCCACATTTTCTTAATCCAGTCTATCATTTTTGGACATTTGGGTTGGTTCCAAGTCTTTGCTATTGTGAATAGTGCCGCAATAAACATACGTGTGCATGTGTCTTTATAGCAGCATGATTTATAGTCCTATGGGTATATACCCAGTAATGGGATGGCTGGGTCAAATGGTATTTCTAGTTCTAGATCCCTGAGGAATCGCCACACTGACTTCCACAATGGTCGAACTAGTTTACAGTCCCACCAACAGTGTAAAAGTGTTCCTATTTCTCCACATCCTCTCCAGCACCTGTCGTTTCCTGACTTTTTAATGATTGCCATTCTAACTGGTGTGAGATGGTATCTCATTGTGGTTTTGATTTGCATTTCTCTGATGGCCAGTGATGGTGAGCATTTTTTCATGTGTTTTTTGGCTGCATAAATGTCTTCTTTTGAGCAAGTAACATCTTTTAAAGAATTTTCAAAGATATAGGCCAGGCGCGGTGGCTCACGCCTGTAATCCCAGCACTTCGGGAGGCTGAGGCGGGCAGATCACCTAAGGTCAGGAGTTTAAGACCAGCTTGGCCAACATGATGAAACCCTGTCTGTACTAAAAATATAACAAAATTAGCCGGGTGTGGTGGTGTGTGCCCGTAATCCCAGCTACTCAAGAGGTTGAGGCAGGAGAATTGCTTGAACCCAGGAGGCGGAGGTTGCAGTGAGCTGAGATCACATCACTGCACTTCAGCCTGGGCAACAAGAGTGAAAACTTCATTTCAAAAACAAAAAAGTTTTAAAAAAGACAAACCAACATCTTTTAGGGACCTCTAGATTTCATGTGATTCTCTGCAGTATTCACCTGAGTAAGAGGGCATTTTGTTTTTCTTAATTATCTCCCTCAAAAAGCATGATCACCCCAGTATCCAACCCTGTGCCTACCTCATCCCATAACCCATGTTCTTGTTATTATTCTTCTACTGTCAAATAAGTTGGTCATTGTGTTCCTTATTTAAAACTTCATGTGCCAAGTTTCAGTCTATTTGGAACTAGGAAAAGGTTTTTCTTCTGCCGAGTTGTGGTAATTTTACCAGGCAACCTTCTGTGCAAAAGTCCTTTTTTGGAATCACAGTTCCAAGTTCTGCTCTAGAAATAGACCCACTGAGTTCAGGTCCTGCTCTATTTCTTAGAAATCATGTAAATTATTTAATTCCATTAAACTCTCCTTCCCACGTCTGGATTAAGTGAGATAATGCATGAACATTTAATAGATGCAAATACTCAAAAAACAGAACCTAACACAATTATATTCGATGAACAATTATTTACTTAGTTTAGGCTTTGTATCATTGTTAATCTCACTTATCCATGCCTTTTGGGGAACAGACATTTCTTTTTCCTTTTCTAAATAATCACTCACAGTATTTGTCGGGACTGGCTAGGATAAGCCCCAAATCCCCTCAAATTTCTGTGGTTTAGCAAAATCAACAAAGAGCCCTGAGCAGGTTGGCAGGGAGACTCCATCAGAAGTCTAAGTGGATGTGGGCTCCACTCCCTCATCCTTGGGAGTACACGTTGTCCTCAGTTGAAGTGTCAGGGGAGCAGAGAACCCAGGCTCACACATGGGCTTTTCATTGCCTACACTAGAAAGTGGCACCTGTCACCTTCCTTCCCATTTCACTGGCTCATACGAGTCACACAGCGTCACTCAGCAGCCCAGAGCTGAGAGCAGCATCCTTCGCATGCCCGGGAGGAAAGCTGGTGAGATAGCCTCGGCAACATCTCCCTCAAATCCCTTGAATAACACCTATCTTCTCAATCCTGCCTTTCTGTATTATTTTTGTCTTATTCTGTGTGTGTGTTTTATTGTAAACTACTTCAAGTCTTTTTCATGAAAAGAGCCCGTGGGAAACAACCTCCTGAGATTTTACGGGGAAGCTGGCTTTGTTTACCATTTTGCCATTTCTACTTCATATCATTATATTATTTGAGGATACTTTCTTTGACACGTGGAGTCTACTGTGTTTTATTAGACACAACATATCTATTGTGTTTTATTAGATGCAAGTGACTTATGCCTTGAGAATTTAACCATCTTCCAGAACTGTTCCACCAAAAACTCATCCTCAGATTTCCTAGAGTTAATAGTAATGGTTTACATTCTTTGTAAAAGTGAATACTTTCTGAGCCTAAAAACCTAATGGAAAAAGATTAATCTCCATGTAGCAATGGTGATAATGCACTGTCATAAAACCAGTAGACTCAACGTTCATGTAATCAGCAAAATCCAACCTATTTTAGTTGTGGATAGGAACCATGAAAAACAAACAAGCTTATAAAACCCCCAAAGAGCATTGATTGTAAAACATGCACTTGAACAACACCAACACCAACTAGGAAATCCTCACAAGTTTATGGTCTTGAAAATACAAATAATGTGGTTCAGTTTGAAAAGAGATTCCAAACATCAAATGCTTCATCTATTTTCTTCTTTTTTTGTTTTAAGGATGAATCTGTAAACATGTTCACGCTCAGCCTGTCTTATTATTTTTGCTTCCACGTGGTCAGAAACACAAGAGGAGTCTTATTTCTCAGGATATTTTGAAATTTAAGTTTCAAACCCTACTGTGAAACAGGCATGGTAGAAACAGACAAAAACAAAGAGCTTATTGTCATAATTTTTTTTTTTGGAAAAAATGTAAGAATGATTGAATCATGTACTTGATGTAAATTTGGGTACTTAGGAGGTAAGAGCTATTCCAAGGCATTAGGCAGTGGGCAGCTGGCCATGGTCCCCTCACCTCCTGTGTCCGGGACTGCTGCTCCTTCCACAGAGAGGGTGCACATGCAGACAGGGCCGAGTCCTTTTGAGCCTGTCACGAGCAGCGTGAGGTTCTGTGCAAACACGCAGAAGCCCCTGGCTACTCCTTCTCCCTTACACACAAACATACAGCCTATTTACAGATCATGTGGATTTTGCCTCCAAAGCCCCACTTGTACTGCTCCTGTTCTTTCCATGGTCACCAGCCAAGTTCAAACCACCATCCTGACTTGCCCAAAAATGCCCGTACAGCATCCTGTTGACCAATTCAGTGACCCACTCTGGACCCCGCATCTGTGTGACCTCCACTCTGCAGTCTGAGAGATCGTGTAGAGACACTGCTCTCAGGGTGCCCCTGCCATGCTTATCCCCTGGGAGCTACTTCAATCATTACCCCTTGCCCAGAGGATGAAGTCTCACATCCTCTACAGGGGCTTGCCAGGCCGTCCTCCTCTTCCACCACCTGCCTCTTCCACCTCCTCAGTGACCACTTTTGCTATGATTTTCTCCATCTCAGCTGGGCTTCCCCTTCTCACATAGGGAGGGTCCCTTCCATCTGGGCCCTTCAACGTGTGTGCTAGGGGAGAACAGAAAGGGAAGAGAAGGATGGGAGCAAGAAAACTGAGTAAAGATTCTCAGCTAGAGGCCACACACAGTAAAATGAGCACATGAACACATCTATTCTTCCTCAGTTGACACGGATTGCCACAGAACTTACCTGCTCATTGAATAGGGTTTGACTGGGCAACTCCTACAGAAAATATTTATAATTTGGAATTTTTCTGTCTGGAACAGGGAATCTCTGCAGAAAGAGACCTTAATGACAGAAGGGAAAAATGATGACTGGGTTCCTGCTATAAATTCATGACCTGGTTTCATAAATCCTCCTCTTTATATAGGCACAGCTGTGCATTTTTATTTTCAGATCAAGCCCTCATTATCCTTTTCATTGTTTTTAAGGCATGCTAGTTCACACTACTATATACAAACCCTGAATTGTGAACTTTTCACTCACTAACCAATTCATTAAGACCTGGTCTCCTTAAAAAGTGACCATTATCAAAAAGAAGGCAAGAATTTTATTTGGAAATTGTGCAAATGGGATGATTAATTGGTTAGAAGTCAGGAATACGGAATTGGCCTTCAATTTGCATTTGCGTGGCAAGCACATCATTTCTTGTATATATTTTATGTTTATTTGGGGTGCCTTTACAGGGAGCTGAAGGAGATTACTGGGAGACCCTCCACAAACATTGCTACATTTAGCAAAGTGGCTGGACATTCCCCACCTTGTGTATCACTGCCCTGATATCACTGTGATCTGTTTTTATCATTGATGGCTGCAGCAGCCCATCTGGAGCAGCCACTGTGAGGATGCGAGCTGCAGCCTGGGCCATGCACTCCATGAAGCCAGTGGGGGCCAGGAACAGGTGGAAGCCCTGCACCCTACTGAGTTGGTGGGGCAGGAGCCCCACACTCCCATGCACAGCTCCAGCCACCCAGCCATGGTTCCAGACCCAGGCATCCTTGCACTCTCAGGGGCCTGCGAAGACTCCTGCCCTGGCAGGCTTGGAAGTGCCTGTTCCCACTCCCTGGCCTCTCCTCATTCCTGGTGCCCACTCCAGTGTGGAGCAAAGTTGTGGTCAAGCCTGGGCACTGTCATGACCTGGCTGGGTGTGCATGTGCCAAGGGCAGTGCTGACACACTAGCTGCCTGCTGCCCCAGACCCCTCTGAAACTTTGGGCACCAATGAGCTCAGGGAGGGAGGCCCAGAGGGCTGAGGATGGCTCTGCAAGGGCCTGTGGGCACTCCTTAGCATGGACAGCCTGGGCACTGCAGACAGCATGTTGATGGTGGCAGGAGGCAGACAGGTTCCTAGGTGGGAAGGGGCAGGTCCCCAGTGAATTCCCAGTTTCAAGCCAGGGATGGACTGAAGCCTGGGGGCTGGGCTGCCAGTTTCAGGTGAAGTCCATGACCCAGAGTGGGAACTTATGGTGCTTTTTCCAGCCCCAACCATGGCTACCCATGGACTAATCAGCATGCACTTCCTCCCTCCTGAGCCCATAAAAACCCTAGACTCAGCCAGACTCAGACACTCTCTGGGACGACCTGCCTGCCATAGAAGCTACCCATTTTGGGCCTCCTCTACTCTCTTTGGGACAAACTGCCTGTGGATAGGAGCTACCCACTTCAGGCCTCCTCTCTGCTGAGAGGTGTTCTGTCTCTCAATAAGGCTCTTCTTTGCCTTACTCACCCTCTAGTAGTCCCTGTAAACTCATTCTTCCTGGACATGAGACAAGAACTCGGGACCCACTGAATGGCTGGAGCGAAAGGAGGTGTAATGCTTTCCTGGCCAGCTTGCTGAGCTGTGGGTGGTGACACACTCCCAGACTGTGGGAATGAAGAGCTGTGGCCCTTCTGGGAGTGCAGACCTCTAGGCTCCCTGAGCCAGGGCTGTGACACACTGTAACACCCTCTTTGGGGATCTGTGGTTCCTGGTGTCTCTGAGCTTTTGGGTGCCACTGCATTCCCATTGTCCAGACGCTGATGCCCACAGCAGAAGCCACATGTGGTACATCTGGTTCAGCCGCAGCCTCTCACTGAGCCAGTGCCTGTGCCGGTGCCTGGAGCTGCCTGTCATACCACAGCAGCCAACATATCTGGTTGTGTGCAGTGGCCAGACCCTGTGCTTGCTCACTCATACACCTCTTGCCACTCCATGCCTGGCTTGCCCTTGGCAGGTGTGGGATCCAGGCCAGCAGCATTAGCTGAGCACAGCTGGCCGGGCTGAGTGGGTGGAATGAGCCCAGTGGGTATGAAGAGAACTCAATCAGAGGTGCCACCAGCCACAGAGGTTTCCAGCTGATGAAGGGACACCTGAAGGATCCTGTGGCATTACTTACTTGTGCAGCATTGTTCTTCCTCTTTAGGAGTGTGCTTGTCTCATATCCCTGTGTGTGCTGTCAGCAACTCCAGGGAGGGGTGGTGCCTGACACCTGCCTATCTTAGCAACTACAACTGTATTTTATATCTGATTGAATCTCAGTAACTATTTTATGGAGAAAACCGTGGTGACTTTTCAATGTGTCCACTCAGCAACAGCACTTGGTTAGTATTCCATGTGCTGGCTGGGTGTGTCAGAGTTGAAAAGAATCCCAAAGGGGGAATTTAAATCATGGTTTGTTTCTTGATTATCTCATTTTTGGCATGTAATTTTAGGTTTGAGGCCTTATTACAGAAGTCATGAGGATTAGTTTCAAATGATCATAACCACTAAGAGCCAGAGGGATCTTAGATAATTAGTCAAGTATACGGATTTGGAAATGGAGTACCTGAGAGGGGGAGCATTAATTTCGGGTCCCAAAGCTTGCTGGTGTCCAGGATGAGATGGAGAACCGAGATCTTGATAGCTTTCTTTTTGGTGCCCTTTACATGATATGGGAATCCTTTCATTTTAGTCCCAGCTGTCATTATATCTTTCCCCTGGAGACAGCTAAAAATATAATTTCAGCTTTGATTATATTTTAAAAGTATACTAATTGAAACCCAGGCCACATGGCAAAGGCTGCAGAGGGGCAGGGACTTTTATTATCAGTCTGCAAATTCAAAGAACAGGATCCCATTCATTCTAATACTCCAAGAAACACAGTCATTGGAGTCCATCTGCCTCTAAACTGTAGCGAATAAGAAAAAAATATATTTTGAGGAAATGTCCCAGCTTTAAAACTTAATTAATTTTATTATTCATAGTTTCATTATTTAAAAATTATGTGAGATTTTTAGTCTATTTGGCAATTAAGCTCTGAGATTTCTGTTTTACTTATTTGTAAACCAAAATGGTTCAATATGCCTTTCTTACCTGGGGCTTCTGACCTCAGCCTTGACATTCTCTGCAATAATATTCTCTGTATGAGAGTTGTAGACCACAACACCTGCCCAGCAAAATGTGCCTTTCTTTGGTTCTGAAATTATGTCAGTGCATTTCTTTTCAGTGTGAAAACAATTGGCAAATATGAAGCAAATTTAGAACTGAGAATTGTTCCCTCCTCAATTCTTTCAAAAGATTTTATAGAAACCTGTGAAGATGACATGAAATAGTAGTTGAATATGTTGATGTTATAACATGTGGCAAGCTTAACTTTAAAAATAAGAAATCCTCAGCACATGCATTTTGCTTTCTGCAAACTCTGCTTAACCTTAGGCTGATCTTATTTTCTATGCTTCCTGTCTGTTTTTGCTACTCTAGTCAGAGCTCTAAGTTTTAGTCTCCCTGCAGGTAATCCACTAGAGTTCTTTCTGGAAGAATCATAGAAGGGGTATAAACATTGCTTTATGTTTCTTCTTTTCTGGGTTCAGTGGTTTCTTTCATACGCTCACCTCTTTGGGGACATTCAAGTGCTGGGCTAAATTTTCACTATTATTCAAAAAGAAAGATTTTTTTAATTGATAAAAGCCTAACTAGCCTTCAACACAATGAATTTTGCTAATTAAAAAGGCTGTGATTCCTAGTCAGTGTTAACACCTGTCGAATACCAAAGAAACTTTTTAGTGTTAATTCAGGGGGTGACATATCAGTTGATTGCAGAAATATTCCCTGAGGCATAAACAAGAAGGCAAAAATTAATTATTACTTATTGGGTTTGTATTAATAATTACTCTAGTTTCCATCAGCTTCAAATGAGAATCATATTCAAAATGTTCAGAAAAGAGCCTCAGTGGCTTTGGGGCATGATCTTGTAAGAGGATGTTTCTTTTCAACATCTATTATTTTTACTCATGTTTTAAATTGTGCATATTACTTGCTTAAAGCACTGGCCTTTATATTTTCCAAGAGATAACATTCATAGGAAAAGTGAACAGGTGGTACAAATGACCTGATAACATTTTTAAGTCTGACATCTTTATGAGCATTTCATCTAGATATTTATGTATTTATTTTATTTATTTATTTATAGCTCTCCTTATTTCACAAAATATTTGCTTAATAATTATTTCATTATGTAATAGAAAAGGATGACATATGACCTATGTTTTAAGCTCAAACATTTTTAAGGAAGAAAAATCTATACCTGCTATCATGTTAGGTAAAACCCATCCAGTACTTATGAAAATAAAAAATTATTAGGCATAGCCATTGTGACGGTTTGGAACACATCTTTGAATTTTTTGCATACCACTTTCAAAATATGGAGTCCAATTCCCCTTTCCTAATGTGAACTGAACTTAGGGATTTGCTTCTAATGAATAGAAAATTGTGGAAGTGATATTGGGCCACCTCTGGGCTAGGTTAGCAAAGGTGACACAGCTCTGCCGGTCTCCTGCTCTCATGGGTAAACATGCCTAAGGAGCCCTGAGACAGTATACTAGAGGAACTGCCACCCTGAAAACACAGTGCTGGAGAGAGATTCCAGGGAGAGACATAGAGACACAGAAAGAGGTGCCCGAGGATCTCAGCTGTCCAGCCCCTGTTATTTGAATCATTTCAGCCCTGGCACCAGAGAGATGAGAGGAGAAACCTGACAATATCCCCAGCCTGAGCCATCACCAGACTCCATCCTCCTGAGTGCCCCTGAACCAGCATCACCGCTGAACACTCTGGAAGACCTACAGAAACTGAGAGAAGGTAAATGATGGTTGTTGTTTTAAGCCACCAAGTTTTGGATGATTTGTTAAGCAGCTTAGACACCTAGAAAAACTATCACTACTGAGTTGGATAATTGCAGAGGGTTTTAAAGGCCAAAGTCATGAATGCTTCTACCCTGGCAAGGTCAAGTCATCAGGAAATTGTCTTTTAAACTCAACAGATCTTCAATGCCCCTTTGCTGGGGCTAGAGAATAATCTGATACGTATCTGATAGAGCCTCTTCAAAGCCTCTGTCAACAACTGCTGGCTGGGTCTGGGTCAACCCTGGCCTGGTTTAATTTCAGTCAACTACAGCTACTCACCTTCTGTTTTAGGTCCTGGCCTGTACTGATCTTTTGATCAGTGACTCTGTGTGTGTATCTGCGTGTGTGTGTGTGTGTGTGTGTGTGTGTGTGTATCGTGTGTGTCTTTCCATTTTATCTGAAGGGGCTAAATAATAGTGCTGTGGTTGCTTTATATACCAAAATAATTCCTAGGAGGAGAATATTGGTTGTCAGTTGAGCTTTAAAACAGATGTGAGAGAACACTGAGGAAAGGAATGCATGAAACCAAAAGGCAAAAAACAAAAAACAAACAAACAACAAAAAAACCTTGCCATTTTTCCCCATTATCCACATGAATTTTAAACTAAATTAAAAATGATATTTAAAAGTCTAAAGGCCTAACTGAAGCTTTAAATTAGACTGGTGGGAATTGTCACAATTACTCACGTAACTGTGCTGTAAACTAAGATTATAATAATTTTTTAAAACCTAATCTAATTGACATTTGTCACCAAACCTTATTCTCCAGGGGCAGGCTAGTCTGTGTTATGCTGCTTAATTTACTCTAAATTAAAAACAAAATCATATCCCCTGCAAATAAAATTGTTTATAGTATGAGTAGAAACTGTTCTACTTCCTGAGTTGTGTAGAATTTCACTGCACAGTTTTGATGCCTCCTGGGGAAAGATCCACAGAGCATCAAGGCAGAAATCCTTCCTTGTCATAACCTCCCCCTATCATCAGGGAATGCACGTGTTCAGGAATTAAGAAGAAAGAGCATCCAATCCCACCTCTGTCCTGGGTTGGTTCCCATGAGCAAGCAAATGTGCTGTATTAATGCTTATTAAAAATACATACATATTTATATATATAAACATATGAATATATTGATTAAGAAAATACTATGTTCCCAAATTGCAAAACAAAAATATTATCTATTTTATTTTTCTTATTTATTTTAAATGTATTGTAGAAACAGGGCCTCCCTCTGTCACCAGGATGGAGTACAATGGCGTGATCTTAGCTCACTGCAGTCTTGAACTCTTGGGCTCAAGAGATTCTCTCACCTCAGCCTCCAAAAGTTCTGGGATGACAGGTGTGAACCAACGTGCCCAGCCTCAATTTTAGATAAAAAGGCTAATGAGTTTATTATAAACCACATATTTCGTCAACATGTTGGCAGGTTCTGCAAAGAGCTGTAAGGATGCACTGAATATTTGCCGTTGCGGATGAGGCTGCTGGAGCATTGGAGATCCATTCATCATGCCAAAGTGTAGCTCAGGGAGTCACCTCCATGGAAAATGTGTGCTTTCCAAACGTGGCTACCAGGTCGTTGTGGAATTCCATCCAGAAGCACCTTGTTCTTCCATCGCCATCATTCTGGACAAGGCAGAATCCACATTCCCCATATTACTAACTTTAAAGCAGAAATGTTACGCCTTTGCCTGTAATTGAAATTGTAGTCATTTGAAAATCAAATATTGCTAAAATTTGATGTTAGAGGGATAGATGATCAATAATTGGGTTGAAAGAATACTGTCTCTCATTAAGCAAAATGAAAATGTTTTCAGAGATTTGTGAAATGTTTTGCTATGAAGACTTTTCACTGCAAAGCACCCACTTTGTTTAAAGCAATAAGGCAACGTGCTGGATGAACGTAAAGAAGTTTTCAACACAGAACTTCACAATAAAAATGGTAAGAAATGCACACAAACCATGGAAATCAAGTGCTGTAAGAGTGTGTTTTATAAAAGTGGCTGAAGGAAATGCTTTGGACATTTCTATTAATTATAGCCAATGTTCATGGATCTGTATGCTGAGTACACACCTAGGCATTTGCATTTCATTATTTCTTTGAACTCTTTCAAAAGCCCTGAGGTCTTTATGATTATCTCCATTTCACAAATGATGATACAGAGGAACAGGGAAAGCAAGTGATTTGCTGGCTGTCATAGAGCCACGTTGGGGAGCCAAGATTTAAAACCCAGGCAATTACATTCCAGAACTGTATAGCGATTGCACATTGGATGGATGGAGTCAAGTAATTCCTTCTACTGGACGCAGTGGTGGTGAGGATGGGGAAAGGATGAAAGCAACAAAAATAAAACATAAGCAGGGAGGCTTTCCTCCAGGTAGTTTTCAGTTTTTCTTTTATATAGAGAGTAGGGGGAAATTCATCCTGCTTCTTCCTTGGAAATACAGACTCTGTGTATGAAGACATCTTTTATAATCCCAATTTAGCAACAGCCTCGAGCTGTTCTTAACTTGGGAAATGCTGTGTGGCTGACTCAAACTGACAGTGATGAACATATTTTGGCTGACACCTTACCAAAATTTGGGTTTATTTATTTCATTAATATTTTTCTTCAGGCAAAATATATTTGTCATGCCCTTTCTATTTATAACCTGGAAATGTTTCCTGTTTAGAGTCAGACTCTTTGTGACAGGCCACCAAGAAGCAGAAGACAGATGGTTTAGATGCCCCTTTAGCACAGTTTAAAGAATGCAATCTCTTTATAATGGGATGCAAGTCTGATTCGGGGTCGTGCTCCCTGTGTACACTTTGTGTTTTTTTGAATATGTCGGTTTGAGCAGAAGTTGCCTGTCTTCAAAAAGCAGGGTCCCTACTGTGTACCCCTCAGTCCAGAACGTGGCTCCTAATAGATAGGATGTGACCAAGCTGTCACATTAGATTCTTTTCCACTAATGGAGCTTCTCAAGGTCTGAGATGAAAGCTACAACCTAGCCCCAACCCAGAGGTCTGGGTTTCTGGTGTGTAGTTGTTCTGTTCTAATAACTCCCCTCATGGCCGGTCTTATTCAGAATCTTGTAAATGAGCCATGTGTTGTGATATATTTCTTCCATCAAGAAGATTCAAATACACTGCACGTCCAAAGATGAATCATGAATACACATACTTAAAAAAAATTTTTTTAGAGGGTCTCTCTCTGTCACCCAGGCTGGAGTGTGGTGGTACGATCACAGCTCATTACAGCCTCGACTTCCTGGGCGCAAACAATCCTCCCACCTCACCTCTTGAGTAGCTGGGACTATAAGTGCATGCTACCATGCCAGGCTAATCTTTTTTTGTATTTTTTTGTAGAGACAGGGTTTTTGACATGTTGTCCAGGCTGGTCTCAAACTCCTGGCCTTAGGAAATCCACCCACCTTGGCTTCCCAAAGTGCTAGGATTACAGGTGTGAGCTGAAAGTATTTCTTATTTCAAAGCAGAGCTGCTGCTTAGCAACAAGCACGGGCTTGTGCTTCTTGGTGTGAGCACGTCCAAGCAGGAGGTAGATGCTGGTGGAGATTAGGTTAAGTAAAGAAAAGCATCATCATTTTTGAGAAGGAAAATCTCTCAAGAGGAAATTCTTTAGTGACTTCTTAGGAAAAGTTTAAATCCTGATGCCTCATGTGACAAATGTCAAATGCATCTCAATTACCTGGATAAATTAGCCATAAGTATTTTGCACATCTGAAATCATTACCTCACTTTATCTTGTTTACAGGTAAATACTGACAATCACAGACCTAGAGTACTGCTTTTTCTTAAGAATGTCTTTTCCAACCCCTGGCACCAGTAGATGCCTTCCACCTTGGGACAGTCTTGAAAATTACGGCCCGGTAATTATCATCTTTAGGGATGATGTAAGACCATATTATATGGAAGATTATATGAAGATTCACAGACTACTGAAAAGACAGGTATTCAGGGGCATTTCATGGAGTTCAAGAGGAGAAGGATAAAGGATAACCATCTTCAATGTATACGTTTGGGAAGGCAGTTTTGTGGGCACATTGCTTTATACCCATAGGCACTACACTTATTTCTCTGTTGCTGAAAACAACAGAACCACAGCATTGACTGCATGGGTATTGGTGGTATTTCAGTGTCTTGGTATATCACGAACCAGATAGGAACTTGTTAAGTTTGAAGGATGAGGTTGCTGGGATTTTGTGTGTGGGAGAAGGGGATGCTTCGTTCTATGGCTTTTGAGATAGAGATGGAAAAGAAACAGTCAGGGAGGAGAATGAAGAGAGAAGAGTGAAGCCACAACAGGGGATCACGTGTAGGGGTCTCCAGAACTGAAGCCTGTGGTGAGAGGTGGAGAAGAGAAAGGCATAGTCAGGTGTCACAGCACTTAATTTCCTCATCAGCAGCTTAAAATTTGGTTTCGCACACTGGCTGAGATGGGGAGTGTCAAATTGACCTCTGCTAAACCTCTGAGGATGTGAGTGCTGTAGGGAAGAGAGCAGGTGAAATAAATTCCATATAACCAAGCAAACAGAGTAAATATCTCTCTCTCTCTCTCTCTCTCTCACTCTCTCTCACACACACACACACACACAAACACACACACACAATTCTCATTAACAAAATTATGGGGAAAAAACAACCTTTCTACCACAGTTACAAGGTCTCAAATTTGTAATCTGTAAATTCCTTTTTTTCAAAAAAGCACTAGCTTTTCTTCTGAGACCTTATTAGATGGCAGGCCGGTGCTACGTGTGTTAGGTACACATTCCTTTGTGTTCACATAAGTAACTCGTTGCATTTATGAAAGCAATGAATTAATCCTATTCTTGTAGGTCCAAGTGACCAGGCCTTCATATGGGAGAGGATCTCCTGCAGCGTCCAGAGGAGAAGGTGATTATGTCTCTCTAGGCTCATTGGACAAAATCAGTTAAATTGTGTTCCAAAAGCTGTATGGCTGCAGACACTGTGAACAGCAGGAAAGCCTTTTCACAGTTCAAGGAGCCTTGCTGCCTGAGATGAGAGCTGCCAGGGATGGCAAAGTATCAAGCATTTTTTTCTATGGCTACTTAGTATTGGATAAAAATTTGCCCACCAATCCATCTCACCCTGATGTTTCAATAAATAGCCCGTGTTTTAATAGTCACATGGGAGGGTTGTGCTTTAAAAAGTTATAGTCTATCAGATTCTGCACTCTCTTTTGTATCCAAACGCACAAAAGGAAGGTTGAAATTCTAATAGAGAATGTTTTCAGTTAAAATCCATTCTCAATGATAAAATTAGGTAACCTTATTCTTTTCATAGACTATTTTTTTCTTCCACGATCACACAGGGATTTTCAAATATTTGTCTTGAATGTCAAGTTTTACTCTTCGGTGCTGTGCTAAAGACACGACTGTAGCAATTAGAAAAGTGTTCAGATAACCACCTACAAGATGACAAATGGCTCAGCCTTGAATTGAAAAGATTAAAGGACTATGCACATTTCATCTGAAAAGAATGGTTATTTAATGATGATTTTTATATACCATGCATGGTTGCTGCACAGAAATTGGCCAGTAAGTATTTCCCATCTTTATTTGAAAAGATAATAGGAAGAAATAGAATTAGGCAGCAGCACATAGGATTCAACTCAGGCTTAAGGAAGGACCTTGACAGGGGGATTAGTACAAATATGGGAGACAGACAGAATGTCTTCTCTAGTGGTTACACAGAGGTAGGTGAGGCTATTGTCCACTTGTCTTTTTAGATATGGTCTTGCCTGATGGCAATGAGATCAAATTCAAACACTTATTCAGGTTTCTGATATTTTGTCTTATGCATTTTGGCATGTAAAGCTATTAAACAGAATACCAAAAAGCATTAGAGCATAGGGAGTAAATTGTCATCCAGAACAATTAAAAAAAATCCTTGAATATATGGCTGGTCTGAAACATTCTCTTCATTTTATAGGAGTCAGAGTAACCTCTGAGATAGAGGATATATGTCATTTTTATATTTTTATTTGAAATGAGTTTTTAAAGAAAAACTCTTAAAAACTGAGAGAAAAGATTAATTAATCAGTGTGATTGACTCCTTACAGCAAATAATATAAACTTACTTATGGTGATATTTATATAATAAATTTCAAAGTAGAATTTTTGGATAATAGTTTTTCTAACTGTAGTGGAATGCTTGGAATAAAACTTAAAAGGTAACAAGAAACTAGATGAGACATTTATCCTTTTGTAAATAACTTTTTTTAAAGAACAGTTTTAAATTTGCAGAAAAATTGTGAGAACAGTACAGAGAGTGCCTATAGGCTCCACACCCAGTTTATCCTACGATTAATATTTACATTTGTTTGGTATATTTGTAACAATGAACCAGTATTGATATAGTATTATTGTCTAAAGGACACACTTTATTAAATTTTCACAAGTTTTTGTCTAACATCTTTTTTTTCTGTTCTAAGATCCCATCCAGAATACAGTACATTTGGTCTCCTGCCTCCTTAGGAGTTCTTGGCTGTGAGTTTCTCAGACGACTTTCCTTGTTTTTGATAACCTTGACAAGTCTGAGGAGTACTAGTCAGGTATCTTGTAGAATGTCCCTCACATGGGGGTGCCTGCTGTTTTTTGTCATGATTAGCCTGGGGTTGTGGTTTCTTGGGAGGAAGACCATTGAAGTAATGTGCCATTTCCATCACTTCATTGAGAGCACATACAATCAACATGACTTACCGCTAGCGATGACAAACCTGATTGCCTGGCTGAGGTTGTTGTCAGTTTTCCCCACTGCAAAATTACTCTTTTTCCCTCTCTCTTCCATACTGCACTCTTTGGAAGTTACAGTGCCCAGCCTACACTTCAGGAGTGGGGAGTTAGAATCCACCTCATGGAGGGCAGAGCAGCTATGTAAATTGTCTGTAATTCTTCTGCATAGGAGACATTTCTTCTTTCTCATTTATTGATTGAATCACATATTTATATCACTCTGGATTCATAGATATTTATTTTGTGCTTTGGGCAATAATCCAATACTATTTTTCTGACTTGTTGCTCAGGTGGTTCTAGCTTTGGTTATCGGGGCTCTTTAAGTTGACCCTGGTGCTTTTTTGACCTACCCCACCATTAGTTTTTTCTTTTCCACCTTTTAAGTTCAGGAGTACATGTGCAGGATGTGCAGGTTTGTTACATAGGTAAATGTGTGCCATGGCGGTTTGCTGCACAGATCGTCCCAGGTATTAAGCCCAGCATCCATTAGCTAGTTTTCTTGATCCTCTCCTTCCTCCCATGCTCCACCATCAGACAGGCCCAAGTATGTGTTGCTCACACCCATGTGTCCATGTGTTCTCATCATTTAGCTCCCACTTATAAGTGAGAACATGTGGTATTTGGTTTTCCATTTCTGTGTTAGTTTGCTAAGGATAATGCACTCCAGCTGCATCCATGTCCCTGTAAAGAACATGATCTCATTCTTTTTATGGCTGCATAATATTCCATGGTGTATAGGTACCACATTTTCTGTATCCAGTTTATCATTGATGGGCACCTAGGTTTTTTTTTTTTTTTTGTCTTTGCCATTGTGATACTGCAGTGATGAATATATGAGTTCATGTGTCTTTATGATAGAATGATTTATATTCCTTTGGGCATATACCCAGTCACAGGATTGCTGGGTCGAATGATATTTCTGCCTCTAGGTCTTTAAGGAATTGCCATATTGTCTTCCACAATGGCTGAACTAATTTATACTCCCACCCACAGTGTAAAATTGTTCCTTTTCCTCAACAACCTCACCAGCATCTGTTGTTTTTTGATTATTTACTAATATGTGAAACGGTATCTCATTTTGGTTTTGATTTGCATTTCTCTAATGATAAGTGATGTTGAGCTTTTTTTCATGTTTGTTGGCCACGTATGTGTCTTCTTTTGAGAAGTGTCTGTTGTTCGTGTCCTTTGCCCACTTTTTAATGGGGTTATTTTTTTCTTGTAAATTTGTTTAAGTTCCTTACAGATACTGGATATTAGAACTTTGTCAGATGGGTAGTTTGCAAATATTTTCGTACATTCTGTAGGTTGTCTGTTTACTCTGTTGAAGTTTCTTTTGCTGTGCACAGGTTCTTTAGTTTAATTAGATACCATTTTTCAATTTTTGCTTTTGTTGCAATTGCTTTTGGCACCTTCATCATGACATCTTTGCCTGTGCCTGTGTCCTGAATAGTATTGCCTCAGTTTTATTCTAGGGTTTTTATAGCTCTGGACTTTATAGTTAAGTCTTCAATCCAAATTGAGTTGATTTTTGTATATAGTGTAAGGAAGAGGTCCAGTTTTAATTTTCTGCATATGGCTGGCCAGTTCTCCCAGCACCATTTATTAAATAGGAAATCCTTTCCCCATTGCTTGTTGTTGTCAGGTTTGTCAAAGATAAAGTGGTGGTAGGTGTGTGATCTTGTTACTCATTCACTATTCTGTTCCATTGGTCTGTGTGTCTGTTCTTATACCAGTGCCATGCTGTTTTGGTTACTGTAGCCCTGTAGTACAGTTTGAAGTCGGGAAGCATGATGCTTCCAGCTTTGTTCTTTTTGCTTGGGATTGCCTTGGCTATTCGGGCTCTTTTTTGGTTCTATATAAATTTTACAATACATTTTTTCTAATACTGTGAAGAATGTCAATGATAGTTTAACGGGAATAGCATTGAATCTATAAATTTCTTTGAGCACTACGGCCATTTTCACGACATTGATTCTTCCTATCCATGAGCATGAAGGTTTTTCCATTTGTTTGTGTCATCTCTAATTTATTTAAGCAGTTATTTATAGTTCTCTTTGAAGAGATCTTTCACTTCCCTTGTTAACTGTATTCTTAGGTATTTTATTCTTTTTGTGACAGTTGTTAATGGGAGTTCATTCATGATTTGGCTCTTGGCTTGCCTGTTATTGTTGTATAGAAATGCTAGTGATTTTTGCACATTGATTTTGTATCCTGAGACTTTGCTGAACTTGTTTATCAGCTTAAGAAGCTTTTCAGTTGAGATGATGGGGTTTTCTAGATATAGGATTATGTCATCTGCAAGCAAAGATAGTTTGACTTTCTCTCTTCCTATTTGAATATCCTTTACTTCTTTCTCTTGCCTGATTGCCCTAGTCAGAACTTCCAATATTATGTTGAATAGGAGTGGTGAGAGAGGGCAACCTTGTCTTGTGCCAGTTTTCAAGGGGAATGCTTCCAGCTTTTGCCCATTCAGTATGATATTGGCTGTGAGTTTGTCATAAATGGCTCTTATTATTTTGAGGTATATTCCTTCAATACCTAGTTTATTGAGAGTTTTTAACAGGAAGTGATGTTGAATTTTATTGAAGGCCTTTTCTGCATCTATTGAGATAATTATGTGGTTTTTGCCCTTAGTTCTGTTTATGCGATGAATCACATTTATTGATTTGCATATTTTGAATAAGCCTTGCATCCCAGGGATGAAGCCTACTTGATCGTTGTGGAGAAGCTTTTTGATGTGCTGCTGGATTTGGTTTGCCAGTATTTTGTTAAGAACTTTTGCGTCAATGTTCATCAAGAATATTGGCCTGAAATTTTCTTTTTTATTGTATCTCTGCCAGGTTTTGGTATCAGGATGATGCTGGCCTCATAGAATGAGTTATGGACGAGTCCCTTCTTTTCAATTTTTTGGAATAGTTTCACTAGGAATGGTACCAGCTCTTCTTTGTAACTCTGGTAGAATTCAGCTATAAATCTGCCTGGTCCTGGGCTTTTTTGGGTTGGTGGACTATTTATTACTGCTTCAGTGTCAGAATTGTTATTGGTCTGTTCACATATTCAATTTCTTCCTGATTCAATCTTGGGAGGGTACATGTGTCCAGGAATTTAACTATTGCTTCTATATTTTCTAATTTATGTGCATAGAGTTGTTTATAGTATTCTCTGATGGTTGTTTGTATTTCTGTGGGGTCAGTGGTGATATCCCCCTTATCATTTCTGATTATGTTTATTTGAATCTTGTCTCTTTTCTTCTTTATTAGTCTAGCTAGTGGTCTATTTTATTAATTTTTTTGCAGAAAAACAACTGCTGGATTTGTTGATTTTTGAAGGTATTTTTTTGTGTCTCTATTTCCTTCCAGTTCACCTCTGGTCTTAGTTATTTCTTGTCTTCTGCTAGCTTTGGGGCTTGTTTGCTCTTGGTTCTCTAGGTCTTTTAGTTATGATGTTAGGTTGTTAAATTGAGATCTTTCTAGCTTTTCAATGTAAGCATCTAGTGTTGTAAATTTCCCTCATAACACTGCTTTGGCTGCCTCCCAGAGATTCTAGTACACTGTATCTTTCTTCTCATTAGTTTCAAAGAACCTCTTGATTTCTGACTTACTTTCATTTTTTCCCCAAAAGTCATTCAGGAGCAGGTTGTTCAATTTCCACGTAGTTGTATGGTTTTTAGTTAACTTCTTAATCTTGAATTCTAATTTGATTGCTCTGTGGTCTGAGGACTGCTTGTTATGATTTCAGTTCTTCTGCATTTGCTGAGGACTCTTTTACTTCCAATTATGTGATCAATTTTAGAGTAAGGCCACGTGGCAATGAGAAGAATGTATATTCTTTTGTTTTGGGGTGGAGAGTTCTGTAGATGTCTATCAGGTCCACTTGATTCAGAGCTTAGTTTAGGTCTTGAATTTCTTTGTTAAATTTCTGTCTTGATGATGTCTACTATTGACAGTGGGGTATTAAAGTCTTCCACTATTATTGTGTGGGAGTCTAAGTCTCTTTGTAGGTCTCTAAGAACTTGCTATGTGAATATGGGTGCTCCTGTATTGGGTGCATATAGGATAGTTAGCTCTTCCTGTTGAATTGAACCCTTTGCCATCATGTAATGCCCTTCTTTGCTTTTTTGATCTTTGTTGGTTTAAGTCTGTTTTGTCAGAAACTAGGATTGTAATTCCTGCTTTTTTCTATTTTCCATTTACTTGGCAAATTTTCCTCCATCACTGTATTTTGAGCCTAAGTGTATCTTTGCACCTGAGATGGCTCTCTTGAAGACAGCAGACTGATGTGGCTTGACTCTTTATCTTGCTTGCATTCTATGTCTTTTAATTGGGGCATTTAACCCATTTACATTTAAGGTCAGTATTGTTATGTGTGAATTTGATTCCATCATCATGATGCTAGCTGGTTATTTTGCAGACTTGTTTATGTGGCTGCTCCATAATGTCACTGGTCTGTCTACTTCAGTGTGTTTTTGTAGTGGCTGGTAACAGTTTTTCCTTTCAGTATTTAGTTCTTCCTTCAGGAGGCTTTGTAAGGCAGGTCTGGTGGTAACAAATTTCTTCAGCATTTGCTTGTCTGAAAAGGATCTTATTTCTCCTTTGCTTATGAAGCTTAGTTTGGCAGGACATGAAATTCTGGGTTGGAAATTCTTTTCTTTAAGAATGTTGAATATTGGCTCCAGTCTTTTCTGGCTTGTAGGGTTTCTACTGAGAGGTCTGCTGTTAGTCTGATGTTCCTTTTGTAGGTGACGTGGCCCTTCTCTCTGGCTTCCCTTAACATTTTTTCTTTCATTTTGATCTTGGAGAATCTGATGATTATGTGTCTGGTGGTTGATCTTCTCATGGAGTATCTTACTGGAGTTGTCTGCATTTCTTGATTTTGAATGTTGGCCTGTCTTAGAAAAGTTCTCCTGGATGATATCCTGAAATATGTTTTCTAAATTGGCTCCATTCTCCCTGTTTCCTTCAGGTACCCCAGTTAGTTGTAGATTTGGTCTCTTTACATAATCCCGTATTTCTCAGAGGTTTTATTCATTCCTTCTCATTCTTTTTTTTCTCTATTCTTGTCTGCCTGTCTTATTTCAGAAAGATACTCTTTAAGCTCCAAGATTCTTTCCTCCGCTTGGTCTATTCTGCTATTAATACTTGTGACTGCATTGTGAAGTTCTTGTGGTGTGTTTTGCAGCTCCATCAGGTTGGTTATGTTCCTCTCCATACTGGCTATTTTGGCTGTCAGCTCCTGCATTGTTTTATCCTGATTCTTAGTTTCTTTGAATCGGGTTACAATATCTCCTTTAGCTCAGCAAAATTTGTTTTTATTCACTTTCTGAAGCCTACTTCTGTCATTTCAGCCATCTCAGCCTCAGCCCAGTTCTGAGCCCTTGCTAGAGAGGTGTTGCAGTTATTTGGAGGAGAGGGGGCCCTCTGGATTTTTGAGTTTTCAGCATCTTTATGTTGATTCTTTCTCATCTTTGTGGGCCTATCTACCTTTGATTTTTGAGGCTGCTGACCTTTGGATGGAGTTTTTGGTTTTGTTGTTGCTGTTGTTTGTTTTTCTTCTAAAAGTCTACCCATTCTTTCGTAGGGCTGCTGCCGTTTTCTGGGAATCCACTCCAGATCTAGTCACCTCAGTTCTTCAAGTACCTGGAGGTATCACCAGTGGAGGCTGTGAAATGGCATAGATGGCAGCCTGTGCCTTCCTCTGGAAGCTCCATCTGAGGGGTGTACTGACCTGTTGCCAGCCTCAACACGCCTGTAAGAGGTGGCTGGAGGACCCCAGTTGGGAGTTCTCACCCAGTCAGGTGAAAGGGTATCAGGGACTCACTTAAAGAAGCAGTCTGACTGCTTTTTGGTAGAGCAGCTGTGCTGTGTTGGTGAAATCCTTCACTGGATCTCTTCAGCCCCCAGTCAGTTTGGTCTCTCCAAGGCCCATAGGCTGGACTGGCTGAGATACCCAAACAGTCAAGGTGGTGGCCTGCCCTGCCCCCTGGGCACTCTGCCCCAGGGAGAAATTAGAACTCAGTCAGCTGTAGAACATGGGTGGGGATGGCCAGAGGCCCTGGTTGGGAAGACCCACCCAGTGAGGAGAAGTGGATGTGGGCCCCATTTAAAAAGCAGTCTGACCATGCCTTGACAAAATAGCCATGCTGGGGAACTGCTTCTGCCGTGGTCAGCCTGGAGAACCCACAGGTTGGAATGGCTGAGTTGCCCAAATAGCCAAGGTGATGGGGCCTCCCCTCCCCGCAGGCACTGTCCCAGGGAGAGATCAGAGCTCTGTCCGTAGAATATGGGTAGGCAAGGGTAGCTGGAGGCTCTGGCTGGGAGGTCCCACCTAGTGAGGGGGAGTGGGTTGAGGTCCCACTTAAAGAAGCAGTCTACTTTGGGAGGCCGAGGTGGGCGGATCACCTGAGGTCAAGAGTTCGAGACCAGCCTGGCCAACATTGGCGAAACTACGTCTCTACTAAAAATACAAAAATTACCTGGGCATGGTGGCAGGCATCTGTAATCCCAGCTACTTGGGAGGCTGGGACAGAAGAATCACTTGAACCAGGGAGGCAGAGGTTGCAGTGAACCTAGATGGTGCCATTTGCACTCCAGCCTGGGCAACAGAGTGAGACTCCGTCTAAAAGAAAAAAAAAAGCAGTCTGACCAGGTTCAGGCAAAGCAGCGGTACTGCACTGGGGGGACCTTTCCTCATCGGGACCATTTGGAGTCTCCAAAGCCCGCAGGCTGGAATGATTGAGTTGACCAAACAGCAGAGATAGCAGCCCACCCCTTTTCAGGGGCTCTATCCCATCTCAGGCAGGCTCCACCCTGTTGCTGGTGGCTGGCTGGAATTCTGAGTCAGTGGGTCTTATTTTGTGATGTGCAGTAGAAGCAGAGCCCACAGACCAACGCTGCTCGTCTCCCTGCATTCTCCCCCCTTCCTGGGGGTATGTACAGACCTCCCACCTTGGCGGGGATCCTGGGGCAGAGTATGTCAAGTTCTCTGTGTGCCTGAGCAGCTGCTCTGCTGAGACTACACAAGTCTGTGTGTCAGACCCAACGCCCTGCTGGTGTGGGCTCACGAGGGGATCTCCTGCTCTGAGGATTGCAGAGATCCATGGGAGAAGCGTGGTTTCCTGGGGCCTCACATTCGCTCACCATTTTCCTCGGCTGGGGTAGAGGTTCCCTTGGCTCCATGTCACTCGCAAGTGGGCTATCGCTCTGCCCTGATTTTCTTCATCCTCCAAGGGTTCAGTTGTTTCACTATCAGTCCCAAGGCCAGAGCCTGGATATTCCAGTTGAAGGTGCTGTATCCATTCGCCCCCTTCGTTCCTCTCTGTGAGCGCCACGAACCACAGCTGCTTCCATTCAGTAATCTTGGCCCCTCCTCCATTCGTTTTTTCTAAACACTCCTTCTTACCTTCTGGGACTACAAGATGCTCCACACTCATCTTGTATATTTTCTGCTTCAGTCCCACAACCAGCAGTTTATCCAAGCAGCTGTGGTTCCTTTTATTGGAGGATAATACTAGAAACCAAGATCTGGGTGCCAAGTATGCCCATTGCTCCTGGGTGTTGTTCTTCTCAGCCCACTGAGCTAAGAAGAAGGAAATATATGCACCAGATGATGTACTTTAACTGCTTAAATACACTTGTCTCTATATATTTCTACATGAGCCCATCTCTATCTGTGTTAAGCTAAATATGGGTTCATACCGATGTCTCCAACTCTAGTCCACTACCATATAGATCATTACAGCCTCCTTTCCTAACCTACCTGTAAACCCACACTCCCATGACTTCCTTAACCACCATTCATTTACTCAGTTGTTCAATTCTAGTATACATATATACCAGTATCAGAATTGTTAACCCAGACCCTGTGGAAAATAACTGTATTGACTACAGTTCACTGTTCATGTGAAACTCTCTTTGCCTTCAGGCTTATAGAGTCCACACATTTCCAGAGTTACTAAGGTCAGCACCTTTTCCCCCTCCCACTCCCTTCAGTGCAGTGATTTCATGCATTTGTAATACAATTACATTCTTTTTCTTTTCTCTCCAGGCTACATTCTGTCCTGATATCCACCAAACTCCTAAACAACTTTAAAAATACCTGCACTCATGAAGATATTTAATAATAGGGCAACTTTTCAACACTCCACCTCTTCTGTCCTGTCAACTGCTGATCTTTCACACGGTTATTACTATAGCTTTGCCTTTTCCAGAATGCAATTTAATTGGACTCATACAATCTGTAGCTTTTTCATACTGGCTGTTTTTTGAGTGAGATTCCTCCATGCGTTTTCATGACTTGATAGTTCATTTATTTTTATTGCTGAATAATATTCTATTGTATGAAGGCACCACAATGAGTTCATCCATTCACCTATTGAAGGACATCTTGGTTGCTTTTAGTTTGGGTGATTATGAATAAAGTTTCTGTAAACAATTTGTGTACATCTGATTGTGTGGACATCAATTTTCAAATCAGTTGGATAAATATCTAAGAGTTCGATTGTTGGATCATATGATAAAACTGTGCTTAGCTTTGTAAGAAAACTGCCAAGCTCTTTTCCAAAGTGAGTGTACCATTTTCATTTCCACCAGTAATAAATGAGAGTTCCTGTTATTCTGCATTCTGGCCACCATTTAGTATTGTCTGATTTTTAAATTTTAGTCCTTCTAAATGGTAGTATGGCTTATGGTGGTATCTCATTTTTATTTTAACTTGCAAGTCTCTAGTGACTAATGCTGTTGAACATGTTTTCTTCTTATTTTTTCTCCTGTATATCTTCTTTGGTAAGGTGTCTGTTGAGACTTTTCGACCATTTTCTAACTGGGTTTTCGTTTTGTTATTTTTGAGTTTCAAGGGTTCTTTGTATTTTTGGATACAATTTCTTTATTTGATCATGTTTTGCAGATATGGTCTTCCAGTGTGTAGCTTGTCTTTCTATTATCTTAACAGCCTCTTTGGCAGAGCAGAAGTTTTTTATTTTAATGGAGTTCAATTTGTCAATATTTTCTTTCATGGATTATGCTTTTGATATTATATTAATACACTCATCACCAAAACCAAGATCATATAGATATTTTATGCTTTTTTCCTGGAACTTTTGTGGTTTCATATCATACTTTTAGCTTTGTAATTCATTTGAGTTAATTTTTTTATGAAACATACAGGATTTGAGTGTAGGCTAATTTTTTTTGTACAATTGTTTGTACATTTTTTGAAGTGACTACCCTTTTCCACTAAATTATCTTTGCTCCTTTGTCAAGAATCAGTTGATTTTTTCCTTTGATTGAGAAGTTACATGAAGAAATACCAATTATTGCTTTCATGCATTATAGGCTAATTGATAATGTATAATGAACTTTTGTTAGGTAATTAGAACATTTGTTTTAGCACTGATTAAAATGAAAGGGTGAAGAGGAATAAGAAAAGAGATATTAATAAAGAATGAAGTAAACTGGTATCATATCTGGCTCTACACTAAGTTTATGGAATAAAAGTGGCTTGATCCTATACCAAGTTAAGAAGACCAAAGGAAGGAAGCATCCAAACACTCTACACATTTATTGTGAGCTGGAGTTAAGAGTGGACTTGGAGTAGATGTGAGGTCAGGCTGTCTGTACTGGGGCTGCACATCAGATGAACTAGCATGTGAAGGTTAATTCATGTGTCAACTCGGCTGGGCCACAGGGTGCCCGTGTATTTGGTCAAACATTAATACAGGTGTTTCTCTGTGGCTGTGTTTGGATGAGATTAACATTTAAGTTTGTAGACTGAACTACGCAGAGTGACCTCGTCCAATCAGCAGAAGGCCTGAATAGAATAAAAAGGTGACCTTCCCTAAGTAAAAAAGAATTCTTCCTCTGTGTTGACCTTCAGAGCAGGACATCAGCTTTTCCCTGCCTTTGGGCTCTCTGGCTTCTCAGGCCTTCAGACTTGGATTGGAACCAGACCATCTGCTTTCCTGAATCTCCAACTTGCCAGCTAACCCTGCAGACCTTGGGGCTTGCCAGCCTCCATAATTCCTTGAGCCAATTCTTTATAATCGCTCTCTTTATACATATACACATCCTATCAATTCTGCTTCTCTGGGGAACCCTGAGTAGTACATCAAGTTTTCTTTTAGTTTTCTGTTCTGTAAACATACATTGCCACTTTGTGGAAGAGACACATCATCGTGGCAGAAGAGGATTCTTTCTGGTCGAAAGGCTGAGTCTACAACTGGACCACGACCCCCTCATCCCTCTCCTACCTGATATCCTAGGATAGAAAGCCACAGCCACGCAGGCTGGGGAAGCCTGAGTCACACACCTGAGTATGTTTTGGTTTGCTGCCATTGCCCTTCTGGGCTATGTTAATTTGCAGTATCAGCTAAGCCAGCAAGGTTTTTCTGAATAAGGAAAACAGGAGCAGGGTTCCCACATGAGCAATGTGAGACTTGGGAAGTGGACCACCACCTTGCCTCATTCCTACCCTTGTGAGTGCTGGCCTTGACTGATTTTAGAATTGCTACAAGAGAAGCTAACCTCTGCAATTCAACAGGGTCCCAGATTTGGAGCCTTGGAAGCGAATTTGCTCAAGGCAAAGATCCAAGTTTTCATTCTGCTTGAACGGAAGAGAGAGAGTAAAAGAGAAAAATGGCTGCATTGAGGACAGAAGACAGACTCCATTTCACCTCCGTCTGTGTTAGCAGTTAATTTCTTCTCAAGAGGGACATTAAGTCTTTTTACCTGGCAGACAGGCTATGGCTGTTTCAACCCAGTGTGGGCCATGGAATGGAATGAATGATTAGATTTTGCATTAGTCGTAGAAAGACAAGGTGTGCATTATTTTCCCTTGCATTTCGTCATGAAATATAGGCTGTCCTTCCACTGAGTATTTGCTTAACCAGGTCATAGGAATTCTTAATTCAAAAAGAGGAAAAAGCAACGTCTGAGAGCGAGGACCAGCACATTTGAGAACATTTGCAGGTGATTCTGGACAGCAGGGACACACTTGTTTACTCGCTGGACTTCACCAATATCTTTGCTCACTTTCATCAGTCTTCCCGGCCAGTACTCACCTTCCGCTGTGACAAATAATTTTTGTGAATTTTATGTTTCAGAAGAAAATTGTACATTTCTTTTCTTTCTTTCCTTTTTTTTTTTTTTGGAGACAGAGTCTTGCTCTGTTGCCCAGGCTGGAGTACAGTGGCATGATCTCGGCTCACTGCAGCCCTCACCTCCTGGGTTCAAGCAATTCTCCCACCTCAGCCCCTCAAGTAGCTGGGACTGCAGGCGCCCGCTACCACACCCGGCTAATTTTTGTATTTTTTGTAGAGATGGGGTTTCACCATGTTGGCCAAGATGGTCTTGATCTCCTGACCTCATGATCTGCCCACCTTGGCCTCCCAAAGTGCTGGGATTACAGGCATGAGCCACTGCGCCCGCCCAAAAATTGTACATTTCTATAGATGGTAAAATGTCATTTGCTTGTATCTCATAAACTTCAAACATAATAATTTAAATGCTGTACTGTGAAAATAATTAGAAATAAATTATTTAGTGAGTTTTTAGGTTTTTACTTTATTTGAATTTCTAGTCAAAACTCAATAGCTTTTAAATGTTATGAATTCAAGAGAAGACCTACAATGTCCTCCACTCTCGCTTCCACATTAATTTTTACATGTAGAAACACATTTTTAATATTTCTGTTACATTCTTATGATCACAGAGCCTTATGGAGAATTGTTACTTTTGTTACTCACCTCATTTTGCCAATTATTGTCCATTTATATTATTGTTCAAAGTTATGCTGTCTCTGAAGTAATGAAATTTACATTCTAGAGAACAGAAATGTCTGGAGTGAAGAGTGTTTCAATCAAGTATACGACCCTGAATATAACCTTGGCGTAGAGTTGACCCAGCCCGGTGCCTAGTCATAGCGTGTAATGCCTGAGAACACAGCAGAGCACAGGGAATCATCAGTCAGTACTTGTTGAATGGGCCTTCTTCCTCCCTCCACCCACCCAGAATCAGTGGGAAAATTGTAACCACTTTTTCTCTACTTACATATAGCAAGGGCACTGCAGATGTATCAGACTGTCTCACATTACAGGGAAAGAGGCCGAAGTAAAGTTCCAGGAAAATGTTGGTGGTATTTCAGAAAAATGAGAACGTATTTCTGAATGTTAGAAATGAGCAAATTAATTTCAGAGAAAAGGAAATATCCCTCCTGTCATGATTGCAAGTTTTATGGCTGAAAAAATACGATTCACCAAGTTTCAATATTATGTTAGTACCAAGAAAGCTTTTCCTGCGTTGGTAAAACTCTGAATTGCTCACATTCTTACTATGTATATTACAAAAATGTAAGAAGGGATCTCCTTGTGATATTCTTTAAAAACGTATTTTCTATGTTCACCACTTTCGGTGCCAGGACGAATGAATGTGTGACTCTCTAGCTTCAGTAATGGAGCTTCCTTGGTTGGTTCCTTTAATTGGTTGGTTTTAAATAAAGTTATTGAGAAGCTCAAAGTATGGTCGTTGGTTGAAGAAAGATGTTTAACCCCTAGAAAATAAGGAAATATCTCCTTTGTGGAACATGTGGACCCATTCTGAGAACTATAAAGCATTAATGTCTCTATAAATATCATAAAGCATTCAGAGTGAAAACTATTTTTGGTTAGTAGCTTATTAGGTCTCAGTTCCTGCATGTGCTTTTGCAACATAGTTATTGGTCTTTTATTAAGACCTAAAACTTCACTTAATTACATTGGGGTACATTCAGAGCATGATTCCTGATTACCCAATATAGTTCTGAGACTGAAATTGTTGTAGTTTCAGTTATACATGATCAAACAAATAATACTCTCACGTAACATGTTTCAGGCTCCTCTTAATTTCCTTTCCATGCAGGCATCTGGTTTTAAATTTGGCTCCATGTCAGTCTTGAAGGGCAGTATTCAAAAGACCGGAGCCTGTCCCAGCTGCTGACCTTAGCCAGGGGATGTCAGAACAGCAGGGCCATGGTAGGTTTGCTTTCAGAGCCTTATTTAATTTTGGTTGTTGGCTCAGCTTGCTCATCAGAGACTGCTATTTCCAGCTGCACTGCAAGCTCTCCCACAGTTTAATTCTTTGCTTATTTTTTTTTTTAGAAATCCTCCATCCAAGGACCACAATAATGTGCCAAAAGATGAGGGTGACTTCACACCTCAGCTAATTCACATCTGCAAAGAGGGAAAACAATTTGCAACTGAATCCAGCCTCACTAATACCATCCTAGCAAATTCTCCCCATCAGCCAATCTGGAGGCTACTGGCAAAGCCAGACTTTGTCTCAAGAGATGTAGATGTGGTATAATATGCAAATACAACATGCTACATGTTTATTGGTTTGTCTGACATGCTTATAGAGTCTATACAGCTAATGAATTAAAATGAATCTTGTGCTAAAAAGCATCTAGTAGAAAAATTATGCATACTTAAAATTTATACTGTTAGGATATACTCACCTTGGACATACACGTAATAGAAATACTTTTACCATTCATATATTTATTAAGTACCCTATATCACTGTGATCTGAACTTTGTGAACACAGTGGGATAAATGTTATTATTGTTAGCTGATGTCAGTATTTAAAGAGATCCTCAAATAAATTGTCATGACAGAAAAATATATTTATTGTACACTCAGTATAGAGCAAGCAAGAATCTAGACTTTGAAGAGACAATAGGCTACCAGACAATCAGAATCTTTGCTTTCATGGAGTTTGGAGGTCTCTGTGTGTTTAAGTGTGTGTTGAGGGGGTGATAGTCAGTAAACAGGTAAGTAAACAATTATGTATAAAATTAGTGACGAGAATTATCCAGAAAATTAAAATCGGGTCATGTGACAGGGAGGAATGGGTGTGTACTTTGGAATAGTCAAGTATTCAGGGAACAGGCTTTTGTAGAGATATTTAAATTTATTCAGACAAGAAGGCTTCAAGCATTGGGTGGATCTGGTACAGGAACATTCTGGGTGGGGAGAATAGCCTGTTCGAAAATCCCAAGGCAGGAATGAACTTGGCCTATTCAAAGAACAGATGAAAAGCTGTTTAGTAGCTGGAGAGTAGCAGGTGATAGAGAGAGGGAAGGAGAAGAGGAGAGGGAGGGAGAAGTGAATGAAAACATTAATTGCACTAACACTGTGAACTGTGTGTCTGGAGCTATGCCAAGCACTTTGCATCTATAAACACATTTCATCTTTGTAATAGCCTGCGAGGTGGTTTCTCGCATTCTCTTCATTTTGTAGATAAAGAAACCAAGACATAGAGCAATATATATATAGAGAGAGCAATATATATATACATATAGCTTGTCTCAGGTCACATAGGGTGATTGGTCTTCAGAAACTCCACTAAGTAACGAGTTTGGATACCTTTCCAGGTATGAAGAGAGTGCTGTACTTGTGGGTTTCACCAGGAGGGCGATTTAACCTGCCTTACCTTTAAAATGGTCAATCTGATTATGATTTGGAGATGGATGGTGGGGAGTACACATGTATGGAAACAGGGAGACTGCTTGTCGGGCCATTGCAGTCAGCCAGGCATGAGGTTATGGCAGCTGATCTTACTGTGGAAACGTGGGTGTGGTGTACATAGTTGACTACATTTGGGATATGTTTTGAGACAAGCCCATAGGACTTATTGACAGAGTCAGAGTGAAGGGTATAGGAAAGAATCAAAGACAACTTGTAGCTGTTTGACTTAAATAATTAAAAATATGCTGATGATTAACTATGATCATGGTGATAACCTATAACATTCATAGAGTGTTCACTGTACGCATCAGGCACTGTTCTAAGCATTTGGATCTATACTATCTCACAAACTCCTCATCACAACCCTAGCAAGTAGGTACTATAATTATCTCCCGTCTTTACAAATGAGGAAGTGGTGGTAATAAGAGAGTAAGGAATTTGCCCAAAGTCACACAACTAGTAACTGATGGACTTGAACCAAGTTTGAATCTATACTGTGTTGGCTGTGCAATCTGTGTAAATGCTGTCTGATGCAAACTCTCATTTACTATCATTTGCTGCTGTGGTCTCCAATCTTTTGGCACCAGGAACCGGTTTTGTGGAAGCCAATTTTTTCACAGACCAGTGGCGGGAGGCGGGAGACAATGATTTCAGGATGATTCAAGCATATTTTTTTTTTCTTTTCTTTTCTTTTTTTTTGAGACGGAGTCTCACTCTGTCACCCAGGCTGGTGTGTGCAGTGGCGTGATCTCGGCTCACTGCAACCTCTACCTCCTGGGTTCAGGCAATTCTCCTGTGTCAGCCTCCTGAGTAGCTGGGATTACTGGCACCTGCCACTATGGCCAGCAAAATTTGTATTTTTTTTTTTTTTTTAGTAGAGATGGGTTTTCACCATGTGGGTCAGGCTGGTCTCAAACTCCTGACCTCAGGTGATCCGTCCACCTCAGCCTCCCAAAGTGCTGGGATTACAGGTGTGAGCCACCATGCCGGGCTGCATATTACATTTATTGTATGCTTTATTTATTTTATTATTACATTATAATACATAATGAAATAATTATATAACTTACCATAATGTAGAATCAGTGGGAGCCTCGAACTTGTTTTCCTGCAATGAGACTGTCCTATCTGGGGGTGATAGGATGTGAGACAGTGACAGATCCTCAGGCATTGGATTCTCATAGGGAGCGCACAACCTAGATTACTTATATGCACAGAACACAATAGGGTTTGCGCTCCTATGAGAATCTAATGCTGCTGCTGATCTGACAGGAGGCAGAGCTCAGGCAGTAATGTGAGTGGTGGGGGGTGGCTGTAAATACAGAGGAAGTTTCATTCGCTAGCCTGCCGCTCACCTCCTACTCTGTGGCCCAGTTCCTAACAGGCCACAGACCTGTATCATCTGTTAGGTTAGGGACCCTTAATTTACTTGGTCTACTGGCTGAAGAGCTGATCTTTTCCTTGGGGGTAGAGGAGGAAATAGAGTCCTGCTGACTATGTTAATTTGAGTTGGCCACATTAGATGTCTATGTGAAGATGAAATCTGGCAATTGTACCTATGAATCTGAAGTTCTACAGGGAGTTTAAGGGCTAGGGACCAAGATTTGGAAGTCATTGGCATATAAATGGCATGTAGAACCATGGGTCTGGATGAACTCACCTGTCATAATAGCAACTTCGGTAGCATTTTCTATACATCAGACACAGCTCCAAAGACTTTGCATACATTGACTGATTTTTTTATAACAATTGCTTGAGTTAGAACTATTGTTTAACTACAATCGGCCTCATTTTTATAGATTAGAAGATTGAGGCATAATTTTCATTGTGAGAATTAAAAGATAATTTGTTTAATGCCTAGATCATAGTAAATACTCAAAAATGTTAGCTGTCATCATTAGTAGTAGTAATCATAGCTTCTATGGTGATCTTATTCTTATGAATATACTCAGAGCTTAGCATAGTACTCAATAAATGAATTATAAACCATGCAAAGGTCTCAAGTTGGTGGAGGGAAAGCAGGACAGATGAGTTTATTATTCATTATATCCTTGCTGCTAAATTACAAGAGGAAGTGTAACCTGAGGAAAGGATCATTCTAGGACAGAAGAAACAGAAGTTGAACAAAACATGATGATTTAGGACGCATTGTTCTGCCTTGCAGCTCACTATGTGGATGAGTAGAACAAAAATATTTCCTGTGATTATTGCAGGACAGGTCATTTTCTTATCTTGCTCTATATCCCCCAAAATTATCTTGGGTTAAGGGTCTCACTGATTTTTCTTGCCATGACCAACTTTAATGTAGGTGAAATGGCACTGAATTTACTATTGAAAAATATTTTCCTTATGTGTTTCTGTCTTTCCTTCCTGGGAAATTACATGATATGCTGGTGTCAATGGATACTTGTTCAGAGACTTTTGTTTCCCTGTCTCTCTTTTTCCCTCAAGAGTCGTTCCTGTTTCTCAGCCCATCTGGCACATCTGCGCGATAGCATCACTGCAGGTGCTCTGTTGCTAGCACAGGATAGATTTCCCTGGGTAGCAGTGCTGAGTGACTCGCGTACTTGAGTCATTCAAAACACGAGTGGCTGTATAACCCTCTAGAGAATAAATCCTGTAGGAAACAAGATTACCTCATCATCTGCTGCGTCTCTATTTTCTGCTTTTCCATGAACAGCTGGTAACATGAGGAGTCGCAATGATGGAGTTCATATTTTTCCATAACATATTTGGTGTTTGGTTTGGATTTCTCAGGTAGTTAGAGTGATAGTTTTTTTAAAAAAATTTTCTGATGTTTTGAGATTTTGAGGCTGAGTTCTTCTGACAGATACAGTATTTTCTGGATGGCTCTGAATGATATTAACAAAGCATGCCAGAAAGTGGAAGGAGACTCAAGCCTCACATATAAGTAGCTATATGTCAATGTTGGGTGTAGCTCCAGTTTAAAATTACAGACCCTGCTTGAAGTGAAGTCAATTCTTAATTTAATTTTTAGGTTAAAATTTATTTTTATTGAAATACTATACATTTATGGTTTAAAATAGTCCTCCAAAATTTTTAATTCAAAAAAGTCTTCATTCTTTGCCATTAAACTCCCTGATATAGTTTGGATTCATGTCCCCACCCAAATCTCATGTTGAATTGTATTCCCCAGTGTTGGAGGAGGGGACTGGAGGGGGGTGATTTGATCAAGGGGGAGGATTTCCCCCTCGCTGTTCTCGTGATAGTGAATGAGTTCTCACAAGATCTGTTTATTTAAAAGAGTGTATTTTACTTTAACCATTGTGGAAGACAGCGTAGTAATTTCTCAAAGACCTAGAACCAGAAATACAATTTGACCCAGTGATCCCATTACTAGGCATCTACCCAAAGGAATATAAATCATTCTATCATAAAGATACATGCATGCATATGTTCATTGCAGCACTATTCACAATAGCAAAGACATGGAATCAACCCAAATGCTCATCAATGATAGACTGGATAAAGAAAATGTGGTACAGATACACCATGGAATACTATGCAGCCATAAAAAGGAATAAGACTGTGTCCTTTGCAGAGACATGGATGGAGCTGGAAGCCATTAACCTCAGCAAACTAATGCAGGAACAGAAAACTAAACACTGCATGTTCTCACTCATAAGTGGGACCTGAACAATGAGAACACATGGACACAGGGAGGTGAATGACACACACTGGGGTCTATTGAGGAGCAGGGGTGAGGGGAGGGAGAGCATCAGGAAAAACAGTTAATGCATGCTGAGCTTAATACTTAGGTGATAGGTTGATAGGTGCAGCAAACCACCATGGCACACATTTACCTATATAACAAAACTGCGCACCCACACATGTACCCCAGAACTTAATAAATACAACAAAAAAGTGTGTAGCCTCCCCGCTTCACACTCTTCTT